>NC_000010.11:99385519-99688549 GCF_000001405.40 Homo sapiens
TAATGAGATGGTAAGCTTGACAGCTGTCTTTGAAATGTATGCCCATTATAAAGTCAAATGGTGAGACATGCATGTGGGCATGTTTTAAACAACCATTCCTAACAGTTTCATATAATGGATTCACTCATGTTATCTCATTATCTCTGGGCCTCTTTTATAAGATCAGAGAGGTTAACAATGTGGCCAGTGTATTCATTTGCCCATTGGCTGATTAAAAATGTATATGTATTTGGCCAAGGTCTCCCAGCTTGAAAGTGGCAAAATTGGGACTTGAACTTCAGTTCTTGGCACTGTGTTTCCTGCCATATTTCTTAGGTGAAGGGACATTTGGCCTTTGACTAAACTAGAAGCCAAATCTAAATAACTAAAGAACCCAAACAGAGTAAGATCAACTGCTTTACTGGGCTTACCAAGTGTCATTTAGGGAATTTTCCCATCCTTTGGTGTTAGAGCCAAATTTCCTCATCTTTGGGGGAAATTTTGGAACGTGACTTCTCACTTCCCAACAGAGGGAATTGCAAAAGTCAGGTGTTTTCAACAAGAACATTGAATCGATTGAAGACTTTGGATAAATGCTAAGTGGAGACCTGTGGTTCCATGCCATAAAGCATGGAATATACCATTTTGACCTGAAAAATATCGAAGCCAGTTGTTAACACTTTGCTGCTTTGTCCTGTAAAATCCTTTAGAAGAAAAAAACCAAAACCTGAGTAGTACCTGTAACTAATTTTAACTAGGTCTTAAGTCAGCAGTTCTCAAAGTGTGATCTCCAGACTAGCAGCACCAGGAACACAGGAACTTGCTAAAAATGCAAATTCTCAGTCTCCACCCCAGACCTAGTAAATTAGAAACTCTGAGAGTTAAACCCAAAAATCTTGTTTTAACAAGTCCTTCAGATAATTCTGATGCTGAGGTTTGAGAATCACTGATTTAAACCATCAAGAGAAAACTCTATTTGCCCACTCAAATGGGCAGTAGTATAACTAGAAGCCTGGAATCTCTGCATGTATGTGTCCCATATGCTCTGCAAAAAGGCACGTATTCTTAACTGGTGTTTTGTGATTCGATTGGTTGTGCTTAGAATTTGCTTGGTTCTCTTGCAAAATATCCTGAAGTTGGTTAAAGAAAGGATTGATCGTGTCCAGTAAAATAATGCGTCTTGTCAGTAGTTGACAAGGAGCCACTGTTGAGACCTTGCCGGATACAAAGCCAACTTCAAGCCTACTCTCTTTCCCAACATGTCAGCCTTAACCATCCCCTCTCCTATTTCCAGCAGAAATCTTTTCTCTTTCAACGTGTAATACCAATTCTGCCCCAAAGGAAAGAGAAGGCAAAATGAGCAGAATTTGTGGTTTTGTCCGTTCACTAGCGCTAATGCAGTGAAGGAGGGATGAAAACGCTTTAGGAGATGGTATGATTGGGAAGGATATTATGCCATGTACCATTTCCCTTCTTCCCCCAGTGCCAGCCGCTGATGAGTGGTTTCACATTCCTGTACTGGGTGGCACACAACCTAGTCTGTTTTCACTGCTAGCAAGGATTCACAGTGCCAGTCTGTTATGTACACCCAGAGAACAGGGGTGACAGAGACACCCTCCTGCCTTTTAGAAGAGATATTTGATCCATATTTTTCCTGCCTGGAATCGTGGAGACTCCTGTCTGGTCTGGCTGCAGCCTGACCCTCCGGATGCCTTCAGTTGTGGGTGTTTGACACATCAGGAAAGTCACAAGTCTGACTCCTGTGATTTGAGGAGACAGCTGGGAAACCTCCCTGCTGTGGTCCCAGCCAGCATAGGAGCATGACCCTACATCCAGGGATGGGCTTAGTCCAAATCAGAAATGCCTGTGTTCTCTCAGGCCTTAGCCTCCAGCTTCCCGACACTGAGACCTAGGGCATGAGAGCTTCCCTGCTGGAGTCCTACCTTATTCTCACCAAGTCACCCCCGACTGACCCTTTGGGCCTTTGGCAATAGTATAAATGGGTGTTTTAAACTTCTCCATGGGCAACCACCCTGCTCTCAGAAGATGCCCTCCATCCTCTCCAGGGTCTCAGAAGGCTTGGCTCTTCCAGGTGCCAATAAAAATGAACAGTGGGAGCTGGTGGCAGACCAGCAAAGGGCCGCCTCACTGTCCCTGCTGGACTGCTACAGCGTGGGTAAGGCCCCCATTCGTGGATCTCAGGCCTCAGAGGCCGAGGGTTCCAAGCACCCCAGCGAGGCTGCCCCCGAGCCTGGGAAGGCTGGCTGCATCCGGGTGGTCTCTGCCTAGCTGCTCCTAAGCTCCTGCCCTCTTCCTTCCAGATCACACGGCAGCAATATCAGAACGCACTCACTGCCTGCCACATGGACAGCTCACCTCAGTCCCCTGACATGGAGGCCTTCACAGACGGGGACTCCACTAAGGCCCCCACAACCCGGGGCACACCCCAGACCCCTAAGGATGACCCCGCCATCACGCTCCTCAACAACAGGAACAGCCTGCCGTGTAAGTCAGCTGGGCAGACGGGCAGGCTGGGCTGGTGTGGGGTGAGGATGACCCTGCCTTCCTCTTCTAGCCCTTCCCAGGGCTCACACCACCTGAGCCCTGGGTCTTCTCCAAAGCAGAGAGGTGATGCACTCACTGTCCTCCCCAGGCAGCCGCTCAGACGGGCTGAGAAGCCCCAGCGAGGTAGTGTACCTGAGGATGGAGGAGCTGGCCTTCACCCAGGAAGAAATGACTGACTTCGAGGAGCACAGCACACAGCAGCTCACGCTGTCTCCTGCAGCCGTTCCCACGAGAGCAGGTCAGGGAGGCCAGCTGGGCCCAGTGCAGCAAGGGAGATCATTGCCTTTGGGCACTGGGATGGCCCAGGGAAAGCTGGCTGAGGGGAGCCCTGGGACCGCAGCCCGTGCGTTAAACCTCCGACCTCCTTACACAGCCAGGGAAAGGAAACATTTACTGAGCATCTACCATGCATCAGGCCCTGTCTGATTCATTCTCCTAGGAAAACTGTGTAGGGCAGTATTAGGAGTTGGGTTTCTGCCTGGATTCAGACCCTGGCTCCTTCGTTTAGGAGTTATGCAATTTTAGGCAAGTTATTGAACCTAAGACTCAGTTTTTTTTATCTGAATGGATAAGTATCCTTATGTTAATAGGTATAAATTATGACAGCTATCTTATAAAGTAGCTTTGAGTATAAATGAGATAACATACATAAAAGGCATATTACAGTGTTCAGTACCATGCTTTATAAATGTTACATAGCTATTATTAGGCCTACCTTACAGATTAGGAAACTGATGTCAGCCATCATTCTAACTAGCTGTGGTTTTGACCAAAGGTGTAGCCTATAAGACTTTTCCTGAGGTCTAAGACCATATCACCTCCCTCTGAGACACTGAACACTTCTGCCTTGACAGTGGTGTTGCTCTGAGCTCCCAGGGTCCCAGCAGTCTTGAGAAGCTTCTGTGTTTGCCTCACTAAGATGTATTCCCCAAGCTTTCAGTAGCCCCCTATGCCTGCACCCAAGCCAGCAGTTCCCCCACCCGACCTGTCAGACCTACTTCAGTCCATAGTATAAGACCTCTCAAGTCCAGAGCAACAACCTGAAAAAGTGCTCCAAGATTTTTAAAGTTGGCCGGGCACGGTGGCTCATGCCTGTAATCCCAGCACTTTGGGAGGCCCAGGCAGGCGGATCACCTAAGGCT
The DNA here is from genome assembly GCF_000001405.40 of Homo sapiens. Taxonomy (NCBI): domain Eukaryota; kingdom Metazoa; phylum Chordata; class Mammalia; order Primates; family Hominidae; genus Homo; species Homo sapiens. Next base: position 99,389,206 of record NC_000010.11, read on the forward strand.
AGGGGTTCGAGACCAGTCTGACCAACATGGTGAAACCCTGTCTCTACTAAAAAAAACAAAAATTAGCCGGGTGTGGTGGTGGGTGCCTGTAATCCCAGCTACTCGGAAGGCTGAGGCAGGAGAATCGCTTGAACCTGGGAAGCTGAGGTTGCAGTGAGGCGAGATGGCGCCATTGCACTCTAGCCTGGGTGACAGAGTGAGATTCCATCTCAAAAAAAAAAAAAAAAAAAAAAATTTAAAGTCAACAAGACAATATGTTTGAACTTGTGGCTGACCCAGAAAATCTGGGACATACATAGTCACTGTTCCAGGACCTGAATTTAGAACTGATGTTCCTTTTCTGCCCCCAACACCAAATCTAGTAGCTAAAGCACATAGCAAGAAAATGTAACAAAGGAATAAGAATGAAGGCGATGGAGTGGTCTTGGAGATCATCTAGTCCACCCTCGTCCTGTGACATTTGAGGACCCTGGAGGCCTAGAGAAGGGAAATAACTTGCTCAAGTCCAAAAACTGCATCAGAAGCAGGCTCAGCCTCATGGCTTCAGTGCAGTGCCATTTCCAACACACCGCTCTGCCTTAGGTTTTTATTTGCATTGGTGGTAAGGCTTGGCCCCTTCTGGGCTCTCAGATTCTGTAACTCTTTGAATTCCCATTGAGTCCTGCGGGAGAAGACAGGGGCATTGTTGTTGAACCCTGTGGCTTTCCAGGGTTTGTGCAAATATACCAAGGAGACCTCCACCTATCCTCACGTGTGCTTTTAGTCTGGCAAATAGACTGGGTGGAGAACACATTGTTCTCTAAACCCTCTCTCTTGCCAAACAGTGTTTGAGAAGAGGGAATGATTTCTGACTTTGCATGGATCGTTGGATTCCGGCTCCTGTTCTCCATCTTTTTGTTCCTTTTGTGGCACTAAAATGCCTCTTGCTAACTAATGACACCCTGTACTTCCCTGGGCGTCCCTGCCTTGTTACACCACCCTCACCTTGGCTCACGTCTTAAACTTCACTTGCTGAGGGATGTCATCACTCAGAATCACCCTCTCTTGATGCCTGAGTGTGTAGGTTGAGACAACTTGAGTTCTCTCCTTTCCTTTCTCAGCATCAGATAGTGAATGTTGTAACATCAACCTGGATACAGAGACCAGCCCCTGCAGTAGCGATTTTGAGGAAAACGTGGGCAAGAAGCTGCTGAGAACCTTGAGTGAGTAGCTAGTTCTTCACCCAAATGAGAGCCACCCTGCTGATGGTTAGTAGGAAAAGCATGTTAGCATCTTCCTCTTGGGGGAGGAGCCATGGACTCCTCTTAGAAACCCTAATGAGGTACAATTGTGGAAATCCGCAGAAGGGGTTGGGCCAGCACTGCACCCTTGATAGTTTTGGGATCTGTCCCATTCAGTTGTTTGTCCTCTAGGACAGAAGTCTGCACACCATGCCCACAGGTCAATTCTGACCTCCCTCCTTTACTTGTTTTTGTAAGTAAGGACTTATTGGATCACAGACAGATCCATTTGTTATCTATGGCAACAATGTCAGAGTCGAGTAATTGTGACAGAGACCATATGGCCCACAGGCCTCTAATATTTTCTGTCTAGTCCTTTAAAGAATTGGTGTCCAGGAGACTCAATAGAAAGAGAGCAATCTCCTCCACAGATGGAAGTCAATGGTGGAGAGAACAAGGTGAAGATATTCCTTCCTAAAAACAGACCTGGGAACAGATTGCTCTCTCATCCTTGAGGACAACTATGTAATTATGCCCACCTGCCCCACTGCAGAAGGGAGGTTGCTTCAGAGCTAGAGAACGCAGGTCCCTGGAAATGGCTTGCAGCTACAGCCACCAACCCTGATTCATGGGACATCAAAGTCTATGAGATTGGTCCTCTCTGAGGGTGTCTGGCAGTCAGAGGGGCTGGCCCCCAAGGGGCGCAGGAGGCATGGGCCTGAGGTGTTACATGGGCTTTACTCAGTCCCCTCCAGGAAGTCTCAATTCCAGGCACCAGCCTGGGTTTGTGACTTTTCAGAGATGGCATCTTATGTGGAAAGTACGTCCTAATCTTTCAAGATGTAAATATGCCAATATCAGCACCAGCATACAATGCCGGTTAGTTCTAACCAAGCTGTCAAGGGCTTTGTCTCCATTTCTGCTTCTGTTTTGAAAAGAACTCAGACTGCCAAGCAATTATGAATGTTCCTCCAGTGTTACAGGCTGATACTTGCAACTTGTTTTTTTCAGGTGGCCAAAAAAGGAAGAGGTCACCAGAAGGAGAGAGAACCTCTGAGGACAACTCCAATTTAACACCTCTGATCACATGACAGGGCAAAGCCAGCATTCACTGGGTGTGTGAAATTCCAGAGCTTTGGGGGAGAATCCACCCTCCCATCATCTGCTTCCCCCAAGGCCTCCCACAGGTGACAGAATGTTCTGCCTTCCCTTCCATCTCTTCACCCCTAGCTGTCAGTTTGGCAGATTTTCCCTCGTTACCTCCAGTTCGACTCAGAACCTTGACATGGCCATAACAGAAGGAGGTGCCTCTGATAGAACATGCTAGAAATGGTCTTTTCCACAGCATAGTCTGGGACTGGAAAAGAGATGTCTGACTGCAAGCTGACAATGCCACTCTGGGACCCCTGATGCTCTTCTTTGTTCTTTGGGTCCCCTGATGCCATAGGAGACCTATCGTCTTGGAACTTGCCATTCTTTCCTCCAGAACAAAATGTTAACTTTCTAACACATTTCATGCATAGCTTGGCTCAGAAGGTGCCATTGGCAGACAGGCACATGGGAGGCTGGAGTAGGAGGTCTGAAGATTAGTTCAGGGGATGGACCAAGAATTTCCCCCAGAGCTTTAAAGAAGTGGGACTCAGCCATGTTGGCGCGTGATTGACATTACAGCACAGAAAACTGTTAGTGACTGGTTTCCTGTTAGATAAGGGTTCCAGCAGCCTGGGGCAGTATGTCTCAGCTGGAATGGAAAGAATGTGAGATGGAACCTCAAGTCACTGTTTTTACCAGGGACACATCTGTTTTGGCTCCCAATCAGCAGTCTTCAATCGATCAATAATTCTGCTCTGGAAGAGAAGGAACAGGGAGCAGAGAGACCCAACTGGGAGCCAGAGATGGAACTTCAGGTCTTAAGTGCAAATCAAAGCAAAAAACAAACAAAACTTACATGGAAAAACTGTAAGTGCTGAAAGCAAGTTTAGCCATGACAAACCAAAGAGTGCCCAGGTCAGCCAAGAAAGATACATAATCTCATGGGACTTCAGTGGGAGTTACACAGGAATGTTGAAGAATCATTCTTCTTTTTCATGCATTTGTCCTTCTCCCACCCCCTTACTACACCCTAGCAGATCAGCTGAGTGTACTTTATTCCAAGAACTTACTGGATCTCTGGTTTTTCTCCTGAAGTTGGGGCAGGTGCAATTCCAAGCATAACCACCAGATGGCAGAGTGACCGCGCATACCTGCTTCCAAGAATAAAACAGTTCTGAAAAGCAACCGCAAAGCCGGGCGCGGTGGCTCACACCTGTAATCCCAACAGTTTGGAAGACCGAGGCGGGTGGATCACTTGAAGTCAGGAGTTTGAGACCAGCCTGGCCAACATGGTGAAACCCCATCTCTCCTGGGCATGTAGTCCCAGCTACTCGGGAGGCTGAGGCAGGAGAATCGCTTGAACCTGGGAGGCAGAGGTTGCAGTGAGCTGAGATCACACCACTGCACTTCATCCTAGGCAACAGAGCGAGACTCTGTCTCCCCCCGCAAAAAAAAAAAAGAAAGAAAGAAAGAGAAAAGAAAAGAAAAGCAACCACAGCCAGCCTTAGGGAAAACTTGGAAGTAAGTGAAATTTGTCTTCAGAATAACTATCTCCCTTTCTGATCTGTCTCCTACTCTTTAGATGTTCTCAGTCAAGTACTCACTGAACTCATTGATCGAGTGCTGTCTGCTAAATCTCCAAACCATTCCCAAACCTTTCCCCGTAGTATACCATCCAGCTTCCCTCCCCTTCCTCCAAAACCCTCCCTCCCACCTCCCCACACCCATTGAGTCATTCACAGGCAGGAGGGAGACTGATCATTCCTCTGGGTTATCTGCATCTCAAAAGAAAATGCTTACCCACAGGAACTGTTAACTCAGGGGTTCTTAACTTGGGGTCCATCACCCCAGGGGGTCCATAGTTGGACTTCAGAGGGTCTATGAAACCCCTAAAACTGTCAGTATTTAATGTATTTATTCTTGTATGTTTTTTCCAGAGCATTAAAGCTTTCATAAGGTTCTCAAAGGTCTCAGACCTACAAAGAGTTAAAACAAACAGACAAACAAAAAAAAACACTACTATTTTAAATAGTGGAACTTTCAGCCCAGCGTTTCTGCAATGCAGAGTGAAGTGGATACTGGGCAGTTCGAGACAGGTTTTTAATCATAAGTGGTCTTTTCAAATGTCCATCAATTGATGGGGAAGGCTGGCACCCACCAAGAAGTGGAAGTCCTCAGAAATTCTCGGCACACCCTAGAGTATTGTACAACCAACACCCCCACATAACTTTGTCCCCTCTTCCCCAACAACCCAGAGCAGGTGTTGCAGACAGGAGGGCCACAGCGTGTGGAAGTAAAGACTTTGGAGCTAGAGAAGCCTTTTCCAGCAATGATTATTGACTTCACCACACCCCTTGCCTGGCCTGGCCTGAGGCTCAGCAGTGCATGACTTCTCGTAGATAACTTCACAGTCATCCAGTCCCAACACCTGCTCTTGCCTGGTAGGAACAGGCGAAGTGTCAGCCCTCAATGTTGGGTACTTAGACCCAAACCAATAAATGGTGAGTTTTGAACAAGAACTACCATCATGCAGGCTTCTTGCCCAGCTGACCACTGGCCCCGGGGTGCCTGCCTGGCTGGTCTTCATCACCTGAGGCCACCAGGCTCAAGCCACTGCTGTTGCATTACACCCATCCCTTTGCAAAATCCCTATGGAGCCTGTCACCACTCCCCTCCCTATATACCCCCACCCCACAAAGATTTTCTTCAGGTTAAAAAAAAAGTTTAAAAAAAAGATTTTAAAATAAAGCATTTATGAAGGCTTAATAAATTGTAAATAATTTTTAAATAAAATGAAAATGCCTTTCCTGGAATGTGGCTGTTTTCCTTGCCCCTGGAATCTTCTGACGTGGCTTCATTTGAGATGCAGGTTGAGTGATGCCCACGTGTGATGATCTCACCTGTGCACCACCTGCCTGAAGAGGCATGCCGCTCCGGGCCAGGTGTGAGGCTGCGGTGAGGTCACGGGGAAGCCTTGGCACACTACTTTGGGAGGCCAGATGGTAAGATTTTGCAGGAGTGAATGCCAGAAATGAGAAGTAAAACCCAAATGAGAAGCCAGTATGCATAAAGACGAGGAAGGAACTAAGACGACAGTGAGAAGGGCTGGCATTTGCTGAACCCATGTGATGGGTGAGGTGCTGTGCTGGGTGCCGTCCAAATTCAGGGTCTTGGGGGCTAAACCCAGACAAGCCCCTGAGACAGAATGTTGGTCACACTAGCTCGCTTCTGCAGAACCTTCAGAAAGGAGTCCAAGTGGCATGACTCTGGCAGTTTGCAACCAAAGGCTAGGGAACGGAACACAAGAATGGGCCAGGCCTGTTGGTCAGTTTTAAGCCGATGCTGGAGGGAGGGAACAGCCAGGCAGGTGGGAAGATGTGTTTGGGCATATAATACCTGTGTGGAAGGAAGGCTGAAATCTGACACCTACTACTCATTTCTCAAAGCAAACAGGAGGATCAGGGGCCTATGCCAAAACCTCTTAAGATTCTTCTCAGGAACCTCAGTAGAGGCTATTCATTTCACTAACGGTAATAATAAATAATGGAAACAACTATTTTGCCAAGGGCTTTATGTTCCAAGTATTCTGTTAAGTACCCATTAGCTCATTTCTTTCTCAACCACCCTGTGGAGGAGGGGTTACTGTCTGCAAGGTTACTGTCTTCTTGCTCACGGTTACACACCTGGGAACTGGCAGAGCCTGGAGGTTGGAGTGCCCTGCTCTTGAGTGAGCAAAATTGGTGAAACAATCCCACCTCTGAAGTTCACTGGCATGTCAGAGGCCTGAGGAGTCCTGCCGGCTTCCCAAACTCACAGCCCTTTTTCAGGTGAACGCAGTGGGAACCACACCAACCAACATATCTGTCGGAATAGAAGAAGGCCAGATTCCCATTGAGATGGGCTTTTTTCAAGGCTAAAAACATTTGAGCACTTTGGTACTGTCACTTAGATTTAAAGATGTGTTTATCTTTAATGGTTTTGGCAGCCCCCTAAAGAGAAAATTTTAATTTTCCCTAACAAGAGAAATTAAATACTAATAAGATGGTCAGGTAGGATTGCACTTTGGAAGGCAACATTTTAGTATTTCAGGCTTTTTTTTTTTTTGCCCCAGAGAGCCAATTTTCGTCCCCATGGAGGCAGTATCGTCCCCATGGAGAATGAGTGGTTGAAAGCGTTTGGAGAGAATGGCAGATTGACAGAAGGTAGAATCATTCGACTTCTCTGTTGGCTGCCTTCCCTTACTAACAACAAGCATCTTTACATTGGGAGGAGAACAAAGACTGATATGTTCAGAAAGCTGTGAAGAGATGGGTGGGAGGGCATCTAATCACATTCACTCATGAACTTCCACCAGCCCAACCACACACTGGCAGAGTGAGTGTCCTCTGAAGAACTCCTGGGGCTCCAGCCAGACAGGGAAGGATCTGGAAACCACATCCTGTGCAGAAACAAAAGTGGTGGGGGAGAGGCAGTTCATGTGGAAAAGTGTAAACAAGGAATGACAACTGCTACTTTCAAATATTTGAAAGGTGGTAGATTAGAAGTGCCAGTAGATTTACTATCTGTGGTTTAAAGGAAGGAAAGGAGGGGCAGGGGAGTGGAACAAAGATCAAATTCTGGTTCAAGGTAGATGAACTTTTACCGTGAGCAAAAGGTAAATGAGCCTCTTTTTTTTTAATTAAGAGGCCCCACCAGCAGAAGGGGATGCCTCACCAGGTATTTAAAGAATCCATCACCACTACCACCCCACCAGTTGAAATGGATGAGTCAGAGACAATATGGAGAGACTATTTCACTGGCGGAGAGGCAGGACTTGATGACTTCTGAGGCCCCAGTCATCCCTCAGGACTGCAGGATTTTCTAACAACCCAAATGAGTCCTAGAAAGTGGCAGATCCTATTAAAATCACAAGAATTAACTTTAAATACTTAAAAACTCCAATTAATAGACCTCTTGTGTTAAGTAACATCAAACCCCACCAAATTCTACAAAATGGCCATTTGGAGCGGCCCTTGGACTCTGGAAATTGTGATGTATGTTTTTGTGGTTCTGTTTCAATAAACCAGGAGGGACTCTGACAGCAGGGAACGGGCTGATGTTCTATAATCAACCTGAGTGATGTCATCTCCTCTCACAGTCCAAGAAGTCCAGTTTCTTAAGTAACATAAGACAGCTGGCCTCCAAATGACAAGCCCGCAAAATCACCAGGGAGTTATATGGTGAGTTCACTGAAGGAAGCTATACTGTAAGAACACATTGTAGTTTTTCCTTTAGCCACTAGTAAAACCCTCTAAAGCATTCATTTTAAACTGTGGGTCACAACCCATTAGTGGTCATAAAATCAACTCCATGTCTTGATCAACATTTTTATTTTATTTTTTTAGGTGAAGTAGAACACAATAGAATGGCTCAAAAATATCAGAATGCACTACGCACATCACGAGTAAATACTGTTTGGTAAAACTTGTTTCAGTTAAATATGTACGTGTCCGTGCATGTCATGATTAAATATCCTTCTTACCACAGTCACCCTAAAGAACCAAAGCTTAGGACTAGGGACACAACCATGCAGAAAGAGCAGGGAGACCAGACACTCTGGGTTGAGATGATGAATTTAATGCCGCAGCCGACACCCACATTCACACTTTGGCTCCTTCAGACAACTTGATCTTTGGGACTAGAATTTGTACAGAGTCAAACACCACATAGAAGCACGTGGCCGCCACACACAACACTCCTTTTTAGTGAGAGGGACAAGATACCTATGTCTCATGATCAAAGTACTCTTTTATTCTTAAATAAAAATCTTAATTTGCTTTGACCTCCAAAGGCTCTAATCCCAGTCTCCAAATTCGTCTCAAGGGATGTTCTCTTCATGTGGGGCCGGTTTAAACAGAGGCTGCCTCACCAGAGCAGCCTTTCAGTCCTGCAAGTGTCTCTAATCCATGGTATGTACATGTAGGTTTGTGCAGGCAGGGAACACACATGACAGAGAACTACTTTGGTGGTACTGGACGGGTGGTGTTTCTTCACTGGATTTTGGTGACTGCTTCATGGATGGAGGTGGCCACGTAATCTAGATTTTTGGTGGTTAAGCCACTCACGTTGATTCGACCACTTGGCAGCAGGTAGATGTGCTTTTCATTGACCAGATACTCAACCTGCTTGGCTGTTGAAAACCAAAAGAAGACATAATCAGAGCAGAGGGGATCCTTAAAGCAGTGGAGGCTCAGCAATTATATGACAATTACAGCTTTACTTCTTTCCCCTTAACAGAGAGAAGCAAAACAAAAGGCGCTATTTTGTCCAACTGACAAACAGAAAAATATGCTCACTAGATTCTGGAAAGTACTCTTACTAGTTCACCTTTGAATCCCCAGAAAATTCAATATGGCTACTACTGATGGGAATTTTAATCTGAGATTGCCTTCCAACCAAGCCTTATACATTATATCCACCAGGACACCCCTATCACCTAAAAACAACCATCAGACGGACAGCGATATGAAATGCTGGCTATGAAGTGCTTCCTTTAGTTCTTCCCTAACCTGGACTTGCATTGAGTACCCGCGGCAGCCTCCCTTTGACATTTCATTTTTACAATACATTGGGTAAGGCCCCATGCATGAGGTACCTGATCAATCCTGTGTGAATTAACCAATGAGCTGAGAAATGACACAGACCTCTCTGACCTGGCACCATCAGACTTCTGTTCATTTCTCAGCTTTCTCTCAGATGCAGTAGTTTTTCCATGTTTTCAGAAATGCATCACATGTGGGTAAGAAGAGACTACCTGTACTTCCTTTATACAGCAGTCTCTAAAGCAGTTTTGCTATTTGGCAAATCCATTGATAGAATTTTAGTGAATTTGGCTGGGCACAGTGGTTCACGCCTGTGATCCCAGCACTTCAGGAGGCTGAGGCTGGTGGATTACCTGAGGTCAGAAGTTTGAGACCAGCCTGGCCAACATGCTGAGACCCAGTCTCTACTAAAAATACAAAAATTAGCCAGGCGTGGTGGCATGTGCCTATGGTCCCAGCTACTCAGGAGGCTGAGGCAGGAGAATTGCTTGAAACCCAAGAGGAGGAAGTTGCAGTGAGCCGAGATCACACCACTGCACTCCAGCCTGGGTGACAGAGTGAGACTCTGTCTCAAAAAAAAAAAGAATTTTAGTGAATTATTGCTTAAGTAATTAGTACCTTTAAGATACCACCAACCTGAGGAAATGGAATAATAATAGAATCATCATAATCAGAGGAGTAAACACTATGTGCCAGGCAGTGTTCTAAGCACTGCATCTTAGTTCATCCTGATAATAACTTTATCATGCCCATTTTACAGATAGGCCATAAAGACATTAAATGGCCTTCCGAGATTGCACAGCTGGTCAATGGTGGATGTGGGATTTTCAGGCAGGATTTCAAGTCTGGGCTGTACACTGCCCCCGTGATGCTACAGTGCCTCTCTAAGGAAGTGAAAAATCTGGACCCTGGACTCAGTGCTCCTTGAAGGAAACCAAAATAGTTCACCCCAAAATATACTTTGACATATTTTGAGATGGCTGTTGAGAGGGCCTACATACAGAAGTAGCCCTGCAAAGCTGTCTTTTGTGGGAGAGATCTGTATCTGTAGAGAAAATCTGCATGGCTGCAGCTAGGCTTTCTCTGAGGCCCTCCCTTGTCCAGATCTAGGGGAGATTAACTGAGAGTGTGATGCCTTTAAAGGTCTAAAAGAAATAGACCTTTACCGCTATTTTCTCCGAGGGCTGCTACCTGTCTTATCTACATAATATAACAAGACCACCTTTGCTAACCAGGCCTTCTCTTCTCTGCCTGCCATAATCTGTTCTGGCAAGCTCCAAGCTCCCATTCTTTCTATAACCCCAAGATGGTATAAAAGCATCAATCATCTGGCCATTTATTTGAGTTCTATTTTGTAAGACACCTGTGCAAGTTAATAAATTTGCATGCTGGCCAGGCACAGTGGCTCATGCCTGTAATCCAAGTACTTTGGGAGGCTGAGGAGGGAGGATTGCTTGAGCCCAGGAGTTGACGACCAGCCTGGGCATCATAAGGAGACCCTGTCTCTACAAAAAAATCTTAAAAATTAGCCGGGCATGGTGGCACACACCTGTGGTCCCAGGTACTACGAAGGCTGAGGTGGGTGGATTGCTTGGGCCTGGGAGGTTGAGGCTACAGTAAGCCATGATTGTGACGCCGCACTCCAGCCTGGGCAACAGAGTGAGACTCTGACTCAAAAATAAATAAATAAATTTGTATGCCTTTTCTCCTATTAATCTGCCTCTTGTCAGCTGATTTCCAGCAAACTTTCAGAGGGCAAAGGGTAAGTTTTCCCTTGACCCCTCCAAACCAGTGAACAAAGAAAGCAAGCTTAAGAAGAGGTTTACCTGTGTGAATTGGTCACCCAAGGGGATAGAGCCTCAAGCCAACACAGCCCTGGGTGTGCCACTCTTTCTAAAAGCCTGTGCCCTGAGGCAGTGATTAAATGACTCCTACCCTGGCTTTTGGTTTTGTTTTAGTAAAAATGAGGCCTTTCTACTTTTTCAGAGAAGGGAAGTGTCACAGTTTGAAAAGCTAGTAAAAGTTATGGACTCTTTCCCTAGAGCAGGGCCAAAATACACATATACAATTTTTTAAACATCATTTCAGGGGCTTCACAGTTCTCCTAAACGTACATCCAGGGATTCCAGGTTAAAAGCCCCATTCTGACAGAAAAAAGATAACAAAGGAAGTATTGTAATGTGAGAATTGTAGAAACTAGGTGGCGGATATATAGGGGTTCACTGTACAATTCCTCCAACTTTTCTGTATGTTTAAAACTTTTCTGGCCAGGTGCAGTGGCTCATGCCTGTAATCCCAGCACCTTGGGAGACCGAGGCGGGCAGATCACTTGAGCTCAGGAGTTTGAGACCAGCCTGAGCAATATGGTGAGACCCCGTTTCTACAAAAAATTAGCCGGGCATGGTGGTTCACGCCTGTGGTCCCAGCCACTTGGACACTGAGGTGGAATGATCACCTGAGCCCAGGGGGCAGAAGTTGCAGTGGCCCGAGATTGCACCGCTGTACTCCACCCTGGGTGACAGAGCGAGACCGTGTCTGAAACAAACAAACAAACAAAAAAGGCCAGGCACAGTGGCTCACGCCTGTAATCCCAGCACTGTGGGAGGCCAAGGCAGGTAGATCACTTAAGGTCAGGAGTTTGAGACCAGCCTGGTCAACATGGTGAAACCCTGTCTCTACTAAAAATACAAAAATTAGCTGGGTGTGGTGGCTCATGCCTGTAGTCCCAGCTACTTGAGAGGCTGAGGCAGGAGAATCGCTTGAATCCAGGAGGTGGAGGTTGCAGTGAGCCAAGATTGTGCCACTGCACTCCAGCCTGAGCAACAGAGCAAGACTCTGTCTCAAAAAGAAAAAAAAAGTTGGGAGGAAAACAAAACCCCTGTTTTTAATAAGGGCAAATGATGCCAAGCGCTAAAAATATAACTTTTGTGTTATAAGCACAGTTCTATTCTCATCATTTTTCCAATTCGTGATATTAATAAAACTAATTTCCTCCTGTGGATAATGGGAAGATATGGATATTTTACAGGGAGACATTCCCATATTGTGAGCTTTTAGACTATTACTACTAAAGACTATTAATATTTCTGTTACATGTAATATTTTTATAATTGTGAGTGAACTAATTCTCTGTTCCTCAGTCAAGAGGACATCTACAGCTAACTGAGCTATTTCTTTACTTTCTTAGGTAGCTTCATTTTACCCCAAAGTATTTTGAGGGGTCCACAATACAAGCTCTATTAACTGCCATTTATATTTATTTCCTTTGGATTTTTCTGAGCCCACTTCACACTGGCACTGTGATGGCCCCAGTTAAATACCTCCCCACGGCCTCTGCCGTTCTGCCTACAAACCAAGCCAGCCACACATCCCTCCCTAGAGTCACTGGGACACACAGGTGAGTCGCCACATCTGCACTGTGGGAATTACTAAAGAAATGACGCCTGTAATCTCAGCTACTCGGGAGGCTGAGGCAGGAGAATAACCTGAAGCCGGGAGGCGGAGGTTGCAGTGAGTCGAGATCACACCACTGCACTCCAGCCTGGGCAACAGAGCAAGACTCCATCTCAAAAAAAAAAAGAAGAAATGACTCTTCTGTCATCAGATGGGACTGCAGATGGCAGATGTGCCCTACTGACAATTGACCAAGACCATGCATGACCACCTACTAGATTTTCAATCAGCTTTTAATTCCAACCACCAATCTAGGTTCTTTTCTTTTTTTTTTGAGACGGAGTCTCGCTCTGTCGCCCAGGCTGGAGTGCAGTGGTGCGGTCTCGACTCACTGCAAGCTCTGCCTCCTGGATTCAAGTGATTCTCCTGCCTCAGTCTCCCTAGTAGCTGGGACTACAGGCGCCTGCCACCACGCCCGGCTAATTTTTTTGTATTTTTAATAGACACGGGGTTTCACCATGTTAGCCAGGATGGTCTTGATCTCCTGATCTCGTGATCTGCCCACCTCAGCCTCCCAAAGTGTTGGGATTACAGGTGTGAGCCACTGTGCCCAGCCCAATCTAGGTTCTTGTTTATGAAATGCAGAGATAACTTTGTAATCTCTTTTTGAGGATAATACCTAGAAATAAGAAAGACCTGTCAAGAAATCAGTTCCCTGAATAATCATTATATTCAGGATTAAGGCAAACCCAAAATGTACCTGAGCATTTATAAGAACCTTTCATAAATTAAGGCTCCCAGCTACCAATCCTGTTACCTCCCAGCTGGCTCTGAGCCACTTCCCAGCCCACAAACACGGAAATATCTTGGCTGTGGGTCAGCAGGGCAGACCACAATACTCTTCTGAGACCCAGAGAGTTTATGAGATGGTGGGACACCCTAAGAAAACCTAACTTGTCCTGGTCCAAAGCAATGGCTGCCCAATTAGGCAAAGGCTGTGAAAGTGAGCTCAGCTCAAGGCGAGCGACTGAAAGGAATGTTGTGTGTCTACATGCACGCATGGGCTGGAGGTGGTGGGGGCCACTTACGGTTCAACCCAGTGAAGCTGAACATGCCAATTTGATCAGTGATGTGGTTCCAGGTCCCAGGGGTTTTGAGGGCTTCTAGTCGTGCCCTGAGTTCAGATCTCATGGTCAGAATCCGGTCAGCCATTGTCTTCACATTACCTGTCCTGAAGCATGGACAGTGACGTAAATACCAATCCAGACAGGAAAGATGGTACCCGAAAACACACAGGTTTAAAAACTCTAATTTAAACGACAGCTGACAATGGGATCATAACCTGCCTATTATGGCATGTGGATGTCTGGATGGGTGGATTAACATACCAGAGAGAGAGACTTAGGGGGCAGAAGGAAAGGACTGCATTTACTAGTGAGTCTAGTGCTAGTCTTGGGTATACTGGCTAGAATACACTCACATTTCAACTCAGGCTTCACCGAGGTGCTGCTATAGATATTAATAGGGCAATATGTTTCATCAGGACTTACTAAATAAAGATTGCAGATTTAGCTACTATATAAAAATTACTGTTCTAAAATAAGATAAAGTGTATGTAAATTACAGATAAAAACCAAGAGCTCCCAAACTGTTAAACTGCCTAGACGTTCGATATTCTATTTTGCTGGGAATACCTTCTTGGGTTTTCCAACTTCATGGAGAGGAAGACTGGGTGGGGGGGGAAATTGGGGAAAACTACCATTCATCGAGTGCCCCCTCCTGTCTTCCAGGTGTTGTGTTATGCACGTGTGAGGTAGATATCAGCCCCTGTTTTACAAATATCTGAGAGTCAAAGAAGTTAAAGTAATTTTATCCTGCTTCTGCCAAAATGAAAGGAAGAGACCCAGTTAAATGTACTGGGACAATTACTGTTCTGCACTCCCCACCCCCCGGCCCACCAGACTGGGAGCCCCTTACCATTCCTCAAAGAGCTCAGGGTTAGAGAGGGTGCTGGCCACAATTCGTGCTCCCTGGGCGGGGGGATTGGACCAAGTAATCCGCACGATCTTCTCCATCTGGGAAAGGACTTGCAGGATGCTCTCAGGTTCTTTTCCAACCACAGTCAGATTCCCGACTCTCTCATCTAAAGAGAGGGACCAGAATCAGCTGTGGCTGCTGAAGCAGGGAGTGATGCGAGGAGGTGGGGCTGTAACTCCTCAGGAGAGCACTCACTGTAGAGCCCGAAGTTCTTGGAGAAGGACTGGGCACAGAAGAACTCGAAGCCTTCAGACACAAAATAGCGAATGGCCCAGGCATCTCTCTCCAGGTTTCCAGATGCGAAGCCCTGATAGGCTGAGTCAAAGAAGGGGAACAGAAACCGGTGCTGCGGGGAAGCAAAGTGAGTCAGGGCAGGAAATCCTTCTGGCACCAACCTCAGACACCGGCCTTCCTTCCCCAGCTGATGCCTGGAGGGAATTTCAAATGCTGTCCATTTCTCCTATTTCTTGACTATATGCACCCAAGCTCCACTTTACATCCATTTCTCTCTACAACCAACAAGTGTAACCTTTTCCGTAAACTTTACTTTTTAAAAGTAAATTGTCCTAGAGTGTCCCAATTCAGCTTAGAGAAACAGGGCTTACTTTTGATGCAAGGAGACAATGTCCTACATTGTGGATTTTCCTCTGTGAATTTCTGGCGTGAGAGCCTTAGTCAAGTGTAGGCTTGGTATCCCCAGGGCTCCTCATGGGCTATTCTGCTAGGTACTCAAGAGGAAGGGAACAGAGTAGCCTCCATTCCTGTCACTCATCTCCTCAAAGAGCTCTCCACAGGGAACCTGCTTCTACAGCTGTGCTCTCTGAGTGGACACCACTTCCCTCCCCGGAACTGTCCAAATCTTTGGTTGTACTTTGATTCCCATCTCTTAGGTTTATCTTGACTAGGTGGGACTGGGGGGAATCTGGACTCCTAACTCTGCAGCTCATCCCCCACATCCTGGCACTCCCCAAGTCTCATCAGTCCTGTCTCTTCAGAGCTCCCAAATCCTTTTGCATCTCACTGTCCCCACTGCTACCTACTTCATCCAGGTCACCATCAACTCCTACCTGGGCTATGGCAATGGTCTCCTAACTGCTCCCACGGCCTGTCTAGTCTTGCCTCTCTCTGACCCATTCCCTGCTATGACATCAGGGTGGCCTTAAGACCATGCACATCCAATCATGTCACTCCCCGACATCCAAGATTTCAGTGGCTCCGCACTGCCCTGAGAATAAAGTCCAAGCCTCAGCACAGACCCTGCCCCTATTCACTCTAGCCTCATCACTCACACTCCCCATGATGTCTGCCTGGGGCTTCTGACCATGCTCCGTCCTCTGCAGAGCACATCCCTTCCCTGTCAACCCCTGTCTGCTGATGCCTTCTTAGCTCCTCCCCATCCTACAGGACTCAACATAGAAACCACTGCTTCCAGGAAGGTTCCTGCCACCAACCCGCCAACTCCCACATATACACTGCCCAAAGTCTGGGCTATGTACCCCCCTATAACACTGTCAACACAGCTATCTCACAGCATCACAGCTGCCTTAGTACTCGTCCATCTCCCCAAACAGGCTGTCTGTCTTTGAGGGTAGGGACTGCATCTGCTCCATTCAATAGTGTATTCCCACAGTGTCCAATACACAGCAGTTCCTTAATAAGTATTCTACAAACTCGTTAAGGAAGAATATACACACTTTCAGCTAGGAATTCCCACCTAGAAAGTTACGCCAAAGAAATAATAAAAGGAAATTTTGTTACATAATTTTTCATCAGATCAAGCAATCTGAAGTAAACCTAAATATTCATCAGATGATTTACCCCATCCCTAATATGACATATCCATGAAAGAAATATAATATAGCTATGAAAAATGATGCTGCAAAATATTCAATGACATGTATATAAAGAAGTGAAAATGAAAAACAAATTGTGTTGCACAAAACAGTACAGACAAAATGATCTCATCTTTGTAAAACATATACATAAAACTAGACACACACACACACACACACACACACACACACACACACAGTCTGACATTCTATCTACCAAAACATTAACAGTATCTTTCTTTAGGTAATAAAATTTACAGTTAATACTTATTTTCTTCTTTGGACTTTTCTCCATTTTCCTAATTCCTCAGCAAACAGCAAACAGGTATTGCTTCTACATACATTAAATAAGAATATATACTATTTTTTAAGAGATGCTCTGAAGGGGCAGTTACCTTCATGACAGAAGCAATCTGCTTCCACTGCTCCGGAGTTGGGTCAATCCCAGTTGGGTTGTGTGCACAGGCGTGGAGGACAACAATGGAGAACTCAGGAGCATTCTGAGGAGAAGGAAGCTATGTCAGCTCTGACACTGATGGGAATATTGGGAGACAGAGTCAGCAGCAGATTGGTCAGTGATGGAGGGCAAAGGGCAACCATATTCTTGTCACTCTTTCATGTCTCTTTTGTGCCCTCTCTCTTACATGCTATGTCAGAAACCACCATCAGGTATGGGGAAGGTGTCTCAGACTCCTTCACTTAGCAACTGGTCCAAAGACTTTGCCTGAGATTCCTGACACCATGCAATTCTCTACTTTTTCCTCTAAATCACCCACCTCCAGATCATTCAGGAAGCCCTGGAGGTCCAATCCTCTCTTCTCTGCATCCCAGTAGCGATAGGACCGAATGTCTTTAAAACCAGCAGCGGAAAACACAGCATTGTGATTCTCTGCATGCAAAGAAGTAAAAAGTTAAGCACTTTACAAACACTAGGAGGCATGAGTGGAAAGGATGCAAGTCAGCTTCCAGGGCCCTCCCAGGCTCAATGTCCACTGGGCATCATCCAGGCTGGGGGTTAAGATGTAGAGGAATGATTGTAACCAAGAACAAGTTCAACCAGTCACATTAATGCCAGACTTATATTCTACTACAATGATACTTCCTGCATCTACATTCTATGCCTCCTCTGGGGAGTTTCAACATAGCCTTGGTAGATACAAGTCTACTAAGAGTCTTGAGAAAGAGTATTCTTAACTTGATTTTGAGCAGCAGGTTTCTCATGCACTGCCATAACCCACTGTTCAAGCCATTCCCAACAGTCAGTTGTTCTAGGGCTGGATTACATTTTCTGTGTAACCAGGGAGAGTCATGAGGATAATTCTCTCTGGTTTCTGTTTTTCCTCTCACTTCAGCTGAAAGACTCACCCCAGGTTGGTGAGGACACATAGACAGGTGTGTTCTTGTTGTTTGTTCCATTGTACCAACGCGCTAAGAAATCAGCTCCAATTCGAAGTGCACCTGTTCCCCCCAAAGATTGCACACCTCCTACCTGAAAGAGAAGAAACAGGGTCACAGGCTGATAATGGTGAGGTCAGATAATATTTACAAAAATAAGGTAATAATGAGCACTTACTCTATGCCTGCTCTGTGCTAAGGCTTTTAATTGTATTATCTCATCAAAACCTTACAACTACTACATGAAAAAGGTACTATGATTTGCCCATGTTTACAACTGAGGAAACTGAGGCTGAGAGAGGTGAAGAACCTTGCTCAAAGTTACCAGCTACTGAGCAGGAGTGCCAGTCTTCAACCCAGGAGGTCTGACACTAGAAGAAGCTTCCCTTCTGAACACAGAGGTAGAGGACACACCGAGGCCACATTAGTGTGTGTGTGTGTGTGTGTGTGCATGCACGCACATGCCTTGGAAGGCAAACCCATCTCTTCAGCACCCATCCTAAGATCAAACTTACCCTCTAGCATAAGCCTCTAAAACAGTGTTCCTAACTTGTCATTGACATCAATCTGTGCTACTCCTCATCTCTAGAATTCAGGCTTATTAATCCTTAGAAGTATGTTCTAACAAAACAGAGGTGATGCATGAGTACTACTTTCTTCTCCTTGGCTTCCTCTCATTTTTTTTTTTTTTCTTTTTGAGACAGTCTCATTCTGTCACCTAGGTTGGAGTGCAGTGGCATGGTCTCAGCTAACTGCAACTTCCGCCTCCCAGGTTCAAGTGATTCTCCTGCCTCAGCCTCCCGAGTAGCTGGGACTACAGGCGCCTGCCACCATGCCCGGCTAATTTTTTGTATATTTAGTAGAGACGGGGTTTCACCATTTTGGCCAGGTTGGTCTCGAACTCCTGACCTTGTGATCTGCCTGCCTTGGCCTCTCAAACTGCTGGGATTACAGGTGTGAGCCACTGCGCCTGGCTGGCTTCCTCTCATCCTAAAGTGACCTAACATAGGCAATAATAAAAGCCATATTTTATTTATTTATTTATTTATTTATTTTACTTTAAGTTCTGGGATATGTGTGCAGAATGTGCAGGTTTGTTACATAGCTATACATGTGCCATGGTGGTTTGTGGCACCCATCAACCCGTCATCTAGGTTTTAAGCCCCGCATGCATTAGGTATTTGTCCTAATGCTCTCCCTCCCCTTGCCTCCCACCCACCGATAGGCCCCCGTGTGTGATGTTCCCCTCCCTGTGTCCACGTGTTCTCATTGTTCAGCTCCCACTTTTAAGTGAGAACATGAGGTGTTTGGTTTTCTATTCCTATATTTTATCATTTACAAAATGCTTTCATGTATACTCAATGCCCACATGCCCTCTAAAGTCAAGTCTATATCCCCTGAAACATGAGGAACTGATTCAGAGACATGTTTTTCCCAAAGGATACACAGTTGTGAGTGGCACAGCTCAGCACAAATCCAGGTTTTCCATTCTAGATGGAGTCACTACATTCTAATGATGTAGTTCTCTGCCTATAGATCTTTGATTTTGCCTCTTCAAAATTCTAATTAGGTTTCAGCATAAGTCTCTCAGCAGAAAAATGTCATAAACCCCATGTTGCCCAATTTGTCTAAAGGATTGAAGAGAAAGGAAGAAAAAGATCACATGAAAAAGTCTATCTAGCCGGGCGCAGTGGCTCACGCCTGTAATCCCAGCACTTTGGGAGGCCAAGGTGGGTGGATCACTTGAGCCCAGGAGTTTGAGACCAGCCTGGCCAACATGGTGAAACCCTGTCTCTCCTAAAAATACAAGAAAATTAGCTGGGCATGGTGGCACACACCTGTAATCTCAGCTACTCGGGAGGCTGAGACGTGAGAATCATTTGAACCTGGGAGGCAGAGGTTGCAGTGAGCCAAGATCGCACCACTGCCCTCCAGCCTGGGCAACACAGTGAGACTCTGTCTCAAATAAATAAATAAGTAAATACAAGGAGGGACACACGCCAATCTTCTAACAGTGGCAACCTCTGGGGAGGGGTCCAAGGATGTAGGAATAGTGGTTGAAAGGGACTTTGGCCTAATCTATAAGTCGTTTTTTTAAAAATAAGATGAATGTATTCATGTATTAGTCATAAAATTTTACAATTTCAAACACCTATTTAGATGTCTGGGATTTACTATTAAATAATAATCCAGCTTTCGTGGAGGGCAGGGAGGCAGGGAGGCAGGGAGTGGGTAGATGGAAATACACAGGATTGACCCTATACAGATAATTGTTGAAGCTAGGTGATGGATACACAGGGATTCATTCTTTATACTGTTTTCTCTACTTTCATATAGATTTGAAATGTTCCATAATAAAAAGGTTTTTTTTGTGTTTTTTTTTTGTTTGTTTTTTGAGACAGAGTCTCGCTCTGTTGCCCAGGCTGGAGTGCAGTGGCACGATCTTGGCTTACTGCAACCTCCGCCTCCTGGGTTCAAGTGATTCTCCTGCCTCAGACTCCTGAGGAGCTGGGACTACAGGCACGTACCACCACACCCAGCTAATTTTTGTGTTTTTAGTACAGATGGGGTTTCACCATGTTGGTCAGGCTGCTCTCCAACTCCTGACCTCGTGATCCGCCTGCCTCGGCTTCCCAAAGTACTGGGATTACAGGCATGAGCCACCACGCCTGGCCAATAAAAAAGTTTTAAAACTCTTCTTAGAGAAGAAAAGCTTCCTAAATCTTTTCAAGAACCTAACATAACATTGCTGCTAAAAGACAACAAAAGGGAAAAAAGTAGAATGAGAGACCTAGATCGTACCTTGATACTAACTTCCCAAGTAAACATTAATGAACAATATTAATCCAGCAGTACATTAAAATTACCCCCTTGATTGAGAGTCATCCCATGAATGGATTATAAGAGATATAAAACCAATCATGCTGCTAGATAGAGAAAACCCAAATGATCATCACAACAGGTAAGAAAAGCTTGGCTATTCCTGAGATAAATGCTTAGTAAAACAGGAAACAGTGGATACTTCCTGAAAATGACTGAAAAAAATTCATTTAACCCATAAGTCAGCTTAAAAACAGTGAATCGTTTAGTAGAAATCCCATTTAAGCCAACAACAAGGTAATGTTACCAATTATCGGCACTATTATGCACCAATGTTCTGTTTGTATTTATAGGTGTGAGCATCTGTGAAAGAATACTATCTGAAATGTGAAACATAAGCAAAGTTGACATTCAAGGGGATGCAGAACTAAACATAGCTGTACATTACAGAGAGGGGCAAAGGCAGTGCACTGGGGTGAAAATGCTCAGTGTGTGTCAGATTTGGTGTGCTAACTACTCTGTTATTTACAGTGATCCTTACTGAGCACTCATCCCTTGCTATTACTTTAAAAGTTTTGCCCCCACATTGTGGTTTACCTGAATTCTTTATGCAAATTGCTACCAAGATGATATAACACAAATGTGCATTTATTTTTTATGGATTTGTCATCCAGCTAAGTTGAATGTCAGTTTCATACATGACTTCACATTGCAGATACCTAAGCCACTCTAGAGTGCTAATACTTCCTAAGCAAATGAGCAAGACCTCCCTTGAACATGGTTTTAACTTCTGGAAACACGATAGATGCATAGATACCAGTGGAAACATTCCCAGGCATAATTTTTCATTTCCTGTTCTCAACTTTTCACTCCACCCTTTCTCTCCCACTACAGAAAGCAAATTCATTTTTTTAAAAATCAGTAGAATACATTAAAAATGTGCTTAGAAGAGATAAACCCACTCCACATTAACTAATCCTTGACATTCATGACATATATGACACTTGAAATATCAAATTCTCAAGAAGTTATCACTCCCTAAAAATCTATTAAATACTGGATGGCTTCAGTGAAACACAAGTTGCTCTAAACATCAGCAACTAACAGAAACAAGTTTTTGGTGAATCAATAATATAGCAATGTGGTCATTCTGTGAACTGATTTTTGGCAAATTGTCCTACAGCCTAAGAATGTCCTGTACTTGTTATAAAGGAAAATCATAACATCAAAGGAAGTAAGTACAGACTTCTCAAGGAGCCAGGCAACTGGACCTGGGTAAACAAGAGTATCCAGAACAAGGGAAATCCAGGAAGACTTGGTATGAAGCTAGATAGAGCAGGCCTCTGTTGGACATGTCAGCATAAGATTGCTGGATTCTAGAACCCTTGTCTGAGATAACAATTTGCCGATACTATGACTTCACCATGAGGAATAGGAGAGCAACCAGGAGCTGCCTGTGGCCAGAGCCATGCTGCATTCATCTGGGTGCCCCCAGCATCTCTCACGGCATCTGGCACATGGTACTACATAAGCATGTGCTGAACTAGATGAAGAAAGAAGACAGTGGTGAAAAGATCTGAGCCACAGCAGAAGCCCCAAGTCGCCTAGAGGCAATCAAAGCGAGAGTGGGATGTCATGATGTGACAATGAGTTATGACCCATGAGCCCTCCTTCCTACAATGCTCAGTAATCTCAAAGCTGAAACAGCACTATGCCAGAGATGAAAAATCGACATTTCTGTCTGGATCCTAAGATCTGAAAGTGGAAAAGTAATACAAGGCAGTGAGGAGTCTAGAAAATAGGTCTCCTCAAAATGGGTAAAGGATCTGGAAATGTTGAATCTGGAGAAGAAAAATCTAAGGGAAGAAACAATTACTGTTGGTTTACTTGTTCACTCATTCTTTCATTTATGTCTCGTCTTTAAGTTTTGGCTCAAATGTCATTTCTATTTCTATCATAACCACCCTAGTTAAAACTGTATCCACTCCTAGAATTCCTAACATGCCACCTCCTGCTCCATTTTTATAGCATTTATCATCTTTAGTATACTACATCATTTTCTTACTGATATAGTCAAAAAGATTACATTTAGAGTCTGTTCCTCTCCCCGAAACTGAATGCAAGGGCAGGGGATTCTGTGTGTTTGAGTCACTGCTGTGCTCCAGCATCTAGAACAGTGCCTGGCTCTAGTAGTGGGCATCTGATGACTAAAGGAATGAATGAATCCAAACCTTTGGAACCTGAGGTACCCGGATAGGAGCCAAATGCTGAAAATCTGCAAGGTAAATAAGCAATGATCACTCTCCTGGGGAAAGTTAGGGCCTTGTGGGAGATGAAGACTTATAAAATTATCCATTATAGTAAGAACAGTTAAGTACTGTTATTCCCAAGCTGTGAACAAAGTCCTGTGATAACTCAGAGAGCTTAAACAACAAGCTCTGCCTAAAATACCTAAGGATTCAGTGTGGAAGTGACCCTTGATCAGCTCTTGAAGGACTTAGAGGTGGGGACTGGACAGCTAGAGCAATAAGGGAGGGCATTCCAAATGGAGAGAAGGGCCAGGCAAAGGTTCTTAGTCTTGACAGGGCCCAGTAGGTCTAGAGAACAGCAAGACTCTTAGAATGTCAGGACCTCTAGTGGAGTGAGGGGAAATCAGCAACTGTAAGAACAGGATGAAGACTGTCACCTGTCACCTACTTTCACTGCATGCCAAGCTCAAAGTCTGGATTTTACCCTACAGGCAATGGGGGAGCTATGGGCGGTGGGGGTGGGGAGTGGGAACAGGTGACATGAGTAGCTTGTTTTGCCAAGGAAGGTCATCCTAGCTGCAGCATGCAGAATGTACTAAAACAGGGAAGAGACTAGAGGCAGGAAGGTAAATTAAGAGGCTATTAGTGAACTAAGACAGCAGCCTGGGAATGGTGAGGCCTTCCAAGCAGAAGAAAGGCTCAGAGCTCGAACAAAAGGCAGCAGAAACCTCTGCAGACTTAAATGTCCCTGTCTGACAGCTTTGAAGAGAGTAGTGGTTCTCTCAGCACGGAGTTTCAGATCTAAGAACGGACAGCCTGCCTCCTCAAGTGGGTCCCTGACCCCTGAGTAGCCTAACTGGGAGGCACCCCCCAGTAGGGGCAGACTGATACCTCACATGGCCGGGTACCCCTCTGAGACGAAACTTCCAGAGGAACGATCAGGCAGCAACATTTGCTGTTCACCAATATTCCCCGTTCTGCAGCCTCCGCTGCTGATACCCAGGCAAACAAGGTCTGGAGTGGACCGCCAGCAAACTCCAACAGATCTGCAGCTGAGGGTCCTGACTGTTAAAAGGATAACTAACAAACAGAAAGGACATCCACACCAAAAACCCATCTGTACATCATCAGAGACCAAAGGTAGATAAAACCACAAAGATGGGGAAAAAACAGAGCAGAAAAACTGAAAATTCTAAAAATCAGAGTGCCTCTCCTCCTACAAAGGAATGCAGCTCCTCACCAGCAACGGAACAAAGCTGGATGGAGAATGACTTTGACGAGTTGAGAGAAGAAGGCTTCAGAAGATCAAACTTCTCTGAGCTAAAGGAGGAAGTTCGAACCCATCGCAAAGAAGTTAAAAACCTTGAAAAAAGATTAGACGAATGGCTAACTAGAATAACCAATGCAGAGAAGTACTTAAAGGACCTGATGGAGCTGAAAACCATGGCACGAGAACTACATGACGAATGCACAAGCTTCAGTAGCCGATTCGATCAACTGGAAGAAAGGGTATCAGTGATGGAAGATCAAATGAATGAAATGAAGTGAGAAGAGAAGTTTAGAGAAAAAAGAATAAAAAGAAACGAACAAAGCCTCCAAGAAATATGCGACTATGTGAAAAGACCAAATCTACATCTGATTGGTGTACCTGAAAGTGACGGGGAGAATGGAACCAAGTTGGAAAACACTCTGCAGGATATTATCCAGGAGAAGTTCCCCAACCTAGCAAGGCAGGCCAACATTCAAATTCAGGAAATACAGAGAATGCCATGAAGATACTCCTCAAAAACAGCAACTCCAAGACACATAATTGTCAGATTCACCAAAGTTGAAATGAAGGAAAAAATGTTAAAGGCAGCCAGAAAGAAAGGTCGGGTTACCCACAAAGGGAAGCCCGTCACACTAACAGCTGATCTCTCAGCAGAAACTCTACAAGCCAGAAGAGAGTGGGGGCCAATATTCAACATTCTTAAAGAAAAGAATTTTCAACCCAGAATTTCATATCCAGCCAAACTAAGCTTCATAAGTGAAGGAGAAATAAAATCCTTTACAGACAAGCAAATGCTGAGAGATTTTGTCACCACGAGGCCTGCCCTACAAGAGCTCCTGAAGGAAGCACTAAATATGGAAAGGAACAACCGGTACCAGCCACTGCAAAAACATGCCAAATTGTAAAGACCATCGAGGCTAGGAAGAAACTGCATCAACTAACAAGCAAAATAAGCAGCTAACATCATAATAACAGGATCAAATTCACACATAACAATATTAACCTTAAATGTAAATGGGCTAAATGCTCCAATTAAAAGACACAGACTGGCAAATTGGATAAAGAGTCAAGACCCATCAGTGTGCTGTATTCAGGAAACCCATCTCACGTGCAGAGACATACATGGGCTCAAAATAAAGGGATGGAGGAAGATCTACCAAGCAAATGGAAAACAAAAAAGGCAGGGGTTGCAATCCTAGTCTCTCATAAAACAGACTTTAAACCAACAAAGATCAAAAGAGATAAAGAAGGCCATTACATAATTGTAAAGGGATCAATTCAACAAGAAGAGCTACCTATCCTAAATATATATGCACCCAATACAGGAGCACCCAGATTCATAAAGCAAGTCCTTAGGGACCTACAAAGGGACTGAGACTCCCATACAATAATAATAGGAGACTTTAACACCCCACTGTCAACATTAGACAGATCAATGAAGACAGAAAGTTAACAAGGATATCCAGGAATTGAACTCAGCTCTGCATCAAGAGGACCTAATAGACATCTACAGAACTCTCCACCCCAAATCAACAGAATATACATTCTTCTCAGCACCACACCACACTTATTTCAAAATTGACCACATAGTTGGAAGTAAAGCACTCCTCAGCAAATGTAAAAGAACAGAAATTATAACAAACTGTCTCTCAGACCACAGTGCAATCAAACTAGAACTCAGGATTAAGAAACTCACTCAAAACCGCTCAACTACATGAAAACTGAACAACCTGCTCCTGAATGACTACTGGGTACATAACGAAATGAAGGCAGACATAAAGGTGTTCTTTGAAACCACCGAGAACAAAGACACAACATACCAGAATCTCTGGGACACATTTAAAACAGTGTGTAGAGGGAAATTTATAGCACTAAATGCCCACAAGAGAAAGCAGGAAAGATCTAAAATTCACACCCTAACATCACAATTAAAAGAACTAGAGAAGCAAGAGCAAACACATTCAAAAGCTAGCAGAAGGCAAGAAATAACTAAGATCAGAGCAGAACTGAAGGAGACAGAGACACAAAAAACCCTTCAAAAAATCAATGAATCCAGGAGCTGGTTTTTTGAAAAGATCAACAAAATTGATAGACCGCTAGCAAGACTAATAAAGAAGAAAAAAGAGAAGAACCAAATAGACGCAATAAAAAATGATAAAGGGGATATCACCACCGATCCCACAGAAATACAAACTACCATCAGAGAATACTATAAACACCTCTATGGAAATAAACTAGAAAATCTAGAAGAAATGGATAAATTCCTCGACACATACACCCTCCCAAGACTAAACCAGAAAGAAGTTGAATCTCTGAATAGACCAATAACAGGAGCTGAAATTGAGGCAGTAATTAATAGCTTACCAACCAAAAAAAGTCCAGGACCAGACGGATTCACAGCCGAATTCTACCAGAGATACAAGGAGGAGCTGGTACCATTCCTTCTGAAACTATTCCAATCAATAGAAAAAGAGGAAATCCTCCCTAACTCATTTTATGAGGCCAGCATCATCCTGATACCAAAGCCTGGCAGAGACACAACCAAAAAAGAGAATTTTAGACCAATATCCCTGATGAACATCGACGCAAAAATCCTCAATAAAATGCTGGCAAACCAAATCCAGCAGCACATCAAAAAGCTTATCCACCATGATCAATGGGCTTCATCCCTGGGATGCAAGGCTATTTCAACATACACAAATCAATAAACGTAATCCAGCATATAAACAGAACCAAAGCCAAAAACCACATGATTATCTCAATAGATGCAGAAAAGGCCTTTGACAAAATTCAACAGCCGTTCATGCTAAAAACTCTCAATAAATTAGGTATTGATGGGACGTATCTCAAAATAATAAGAGCTATCTATGACAAACCCACAGCCAATATCATACTGAATGGGCAAAAACTGGAAGCATTCCCTTTGAAAACGGGCACAAGACAGGGATGTCCTCTCTCACCACTCCTATTCAACATAGTGTTGAAAGTTCTGGCCAGGGCAATCAGGCAGGAGAAAGAAATACAAGGTATTCAACTAGGAAAAGAGGAAGTCAAATTGTCCCTGTTTGCAGATGACATGATTGTGTATCTAGAAAACCCCATCGTCTCACCACAAAATCTCCTTAAGCTGATGAGCCACTTCAGCAAAGTCTCAGGATAC
The DNA here is from genome assembly GCF_000001405.40 of Homo sapiens. NCBI lineage: Eukaryota > Metazoa > Chordata > Mammalia > Primates > Hominidae > Homo > Homo sapiens. The sequence goes on from NC_000010.11 coordinate 99,416,255, forward strand.
AAAATCAATGTGCAAAAATCACAAGCATTCTTATACACCAATAACAGACAAATAGAGAGCCAAATCATGAATGAACTACCATTCACAATTGCTTCAAAGAGAATAGAATACCTAGGAATCCAACTTACAAGGGATGTGAAGGACCTCTTCAAGGAGAACTACAAACCACTGCTCAACGAAATAAAAGAGGATACAAACAAATGGAAGAACATTCCATGCTCACGGATAGGAAGAATCAATATCATGAAAATGGCCATACTGTACAAGGTAATTTATAGATTCAATGCCATCCCCATCAACCTACCAATGACTTTCTTCACGGAATTGGGAAAAACTACTTTAAAGTTCATATGGAACCAAAAAACAGCCCCCATTGCCAAGTCAATCCTAAGCTGGAGGCATCATGCTACTTGACTTCAAACTACACTACAAGGCTACAGTAACCAAAACAGCATGGTACTGGTACCAAAACAGAGATATAGACCAATGGAACAGAACAGAGCCCTCAGAAATAATACCACACATCTACAATTATCTGATCTTTGACAAACCTGACAAAAACAAGAAATGGGGAAAGGATTCCCTATTTAACAAATGGTGCTGGGAAAACTGGCTAGACATATGTAGAAAGCTGAAACTGGATCCCTTCCTTACACCTTATACAAAAATTAATTCAAGATGGATTAAAGACTTAAATGTTAGACCTAAAACCATAAAAACCCTAGAAGAAAACCTAGGCAATACTATTCAGGACATAGGCATGGGCAAGGACTTCATGTCTTAAACACCAAAAGCAATGTCAACAAAAGCCAAAATTGACAAATGGGATCTAATTAAACTCAAGAGCTTCTGCACAGCAAAAGAAACTACCATCAGAGTGAACAGGCAACCTACAGAATGGGAGAACATTTTTGCAATCTACTCATCTGACAAAGGACTAATATCCAGAATCTACAAAGAACTCAAACAAATTTACAAGAAAAAAACAAACAACCCCATCAACAAGTGGGCGAAGGATATGAACAGACACTTCTCAAAAGAAGACATTTATGCAGCCAACAGACACATGAAAAAATGCTCATCATCACTGGCCATCAGAGAAATGCAAATCAAAACCACAATGAGATACCATCTCACACCAGTTAGAATGGTGATCATTAAAAAGTCAGGAAACAACAGGTGCTGGAGAGGATGTGGAGAAATAGGAACACTTTTACACTGTTGGTGGGACTGTAAACTAGTTCAACCGTTGTGGAAGATAGTGTGGTGATTCCTCAGGGATCTAGAACTAGAAATACCATTTTCCCAGCCATCCCATTACTGGGTATATACCCAAAGGATTATAAATCATGCTGCTATAAAGACACATGCATACATATGTTTATTGCAGCACTATTCACAATAGCAAAGACTTGGAACCAACCCAAATGTCCATCAATGATAGACTGGATTAAGAAAATGTGGCACATATAAAAGGATGAGTTCATGTCCTTTGTAGGGACATGGATGAAGCTGGAAACCATCATTCTCAGCAAACTATCGCAAGGACAAAAAACCAAATGCTGCATGTTCTCACTCATAGGTGGGAATTGAACAATGAGAACACTTGGACACAGGAAGGAGAACATCACACACGGGTCCTGTTGTGGGGTGCGGAGAGGGGGGAAGGATAGCATTAGGAGATATACCTAATGTAAATGATGAGTTAATGGGTGCAGCACACCAACATGGCACATGTATACATATGTAACAAACCTGCATGTTATGCACACGTACCCTAGAACTTAAAGTATAATTAAAAAAAAAAATATATATATATATAAAAAGAAGGGCTCAGAGCTCAATAACCACTGGTACCCACAGTGATGTATTAATAGATGCCAAGAGAGTATCCAAAAAGTATATCTTCAAATATTTGCTGCCATGAAGATGGCCTTTTAAAATTGTTTTATGGTCAAAAATATAAAACAGGAGAAACTAGATTAAGAGGGAGGGCTATGTTCCCAGGGTCAAGGCTACAAAAAATAGCCTTAAGTCTTACAGTGTAAGTCATCAAATGGAGATCAATGGGCAGAGGAACAGCATCTGCCCAACATAGTTAACAACTATATAAGAAATGCAGTATTAGAGGAAGAAACTCCCCAACATGGAATCTCTGTTTTCATTTGTCAGCAACAGAATTCCAACTAATTTATTTAGTTTCAGAAGAGAGGCCCCAGTGGCCTATGTTCCCCACTTTCTTTTTTTTTTTTTTTCTTTTCTTTTGAGACAGGGTCCCATTCTGTTGCCCAGGCTGGAATGCAGTGGTGCAATCATGGCTCACTGCAGCCTCCACTTCTTGGGGTCAAGCAATCCTCCCACCTCAGTCTCCCAAGTACCTGGGACTACAGATGCATGCCACCATGCCCGGCTAATTTTTGTATTTCCTTGTAGAAACGGGTTTTTGCCATGTTACCCAGGCTGGTCTTGAACTCCTGAGCTCAAGTAATCTGCCCACCTTGGCCTCCCGAAGTGCTGGGATTACAGGCGTGCATCACCACGCCTGGCCAGTTCCCCACTTTCAAACTTCATTAGGATTCTCCTCTACCTCTGCAGAAACACTGGATTTTCAGAAAAACTTCCCAATATGATTAATAATCTCTATACTCTTAACTATTCTAACCATATGACTTCAGTTCATTGAGGCAAATCATAGTCTCTCATTCCAATCCATACAAAACCTTAATGAAGTTCATTACTTGCCTAATCATGGACCTGAGTCCCAAGACCTTCACCAGGGCCTTCCCTGCTTCCTGGTACATGTACAAATGTATGGGTGTGCAACCTTTATTGTCCTCTGCCATTCTGCTTATCAGGGCATCTGGGTAACATGATATATAAAAGGAAAACCTACTGTACACAGCATGTGGGGAATAAATCAGATGACTCCAAGATGTGGTTTCCTCAATGCATGAATTACAGGCTACATCACAACACTGACCCAGGGGAATGATAATGGCCACTGGTTTAAACTGTGCAATTCCCAACTGGACTAGTGCAAAAATCTGAGCTCTTCTTTTTCCCACCCACCCAATCAGACTTATCTTCTTCAAACAACACTTTTATTGGGTAACTCCTCTGCTCCAACCTTCAGTTGGCTTCTCCTGCCCTGGCTGCCAGAATCAGCCTGCCTAACCTATCCAACATGTTCCCAGCTCTCATCAGGTAGGTCTCTTTACAAGCTAGACCTGCTTAGCTCTTGCCTCTGTCCCTGGACTCCTACCATGCAAGATGAATATCCTTCCTCTTGCCCCTCTTCCATATTTTATGGTTCTCAAAACTGGCTATACTTTGAAAACACCTGGGGAGTATTTAAAAAATATGCCCATGGGGGAGAAGAAAAGGGAGTGAAAGAGAGGGGAGAAGGGTGGTGCCTCCAAGATTCTGATTTACCTGGCCTGGCATGGGGTCCACAGGGCCCAGCCACAGTATGTTTTTAAAAACTCCCCAGGTAATACTAACATCCAGCTGGAGCTGAGAACCAGTGTCCCGGCCTCGCTCACACATTCTCTAAGATTCAGCTCAAGTGCCATCTCCAGCACTCATAGGTCTCCCTCCCCTCTGAATTCCTACAACACTGAGAATCTGTTCCACTTCCTGGAACACACAGCCTATCTCACTGTGTCTACTTCCAAATGTGTTCTTCCTCCATGTATCTCCAGTTACACACAGACTATATACCAGGAAGCACTTAAATGATAGGTGCTGAGATCAACAGTAGAAGTATTAAAGAATATTAGAACTGGCAGGGACTTTAGACAGCATCTACTAGTAGCTCCTGAACCCTTGAAGGGCCACAGACACCTTTTGAAAATCTGCTAAAAGCTATGCACCTTCTCCCAAGAAATAAGTACACACAAAATTCTGCATATAATTTCAGGGGACTCAGAGGCCCCTTAAACAATTCCCTACGCAAGTGCTCCTCATGGGATCACAGACTCGCACTATGTGGTCTTTTTCTAACATGTGTATGTGAGCCCAGAGGGCTAAATGACTTGCCTATGATCAAAAGTAGTGGCAGAGTTGGATCTAGAACCCTGGTGTCTTTATCACTCCATTAAATTCTTTCTACTTGGCATCTCCACTGACTGCTTCAAATGCAGTAGCTAAAATCTGATGATCTACTGGGCAAAACTGAACAAGTGAAAAAGCCGTGCTTTGTACATGGCCACATTATTTGCGCTATCAGGTTCCTGAACTCGCGCTACAGAAACACTTATTCATTGGCAGTTCAATAGACATAACGCCTAATATTTTAAACAAACTGTATTCTCAACATCTTTTTACTTTCAGTTTCTAAAGAGAAAATACATCCTTACCCAAAACTTACCCGCTTCTCCTTGAGTGCTGGGCTGTCATCCCCAAGGGCAAGACGAGAAGCACAGCTCCGGAACTCAGCCAGGCCCAGGATTGGCAGATACTCGTGATTTAGGCTATTGTCATTAGCAATCTTCTGCTCCACTTTCTTCACTACTGGCAAAACCCAGGGATGGCAGTCATCCGTGCGATATGCTGGAGAATGGAAAAGAGTTATACATAGTGGAGGCTCATGCTGTGTCCAAGTTAAGAGTTTGTAACTGTGAACCAGGAGAATCCCACCACCTTCCGGTCAAAACAGAACAGTGAAGGAAATTGGAGAAAAGTTTGTTCACTTACTGAGTACCTAATTTGAGCCAAGCATTGGGCTAGGTGCTGGGCAAACATAAGGGCAGATGTGGTCCCCATCCTTGTGGAACTTACAGCTCTTAACTATGTGACCTCCAAAAAGTAGAATGCTGAAATAAAACTGGGACATCACAGAGCCTGGTCACATGAGAAAGTACATAGAAAAGCACTCTGCAAAGTAAAAAGCATCTTGCAAATGTCATGTCAATATCACTAGTGCACTGAGGTCTCTAGGCCATTGGCCCAGCAGTCTTCTTCCTTCTGCATCTCCCCAAGAGACTTCCAGAAAAAGCCTAGGTGCTACTTCCACATGAACCTGGCACCTTTAACACAAACATGGAGAAGGAGTGGAAGAAGGCCCACCACTCCTCTTGTCCCAGAGGAACAGAAATAAGACGAATGATAAGCAAATGCCCTGACGATTTCAATGACAGGTGACACAATCACCCAAGGACCCACTTAAACACATCTCTATCCTCTCTCTGTATTTTGACCTCAGCCAGTGTTTACCCTTCTGACTTCATCCCACTTCATCTGCCTCACCCTTTCATTGATCTAAATTGATCTATTTCACAATATTTGATCCTGCTCTACAGTAAACCTCTAAGCATTTCCTCTTCCTCTGAAAGTATTTTTAAGTCACTCTGAGTTATCCAGCACCAATTTTTTTCCCTACACTATTCTATGATTATGTTAGGATTAGAGCTTTACAGGGCAGTTACCTTAGCTTTGCACCCACGCCAATAATCTGTCCAAGTAGGATTCCTGGCAGGGGTCATTTGCCTCTCTGTTTGAATGTTTAGGTCCTCAATAATCCTACACTTACGCAAGTGATTTTGAAATGGAAACAAAATTTTAGAGTGATACTGATTTTTATTTTCTTGATTTCTGCCCAAAATTAATCCCTGACTTAAAAAAAAAATTACATTTTAGGGTTGTTGTTACCATTTACTGAACAACACGTGTTGATTGTAGAAAATTGGGAAAAGCCCAGAAGGTAAAAAATAAACATTATAATTAACATGTGATTGTGTTTTGAAATGTGAGAAGGCGATGAGATTTGATAGGGGTCAGGAGTAGACTGATATAGTTTGGCTGTGTGTCCCCACCCAAATCTCATGTTGAATTGTAATCTCCAGTGTTGATGGACCATGGGGGCAGATTTCTGCCTTGCTGTTCTTGTGACAGTGAGTGAGTTCTCACTACATCTGGTTTTTTAAAAGTGTATAGCACCTCCCGCTTTGCTCTCTCTCCTGCTGGGCCATGTGAAGGTGCTTGCTTGCGCTTCACTCTTCCTCCATGATTGTAAGTTTCCTGAGGCCTCCCAACCATGTTTCTTATATGGCCGGTGGAACTATGAGTCCATTAAACCTCTTTTCTTTATAAATTACCCAGTCTCAGGTAGTTCTTTATAGCAGTGTGAGAACTAACATAACATATAATCCCAGTACTCAGAGACAAGGAGTATGAAAATTTTGGTGTACAACCTTCTAAGCTTTATTTTTGATGGGCATATTCTTTTATAAAATATGGATCAAACTGTACATAGAATTTCAACATGCTTTTTTCCATTTAAATATATACTATGCATTTTTCCTCCTCATTAACTATTCTTCTAATAGGTGACATGTTTGCATGTCTCCATCCCATTCTTATCCTCTATCTACCTAGTTCTCAAATCCCTCCCTCCATAAATAACAACTGTTAGTTTCTTACATATCCTTCCTGCATTTCCCTATGCCTACACAAGCAAACACAGCTTCTTACATATGCCCTTTTAAACAAAAGGTAGCATACGGCATACTATACACTGTTTTGTGTTCCTTGCTTTTTCCACTTGAAAATCATTTTACATTTGCGCATAGAGAGCGTCCTTGTTCTTTTTTACAGCTGCTTAGCTGATGAATGTACCATATTTTACTTTGCCAGTCTCTTGTTGGACATTTGAGTTGTTTACAATCTTTGGCTATTAAAACAATACTTCAGTGAACGACCCTGTACATACGTCATCTCACATGTATGCAAATATATCTGTAAGATGCTGGGTGGAAAACAAAAGAGTGGGCTAAGAAGTATGTGTTTTTGTAATTTTGACAAATATTTCCAAATTGTCCCAATTGATACAGGAATTATATCAATTTACATTCCCACCAGCACTGTTTAAGAGCGTTTGCTTCCACACAGCCTTACGCACTGAGTGTATTTTTGCCAATATAATATGTCAAGTAGTTTTAATTTGCATTTATCTTATTATGAATGCAATTGGGTATTTTTCATAAATATGAGCCATTTACAACATCAGTTTAGTGGATAAATAATATTTGTTTTATATATAATTTATTAACTGTGTTGCTTTAAATTATTTGCTATTATAAACATTGTGATAAATGTTCATATATTTACACATATTCATGAGTGTTTTCTTAGGAAAAATATCTAAATGTTAATTTATTAGGTCACAGGATATACAGTAAAAAGACTTTATAAGATCATTTTGAATGATCAGCTAACTCTACCCTCCAGGAATATGTCATCTGCAAATCTGAGAAACATTTCAAGTTAGTAATAGAAATGTGGACAGGGCTACAGACTGACAGAGCCACTGACCAAATGCCTCTGGGTAGGTGAATCAAACAATACTCTCATACCACTCATAGTCTACCCTCCGGCTCTGGTGAATCTAACTCACAATATTTTTTTCTTTTTTTGAGACAGGGTCTCACTCTGTTGCCCAGGTGAGAGTGCAGTGGCACGAACACAGCTCACTGCAGCTTCAACCCCCTGGGCTCAAGCAATTCTCTTGCCTCAGCTTCCCATGTAGCTGAGACCAAAGTCATTCACCACCAGGACCAGCTAATTTTTTTTTTTTAAATTTTTCATAGAAACAGGGCCTCACTTTGTTGCCCAGGCTGGTCTCAAACTCCTGGGCTCAAGCAAACCTCCCGCCTCGGACTTCCAAAGTGCTGGGATTACAGGAGTGAGCCACCATGCCTGGCCCAACTCACAATACTCTCATACCATTCATGATATACCCCTTAGTCCACCAAACTTCTCAACAAGTTCAAAAAGCCTCCTTCGCCAGCTGGGATTTGGTCTGGCTTCTCTAAAGATGTACCAAAATAGCTACTTCCAAGTAAGAGTTGTCCCTAAAGCACATCAACATATCTATGATCACAACGTTACCATTGTTCAAAATATTCTTGAAACTTCTTTTGGAATTGTTTCTAGAGGCAACATCTCATTATTTTGAATAGCCTCAATAGTGCCAAATCTTTGTCCTTTGAAAGTCAATTATTTTTCGGGAATAGCATTTGCATCATCTCCATTGAAAAGAGTGAGTGAATAAGCTGGGTAAAACTTACGGAGAACAATTATTTTAAAAAATGATCCCTTGTGTGGGTCCTACATGCCTTGATAGCTAGTCTAAAAGGGGTTTCTAGAAATCTTGGAACAAGAAAAGCATATTTGAACTACCTACAAAGGATACTAGGTAGATGCAAAAAAATTTGGGATGTTTATAGAAAAACCAGTTCTGTTATGTTTCAGTTCTGTGTCTGGGTGTTATATCTATTCTATAACATTATTAGGCTATGTGTTTATATTTATGATAATATGTCATTCACAAATAATGTGCTATGAATAAATAAAATATGAAAGAGAAAGAAAAGACTGGAATACTGCTGTTCTTACCACTACTGAATACTCTGTGAAACTCTAAAATTCCAATACTACTACTTGGGTTGGGGATGGTTGGAGAGGCATTGTGTCTATACTGTGACTAAAAAAAAACTGGCCAATTTACAACTCCCCTTCCTTCTCCATTGCCCAGTTTTTCCCAGGTTGAGTTCTAGATTTGTTCCTGATGCCTCTCCTAACTGCCCTAGTGAAGCAGAACCAGATTCCTCTTGGGTGACTGGAGCAGTGGGGTCAGGCATTAACAACAACCACTATTCCTGCTGTCCCCAAGAATTTTTATTCCTATTTGTTGGACCCTTGAGTTTCTCATTCACTCTTTCATTCACTCGCTCACATAACAAGTACTTACTAAGTCTCACCATGAGCCAGGCACTGGCTAGTAGAAGCTATAGAGATTGATAAAATAAGATCCCATCTGCCCTCCAAGAAACACAGAGCATAGATAGAGCCTTTAATTCTAATTTGAGGAATCAGAGAAGATTTTACAGAGAATGAAGAATGAAAGATGAATAAGAGTTTAAAAGGTAAACAAGGGAAGAAGGGCATGCGAGAGGGCACACCTGTGCAAGGCCCCAGAGGCCTGGGGAGCATGAGGTCTTTGAGGATCTGCATTTTCATGACTCTGATGTGGAATCCACTAAGGATTAGCTGGGAGTGGCTAAAAGAATCCTGGAGTCTCTTTTAGGGAACTTCAGTTTCAATGGGTAACCACTGAAAGCATTTAAGCAAGAGAGTAACATGAGCAGCTGCACATTTTAATGGGATCATTTGAGTGACACCACAGAAAATAAACCAGAGAGAAGGACAGAGACAGTAGTTAAGAAGGGTGAGTTACTAGAAGTAGAAGGAGTAGAAAGCTACTGCAATATTCCAGAAGCGAAATAATGAGGCCTTGAATTCACACAATGGCAGCAGGGATGAAGAAAAGGGGTGCCATTGGAAATAGATTCGAGGTAGAAAAGACAGAACCTATTGACCAAATAAAAAGACAGGGGATTGGGGAAAGGGCTGCTGTTGACTCCAAGGTCTCCCTCAAGTCTGGATAATGAGTGGATGGTGGTAGTGGGGTCGACCAAGACCTAGAACACAAGGGGAAGATAGAAGAAAAGATCAAGGGGAAGGTGGAAATGATGAGCTGTGCTTTGAACATGCTGAATTTGAGGGAGTTGTAGGATGTGTCCACTGTAGGCCTGACATTCAGAGATGAGGTCTGGGGCATGGAGAAAGACATTGACGGAACCTGAGGGCAGAGAAATAACAACACGGATTTACTAAATACTTTGTACATACAAGGTACTGCACTAAATACATTTCTTTACTCTCATTTAATTTGGATAGCAACCCACAAAATAGATATTGTGATGTCTATTTTAAGGATCTGGCTGCTGCAGCCAGAAAAGTCAAACCATTTGCCCAGGATCACAGAGATAACAAGAGCTAGGCTGTCATACTATTAAGTTCATGGATCCATGTGCTTTTTTAAAAGCAAGAGATGTCTAGAGAAAGCCTGAAGCAAGCAGGCCCCTGGGACCATGTCAGGGGCCTTTTTATCAGCATGCTCCCCAGCTCCATGCCCCACTGCTCTTCTTCCTGGACATAAACCCTTTTAGGGGAGTCACACAGTCTACAGGTGGGCCCAGCAGTCTTGCTTTGCAGAAGGAAAGGAAGAAAGAACACAGATTTAAATGGTCAAACCATCACCCTCATCTTCCTCCTAAGATCGCCACTTCCCTCACCTATCCCCACTCAAGAGCCTATTAGGATACTGGGGAGAAGGCTAGGGGTACTCAGAAACATCTGATAAAGCATATTTTCCCAACTATTTTATTTGAAGATGCTAGGAAACCATGTTGAAAATAAGAAATATTAAAGCTAGCAGAGTTTATCTGGGCCAAAAGAAAGCTAGGCTCACATGAAAAAATGGACTGGAGTCTTTGAAGAAACTTCTTGCTACAGGTTGCACCAGGTTGGATCCATTTCCCATGTCCTTAAAACCACTTCAGTCTGAAGCTTTGAGAAGCACTAAAATGATCAACTTAGAAAGCATTGTGCTTAGCAGTGGAAAATGTGATACTCTCCTCTGTTTACCTATAAGGAAATTATTTAAATCATCACAGCAAGAAGAAAAACTGAGGAAACTAGCTGCAAGTAGGAACTGTCTGAGATTACAGGTGCAGTTTATTCTAAACGTGTCCAAAATCACTGGAACATTAACTAGATAACCTCCATTAGGTTTTATATTAACTTGGGGGAAAAAAAGTATCTTCCCTAAGGTCAATGATTAATTACATTTTCTTCACAAGGGGTATACTTGGGGATGTGTATAAATAAGACTAGGACATATAACGGCTGGAAGGAGACCTTTTATTCTACTCTAATTAGATCCTTATCCAAACACCTGCTATCCACAAAAAGACGGGTCACAGTGATGATCAAAAATAACACTTATATATGACACTTTTCATTTATATATCACATTTCACATATAATTATTCATTTAATCCTCAGACAACTGATGAGGCCAGTAAAATTATTATCCTACGCTACAGTCATAGAATGTGCTAGTGAATTGTGGAGTTGACTTTTAGTACAGTAGAATCTTTTTTATTTATTTATTTATTTATTTATTTTTGAGACGGAGTCTCACTCTGTTGCCCAGGCTGGAGTGCAGTGGCGCGATCTCAGCTCACTGCAAGCTCCGCCTCCTGGGTTCACGCCATTCTCCTGCCTCAGCCTCCCGTGTAGCTGGGACTGCAGGCGCCCGCCACCACGCCCTGCTAATTTTTTTGTATTTTTAGTAGAGACGGGGTTTCACCGTGTTAGCCAGGATGGTCTCAATCTCCTGACCTCGTGATCCGCCCGCCTCGGCCTCCCAAAGCGTTGGGATTACAGGCGTGAGCCACCATGCCTGGCCCAGTAGAATCTTAAGAGTAGAATTTGGGAGAGAGGTCATTCAATCTTGGCTCCTCATTTAACAGATGAGCCCCAGGGATGTTAAACAACCCTTCCAAGTCACATGGCTGGACCACGGTGCTGGGCCTGTACCTAGGTCTCCTGGCTCTTCCCACTACAGTGTACTGGCTACCACCTGGAGGTACCTGAAATACAGGTGTGGGCAGAGACTCTGAGGCCTGAGAGACCTGGCCTGGATTCCCAGCTCTACCACCCAGTGGTCAAATGACCTGGGGCAAATTGCTTCACCTCTCCAGTCTTCGGCTTCCTTGCCTCTAAACAGTAATAGTAATAAACCACCCTCCAGAGTTGTGAGCATTCAGTGAGATTACATGCATAAATAATTTGCTCATGGTAAGGAGTTGGAGTTCCTGGAAAACATGACAAAGGCACCTTCACAGCTGAGGTGGCCGTCTGAGTCAATGACTCCAATTCTGAGTCCATTGCTTCTGGCCTGTGCTGTCGGGGTGCTTTTTCTCTGCAGGAGCAGTTTATTTCTGAACCAAGGTCATAAATTAGTTCATTTTGCAGTTCTTGAACTGAAAATTTTTATTCAATATCTTTTATGAGAATCACTCAAAGAAATGCCAAAACAACAATAACAGTAATACCTAACACTTATATAAATCCTACTTATGTGCCAAATACAGCTATAAACACTTTAAATGTACTTAATCCTCACAGAAACCCTGTAAGATAGTTCAAAGGTAAATTGAATTAATAAAATAAATCTGACGTGGTTTTTTGTTTTTTTTTTTCTTTCTTTCTTGAGACGGAGTCTCACTCTGTTACCCAGGCTGGAGTACAATGGCGTGATCTTGGCTCACTGCAACCGCCACCTCCCAGGTTCAAGCGATTCTCCTGCTTCAGCCTCCCAAGTAGCTGTGACTACCAGTGTGCACCACCACGTCTGGCTAATTTTTGTATTTTTAGTAAAGATGGGGTTTCACCATGTTAGCCAGGCTGGTCTCGAACTCCTGACCTCAGGTGATCCACCTGCCTTGGCCTCCCAAAGTGCTGGGATTACAGGCGTGAGCCACCGTGGCAGGCAAAATCTGACGTTTTAAAAAGATGTATTTAGATTGACAGTAATACTAGTTCTTTGTATACATCCCGCTGCAAAGAAACGCTTGGAGGTTTTGGACTGGTTTTAAATTAAGAGACCAAATGGTGTCCATTCAAATTCAATTTGAGGCAATCTTTCAACATTTCTCCCACTCAGTTGCCTGCTAAAAACATCATTTTCCCTCAATGGGCCAAACTATGTAGTACTGACTTATCTTAAAAGCTTTATGATGAAAAATTTCAAACCTATACAAAAGCTGAGAGAATAATATAACGTATGCCCATGTACCCATCATCCAGCTTCAACAAATTACCCGCTTCAACAAACCATCACTTTTCAATGGATTTTTCCTTACCCCTCCCCATACTCCTTAGTGAAGACTTTTTTTTTTTTTTGAGAAAGAGTCTCGCTCTGTCGCCCAGCCTGGAGTGCAATGGCACGATCTCGGCTCACTGCAACCTCCGTCTCCCGGGTTTAAGCAATTCTTCTGCCTCAGCCTCCCGAGTACCTGGGACTATAGGCGGCCAACACCACGCCCGGATACTTTTTTGTATTTTTAGTAGAGATGGGGTTTCACCGTGTTAGCCACGATGGTCTCATCTCCTGACCTCGTGATCCGCCCGTCTCAGCCTCCCAAAGTGCTGGGATTACAGGCCTGAGCCACCGCGCCCGGCCGACTTTTTTTTTTTTTTTTTAACAAATGCTATGCACAGACAAAACGTTATCTATGAGAAACCTGATTCTGAGCGTCCTTCATGTCACACTCTGCTACAAAATGATTCCACCTTCTCTTTCCACAATTTCTAGTCCTTTTATTCTAAGTCTATTACCTAGCATAAGACTTTATCCTACCCATTTTCATCTCTCTGGCTGGTCTTTGCACGTGGCAAAATCCAAATGGAGAAAATAAGTGTCTGTGGGGCTTCAAACATCCAAATGATAGTGAGAAGAATAACAAATTCATCAGAGAGGGTTAGGGGTAAAAAATTTGAGAGGCACTCCAATATAAATCTTCTTGGCAGATGGGGAAACTGAGGCCCATGCTCTGAGCTGTCCAAGGTACAGAAGAGAATCACTTGAATCAAGAAATGAAGATAGGATGTGTGGAAAGTAAGCTTCTACCATCCATACTTCTCTCCACTCCTTTCCACCATCTCTACCCATTCCTACCACATCTGTGACGGCCAGAACCATCTCCCCAGACCCCCCGGGGGCAGCATTAACCTGTCTCAAAGCATTGTGTAACACCAGCAGATTTTTAAATCCTTAAGGGCAAAATCAAGCCTCAGTCTCCCCCTACAAAGCTTAATAAGGTGGCTGATTGATACTCGGTGGTCACTCAAATATTTACCGACTCAGAACAGAGCTTTCTAGCGTTAAAAGTTCTCCTTTACCCATTTCCTAGCAACCAGAACCCTAAGCCTATCAGGCTTCCTATTTTTCTACCTCTCTCTACAAGCTCCGGCAGCCTCATTTCTTAGGAGGATGCAGTATAAAGAAGGCAGAATGGGGAATCGGAAAGACTGAGTTTGTGTCTTGGCTGCTACACCTGGTTTGTGCGGCCTCGGACACATCGCCCCTTTCCAGGGACTCCACACCTGCATCTGTAAAATGGGCAGGTTTTAGGAAGCCTTCGTGGATCCAGCCTCCTCTCCGGCGCCGCCCTCTTCAGGCAGCGCCACACTGGGCCTCGGCTTCTCCCACAGTCTCCACGACCTGGGTTGGGTCCGCTCCACTCCCCGAGCTGCTCACACTCCAGAGCACTACATCCTTACCTCCCACTCCCAGGTTGACCTTGCGGGGGTCCGGATCCTCCCTGAAGTCGGCAGTGAGCTTGAAGACCAGGACAGGCTGGGCCTGCGGAACCTCGGCAAAGACTGACGGAGGTGCCATATCGAGAGACTAGGAATCAAGAGATTTCACCCCACGCCCGGAGCTGGCAGGTCAGGTCTGGCCGTTGCGACTGGAGGAGACACTCACCTTCACCTAGCCGGCGGGGGCGGGCCCGCGGCCTCCAATGGTCGAGCCGCGTCCAAAGCTTGGCAACGCGATTAACCAATCGCCAGCTTCTGACGACGAAGGCACAGGGGAGAAGGAACGCTATTAGCCAATCCAAGAAAACAATTTATCGGCTGCCGAGAATGATGCAACCAATGCAATTTCCTCCGGCTGAGGCGTGGGCGAAGACTACGGTTGATTGGTAGAGCGTGCTCCTATCGCAGAGGCTGTTATTCCTTGGGTCTCCCGGCTGAGGGGAGGAGCCGAGCGAGCGGCGGGTGTCCCTGAGAGGCCACCTTTCGACCTTCGAGGGCCAGGAGGATACGGGGAGGTGGCCGGAGGGAGTTCCCGAACACAGGTCTTCCTGTTCCCGCCGAGCAGGTGTTGGCGGTGCCAGGCCCGGCCTGGCGGGCCCGGGCTGGCAGCCAAATACCCAGCGTCTGTGCTCGGGACGGGAGTGTTCGTCCAGGACGTGCAGCTCCGGAGCCTGCGCGGGCGACCTTGACCACCTTTGTCGGCTGTTTCCCCCTGAGGGAAGTATACCTGTCCTGCCAGCCTTGGTCTCTGGCAGGGAAGGTCCTTCCAACAGAGAGGGGTGCGCACGAATTCCTTTTTGCCGCTCTTCTATTAATAGTTTGAGATTTTCCTCCCCGATTCCTTGCAGAGAGGGCCTGGTCCTCAAGGACCTCGGGATCTGGGCGCGACGTCCCTTCCCAGCTTCCTCCCGCGCGCACCGGACCAGATCTTGCTGTCGTCAGCTGGCTGGTACCCAAAGTTCCTCTTCGTCAGGCTGTTCCTTCCCCGTTAGAGTCCTTCCTCCCCAGGAGCCCTCTCCATCTGCTGACCTTCAAGACCCAGAGCGAATGCCACTTCATCCATGAAGCCTTCCCTTAACCCTTATCTGGCCAAAATGTCTCTTTCCTGTGCTTCTGTACTTTCACAATTTTAGAAAATGCCTTTGTGGTTAAAAACCTATCTCCGGGACCGGACTATCTAGGTTTAGATTCTGGCTGCCGCTTACGAATTTGGGCAGGTTTAGTCAAGTTATTTTAACCTCTCTGTGGAAGTTCCTGCTCTGTGGAAATAATAGTATTTTCCTCAGAGTTGGTGTGGGGAGTTTGTGAGTTAATACATTTACGAAGTGGTTAGTTGCATGTAAGAAGGACTCTCTAAATGTCAGCTATTATTAACATTGCATATCTGCCACACCCTTCATAGATGGTAAACTGCTTTTTTTTTTTTTTTTACTTTTATTTTAGGTTCGGGATACATGCACAGGTTTGTTTTATAGATAAATTGCTTGTCATGTGGGTTTGTTGTACAAATTATTTTGTCACCCAGATAGTAAGCATAGTACTTGACAGGTATTTTTTCTGATCCTCTCCCTCCTCCCACCCTCTAGCCTCAAGTAGGTCCCAGTGTCTGTTGTTCTCTTCTTTGTGTCCATGTGTTCTCAATGTTTAGCTCCCACTTACAAGTCAGAACATGCAGTATTTGGTTTTCTCTTCCGCATTAGTTCACTTAGGATAAAGGCCTCCAGCTCCATCCATGTTGCTACAAAGGACATGATCTCTTTCTTTTTTATGGCTGCATAGTAGTCCATGGTGTATATGTACCGTATTTTCTTCAGTCTACTGGTGATGGGCATTTAGGTTGATGCCATGTCTTTACGATTGTGAATAGTGCTGCAGTGAACATACATGTACATATATCTTTATGGTAGAATGATTTATATTCTTTTGGGTATAGACCCAATACTGGGATTGTTGGGTCGAATGGTAATTCTGTTTTAAGTTCTTTGAGAAATCGCCACACTGCTTTCCGCGGTTACTGAACTAATTTACATTCCCACCAGCATTGTATAAGCATTCCCTTTTCTCCACAACCTCACCAGAAACCAGCATCTGTTATTTCTTGACTTTTATTAATAGCCATTCTGACTGGTGTGAGATGATATCTCATTGTAGTTTTGATTTGGGTTTCTCTAGTGATTAGTGATGTTGAGTATTTTATATGCTTGTTGGCCATGTAGCTTCTTTTGGCTAGGGACCTGTGAGTCTCCCTAGGTTTCTTGCACTTACTAAGCCTTCAACAAATGGTAGAAGAGTCAATTCTCTTGGTGTTTCAGAAGAAAACAATATCACAGCCCCTCTCCACTGGATAATACTATAAATCTTAAAATGAATTTTCATTCAGAGTAATAAACACAAGCCAAAGAACTTTGTATAACATCCGTCAACTTTTTGTGTTATCTATTTCTTTTCCAAAACATTGCCTCTGGTTTTAAAGGTAACTGCCCACAGTGTTTCACTAATAACATTTTAAGCATTACAAGTTCAACACTGAAGGTCAAATGACAACGAACTTTCAGTGCTTCCAAAAGCAGGGGCAGAGGGCAACTGCTGAGGGGGGCATTGTATAGCCTAACCTTCCCAGAATTTGATTTAAAAGTATGATCTTCACAGCGTTGGCCAGCAATATCATGGTCACTCCCTACGTCATTCCCTGGGAGAAAAACAACCCTAGGTTACCTAAACAATGTTGGCGAAGACCAAATATTTATTAACATCCTAAGCCGCCCCATAATCAAGCCAATGCTGATAGGGACAAAGAAGGTGCCATGTGCAGTTTTTCTCCATGTCCCCACAATATCTGCTCTGAATTTTAAAAGGCAATTACTGGGGGAGAAGGAAGCCTATATATTATGTAGGATCCAAGTCTCAAACTGCTTTCCTAGGGAGTGTGAGGTTCTTGGAGATTAAGTGCAGTACCTTTCTGTCTTGAGCCTTGTAGGCTGCCCCTCTAATTTAATGCCAGTCTTGAAATAAACAGAATGCTTTCCAAGTCATCGCTAATTTTAACACTTTAAATTTAGAATTGCTTAGAATTGACTCAACACTGCCTCCTTGCTGAATGGATAATTCAAGCAAACAACTCAAGAGCTGGATGCTGCCCAGACAGGTAGGCAGCCAGATAAAGTGAGTGTCCAGGGAAAGAGCAGTAAGGGTCAGAAGAGAAAGAGCCTGGTGTTCTCACTGCCTCCTGCCTTCCTTATGACTGTCTGTTCAGAAGTCCTCCTAGCATCTTTCTTCTGCCTTCCCCTGCTCCTGTCCCTGAAACCTTTTCTTCAAAAGAAGTGGAAAAGAGGAACTGGGAACCCATATAGCAACAGCATCACCTGGAATGAATTCCTTTAGAACATACTGTCTTGGAAATCTGAAGCCTGCAGGGCTGGACAGGCAAGAAGAGCAGTGAGCACTGCATGAACCTGTAAGTAAATCTGCATGTGGATGGTGTTTTGGGTTTTTTTCAGACAGAGCCTTACTCTGTTGCATAGGCTGGAGTGCAGTGGCACGATCTTGGCTCACTGCAACCTCTGCCTCCTGGGCTCAGGTGATTGTCCCACCTCAACCTCTCAAGTAGCTGGGACCACAGGTGTGCACCAACATGCGCAGCTAATTTTTGTAGAGATGGGGTTTCGCCGTGTTGGCCAAGCTGGTCTCGAACTCCTGGGCCAAGCAATCGGCCTCCCAAAGTGTTGAGATTACAGGCGTGAGCTACTGCACCAGGCCACACATGCTTATTTTACTCAGTCTTGCCCCTGAATACCCGAAGGTCTAAACTTAGGAAAAAGTCAGGGGAGGGATGAGTTTGTCATTCTTTGGAGTCGTTATATTTGGGTGAGTGCTGGCACTATGGGTAGGATATTATTTAGAAGCTGAGTTGTGTGCTGAGCAAATGTTTCTTTAAAAACCAAAGCCGTATGAGATCTGTTATAGAGGCACAGTGTGGCTAAATAGTGTGCGATAAGATAAGCATAGGGCTCCTGAGGTGTTGCTGTTCTCCCACTGTAATGAGTTTACTCTTCTTCCTAAGGAAAGTGATCCTTTATCACCTCTCCTCTCAAATTCACTGGCTTGTTTCGTGAGTGTGCCTTCATGGAATCATGTCTCCTTCTCTTCCCTCAGTTCTCTCCTTCCCTCCCTTACGTATGACTCCTCCCATAATCCGCACACATGGATTGAACCAAGTGAGGGTATTTTTCTGTTTCCTACCTCATAGAAGGGCATAGAGTGGACACGGTCTAAGGTTAGTTCCTGAACTGAGTACCCACATATGCAGAACTTTATTTAAAGCTGCTGAAATCTTTGTATAACAGATAGATCAATAGGACTGAAAACTACTGATGGTTTTACTTACTTGTTGAACGTGACTAAGTTCCATGGCACCATTTAGAAATTGTGTTGTATAGTTTTCGTATGTTGCTTAAGAAACAGTTTAGCATAATGGTTAAAAGCATGGCCTCTGGAACTAGATTGCCTCTGTATGCCTCAGTTTCCTCATCTGGGAATAATAATAGTTCTACCTCATGGGATTGCTATGAGGATTAAATGATTTAATTTAATTAAATGATTTCATACAAAACTGAATTGTACTTGACACTTAGTACTCAGGTATTAACTGGGACCGTTATTATCATCACAGATGTTGTTTACAAGCACTTGCCTTTGAGATTTGTTTAGCTTTTTTATTAAATTACTAGCGGTATACTAGAACAGTACGTAGGCTGGGGCCTGGAGTCAAATTCTAGCTTTGCCTCTTATAGTTTTGAAACTTTGAGTAAATTACTTGATGTGTCTGAGTTTTAATATTCTTATATGTAATTTACTTTTAAAAAGAATTTTGCTTAGTGTTGATATACACACATTTAACACAGTTATAGAAATTATTGTTTTTACTATTGTCATATGAGGAAATTCGTCCCTGGGTTGCTGTAGGGTGCTAATGGTTAGGCAAACTCTCTTTGAAGTCTGCCTGATCTGGCCCCTTGCAGGCATGTACTCCGAAATATTTTTCAAATGGAAAAGAAAACAGAGAACACAATTTTCAAAATATCTAGAGCCCTCCAAGAAGTCTTTGTAGAGATCTATAAAATCTCAAGGCAATTTAAAGGTAATAAGACAACTTTATTAATAATTAATTAAAATGTAAATGTTAATGATAGCCCTTTGTATAGCTATATTATCTTTTTCTGAAGAATAGAAAAATGTTTTAGAAACACTATTCTCTCCACATCCTGGGGCAGCAGCCTTCTCCAAAGAAACAGAAAGAAGGAAATGGATTGCCTTAGCAAAAAAACAAATGAAGACACTCCAAATAACAGAAGAATGGGAAGGCTACAGACCTTGAAGTCAGAAGAAAATTTCCTCTCCTTGCCCCGTTTCTCCTTAAATGGATCACCAGTACAGTCTCTTACTTCTAGAGCCATGTTAAGCTTTCTTCCCCAAAGTTGTAATGTCCTTCTTTTGGTTGTGTCGTGTCCTAAAATCCTACTCTTTGGTACAAGATGAAGGTATATGAAGAGATAATGAAGGAAACAAATTCAATGTGTTTGCCAAGAACACAGTCTTTTAAATAACTCTTAAAGGGTTCGTTTAAAACAGTGTAATAAATTGTGGTAATCTAGTACACAAAGCTAGTAGGAACCTCGTTTATTAATAATATTTCAACATTGAGCAGTAGAGGGCAGCACTATCCTTCTTTTGCAAAATGTTGAGCACTCTTGAGAAGGAAAATAAAGGCAAAGCTCCTGACCCCTGTGTCTGTGTTTACTTTTACCATTAAAAAAAAACAAAAAATTGGAGTATTTTTATTATGGTTTAGGTGATTATGTATAAAGAATGTCAGAGCCTGCATTACCTGGAAGTGGTGCACCAGGTAATGCAAAAAACACGGAAGGTTTGAGGTCCCCCACTCAGGATATGGGTTCTGTCTAGTAAAGATAAACAGTAGCTTGACCCTGGGTAATCAGATAGGGTTATTGTATGAACAGACCTAATGCTCCTGCACGTTCTGGATAGAAGTCAATCTACTGAAATAGCAGGATGTAGTTTTAAAAAATGTGTGTAACTCATATAGTCTTAGCCCTGATAAGTGCTTCTAAATTCTTATTCACTGCCTTTATTCTGCTGTGTTAGTGTTGCTCTCTGTCATACGTGGGTCAGGTCAGAACTAGCTCAAATACAGTATGTGTATTATGACTTTAAGGAGTGGTGTCAGACAAGATGGGTAAAGAATGTCTTTCATGGGACTGCAGTTGGCTAAATGGCTGTGTATAAGTAGTGAAATTGAAGCCTTGTATGCTCGTCGTCATTCTATCACAGTATGATTTGAGTTTCCCTAACCGGTAAACAGCAAGAAAAAATGATCTGTTATTTTTTACTAAAGTTACTTGATGCTCTTTAGCAAGCTGACAGAATAATTCTAATTTTAGCAAATACAAAACCATGGTAATCCTAGCACATTTGGATTCTGTTTAACCCTGAAAACTCTTTTGGCAGCAAATCTTCAATGCCAATTTAGATAAATCCCACTAGGAATAAGCACTGAAAGACGTTGAGTCTAGTTCCCAGCTCTGCCATGTGAAGTTGGGCAAATTACAGTCTCTGAGCTTTTATTTCATCTGTTAAATGGAGATAATACCTCCTAGATTTATTAAAAGGGTCAATTTAGAAAATATGTATTAAAATGGTTTGAAAGCCATTTAAGTACCTAATGAATATTTCTATCACTGTAGCCCAAAAAGATTCCTGCCTAGAAGACTTTATGTCTCTTCTCCTCATTTGGTATCATTCTATTGCCTGAGATTGTTAATTAACTTTTATGTATACTCAATATTTTCTCCCAACTTGGTTGCTAGTTCCTTGAGAACTGAAACCATCAATTGCACTTCTTGGTATCCTCCACAATAAGGTATCTAGGTACTCAAATATTTGTTGGTTGATTAAAAACATAAACCACAAGACATAATTAACTCTTTTTAAAATTGTGGTAAAAAAACATGTATTTACCATCTTAATCATTTTTAAGTATACTGTATATTAGTGTTTACTATATGCACATTGTTGTGCAACACATCTCTAGGACTTTTTCATCCAGAATTCTTTTTTTTTGAGACAGAGTCTTGCTGTGTCGCCCAAGCTGGAGTTCAGTGGCACCATCCTGGCTCACTGCAACTGCTGCCTCCCAGGTTCAAGTGATTCTCCTGCCTCAGCCTCCCGAGTAGCTGGGATTACATGTGCCTGCCACCACGCCTGGCAAGTTTTTGTATTTTTAGTAGAAATGGTGTTTTACCATGTTGGCCAAGACTGGCCTAGAACTCCAGACCTCAAGTGATCCACCCGCCTCAGCAGCCCAAAGTGGTGGGATTACAGGCATGAGCAACTGTGCCTGGCCTAGCCATTTTCTATAAACCTGAAAATAGATGCCAGAAAAGAAGGTGCCGCTATAAAATGCTTTCTTGAGTGATTTATGTCTAACATACAATTAAACATTTATGAGAAGGAAATTATCAGGTTAAAATATAAACTCACTTGCCAATTATTTGATTTTCAGGATATCTGACTTTTGTTAATTACTGAAAATAAAGTATTATTTCTAATCACTATTGGTATCACAATAGCATTTTTATTTGGCCGGTATGTGTGAGGCCTGGAGTATGACGGGAAACTGTCCTAGAAAAGGCCCTTGCATTGGCTGTAGAGAGTTCTGGAACTCTCAAGATGGCAAGATTGTATTTAACTCTTTTAAAAACAATGCACCTTTTCAAGCACAGATTTTCATCTGATGTTGTGACCGTCAATTATGTCAGATTTGTTTGATATATTAAAAAATTGGTTTCTCCTTTGCACAAAATAAATTATAGATGGATATAAGATTTAAATATTTTAAACAATATAGGGAAAATAATATATTTGAAACATAGTATTAGGGTAGAATAGACTTTCCTAATCATGGCACAATCTCAGAAGCTATAAAGAAAATAATTGACTTTGCATGGCTATAGACACCATAAATAAATATGTGATAACATGGAAGAATATTTGCAACATGCTTATTAGTCACATCTGTTATATAGTCAGAGCTTCATTGTATTGGTGGAAAAATTAGGATATAAAGAAATTCAGAAAAGAATAAATACAAATAACCAGTAAACATGTCCAAAATCATCCTCATTATAAAATTGAAACCACGCTGATTTATCAATGTTTACCCATTAGACTGACAAACATTTTAAATGTTCAAAAAATAGTGTTGAGGGAAAAGAGCAATGACATGCACTATTGGGGAGACTGTCAATGAATAAAGCCTTTTCTTGTATTTTGGTAATAACAGTCAAAATGCACATAATACCATTTGACCAAGCAATTTCTCCTCTAGGAATCTATCCTAAAGAAATTTATACAAGTTTTCAAAGATAGGTATGTAGGCATACAGTTATGCATTGTAGCTTTGCTTTAACAGAAAAAGAGTAAACACATGTATTATTTTTGTAGCCTAAAAAAAAATCAAGTTTTCATTGAAAATAAAAATGACAGGTTTGAAGCAGGACAGTGGCCATGGAAGTCGAATCCACTAAGGCGTGTGTAACAAGTCACCTGCTGAGTCAACAAAAATAAATAAAAATTTTTTAAAAACAGGCTTGAGAGACACTTCACAGGAATAGAAAATTTAGATAGTTTCTAACAATGACAATGAAGTAGGACAGGAAAAAGTAATTCTCCAAAGCAAAGTATGTATGTGTGTAGTAACTTAAAACTTCAGATACTATGAGAAACTATTTTTAAATAAAGAACAATGTGGTGTGCTACAGTTTAGAGTTGATCTGGAAATCTGGGGAGCTATTGATGCTCCTTAGTTAATAAATTAGTGATTTTTAAAAATATGAATCCCCATTATCCGTAGCAAACTAACGCAGGAACAGAAAACCAAATACTGCCAAATACTGCATGTTCTCATAAGTGGGGCTGAATGATGAAGAACACATGGATACATGAAGGGGAATAACACACACTGGGGCCTGTCAGGGGTGGGAGTAGGAGGAAGGAGGGCATCAGAAAGAACAGCTAATGGATGCTTGGCTGAATAGCTAGGTGACAGGATGATCTATGCAGCAAACCACCACGGCACACATTTACCTATGTAACAAACCTGCACATCCTGCACATGTACTCCTGAACTTGAGAATTGAAGAAAAAAAATGAATCCCACAATTCTGTATCCAAAGACCGAGAACAGCTCCTGACATCGAACAGACAATAAATATTGGCTGAAGGAATGAATGAGGATATTTGCATCCGAGTTTTAATTAGAATAGATGTAAAATTGCCTAATGATTATTACTTGTTCTGCAACAAGTGTTTAATAGATACTAGTTCACTACTTATACGTGTCTAACACATCACAAAGGTTTATTTAAAAGAATTTATATAGTGCTTATTATATGTTGGGTACTGTTCTAAGTTCTTCACAAACACTAACTCATTCAAGTTGTATAAGTGAAGCAGGTGGTCTAATTATTCCATTTAACAGATGAGGCAATTGAGGCAAAGAGCAATTAAGTAACTTGCCCACGATGGCACAGCTAGACAATGGTGGGGATATGAACACAGTCTGCCTCCAGGGTCACTTCTCCATGGTGCCATATTGCATCCCACACGGTAAAAACTTACTAAATGTAAGAATGCATAAAGTGTTACTGTTTTTGAAATTATATTATGCTTTTGCCCCAGAAAGTCAGAATATTTGATATCAAATCATGTCTAAAAATCATTCCCACAACTTCCCTTTGAGGTAGAGCATATTTCTAAAATCATGTTTTAGTGTATTACTGGTTTAATAGTTGTGTTTAAAAAGAACATGGGAGGTCATTGTTCCTATGATAAAATCACTGTATTTGTTTTTTGACATCATATTCATTTCCATGACAACACTTCCAAGTTCCAAACACAGAAACATCTTGCTCTAGAAATGGAAGAGGCATAGGGCCTACAGAGAATTACATAACAATGTCAAAATTGTTTAAAGGGGTAAGGTTGTTTGTGTGTATTTTAATCTTTTGCATAACTAAAGCAATGAGTCTCCAACTTTTTCAATCAGGAATCTTTTTTTTGTATCTAAGCTTTGTAGGCTTTTTTGTTTTAAGATGGAGTCTCTGTTGCCAGGCTGGAGTGCAGTGGCATGATCATAGCTTATCACAGCCTCAAATTCCTGGGCAAAAGCAATCCTTCCACCTCAGCCTCCCAAGTAGCTGGAATTATAAGCACAACCCACCCTGCTGGCTAGTTTTTGTTTTTTGTTTGTTTTTGTTTTTGAGATGGAGTTTTGCTCTTGTTGCCCCGGCTAGAGTGCAATGGCATGATCTCGGCTCACCTCAATCTCCACCTCCTGGGTTCAGGTGATTCTCCTGCCTCAGCCTCCCAAGTAGCTGGGATCACAGGCATGCGCCACCACACCCGGCTAATTTTGTATTTTTAGTAGACAGGGTTTCTCCATGTTGGTCAGGCTGGTCTCGAACTCCCAACCTCAGGTGATCTGCCCACCTCAGCCTCCCAAAGTGCTGGGATTACAGGCCTGAGCCACCGCGCCCAGCCAGTTTTTATTTTAACCTTAGTTTAACTCCATTCCATAACAATACCAGTGTTTCTTTTTTTCATGATTCATTCATTCATTCATTCATTCATTCCATAAATATTTATTGACCACCTACTATGCGCCAGCATTGCACTAGGTGCTAAGAATAACATGATGAACAAAAAGACAAAATCCCTTTCTTCACGGATTGAAATCTAATGGGGAAACAGATAATAACAGTATTGCACAAATGAAATACTAAGATTACTAAACTGTAGCCATATCTGAGTGCTACATATCTTAATAATCTGAGATTACTAAATTACAGCCATGGTAAGTGCCACATATCTTCATGGAAAAAGTCCATGAAAGCATAAAATAGAGGGAATTAATCTAGTTGAGGCCAGTTCTTTCCCCCTCAGAATCTTCCATCCAGCATGGATAGCATTCCACTTCTAATTCCTACCCCAGCTATACCTCTTAGACCTTACAGTTTGCACATACGACAAAGTTCTGGAGTCCATGTTGGCAGCCAATGTTTTTAAGAGAAAATGGCCCATTAAAAATAATATTTTTAATTTATCGTCTTGTCATTTTATTATTGCTTCTAGCTTTTTTCCCAAAAGGCAAAAACATCACTTTAAAAATCTAATTTGCATTCATAAGATATAAGTACTTTTATCTTTGTGTTTCTGTTGGGAAATGTGAAGAATAAGACATTTCCTGTAAGAATAACATAGATCTTTATCAAGTTAAAGGAAGACACAAATATCAAGAGAAGGTAGAACCAGAAACATCTATTTGTGTTTGTTATTCTTATACTACATAGGACAAGAATCTCTAAAGGTTAAAAGGAAAACATACTGGCACTGCCCAAAGAGGACAGCTCTGTCATTGGTGGTACGTGGACATCCCCAAGTGACACGCAGCATCTCCTTCATGTGTGATGGGCATGGGGGCCAGAGCTAGGCTGCAAAGTCTCCTCTGGAAGACCGTTGTGTCAAAAGAGCAGGTGATGGGCATAGACAGGTCAAGCTCAGAGCTGGGGCCTCTGGTTCCCCCAAGGGAGGATTGGGCTGTGAGTGAGGCATGGAAAGCAGTGCGATGAGAACTAAAGGGTCCATGAACCCCATCAGGATCCCCCAGAAGGGAAGGTTATATATAGTCAGAGGCAAGAAACAATATTGGAAAAGTTTCAGAATTATAGATGGTGTGACAACCAATAGCTTAGAATGCCTTTAATGTCATATTCAGGACATGCCCCTGTTTAAGGCAATGGACCCTAAGATGAAGGACACCCTTGCTTAACTGATGTAGAGGAAGGGCCTCTTTGTCTCCCACCCTTCCCCACCCTGTATTTCCTTCTCCTTTCACCTCTTTGTTATGGCAAGTATTTATCATTTCGATGACACATAGTTTCTTCCAGGGAATTTCCTTCTCCCTTGTATTGAGCTGACTTTTATCTAGGTGCTCTAATCAAAGATCGGTCCTCAGACCAGCAGTATAGCGCCACCCAGGCGCTTGTTAGAAATGCAAAATCTCAGGCCCCACCCTGGGCCTACTAAATCAGGATCTGCATTTTAAGATGATCCTCAGATTTTTCCCAAGCACAATAAATAAAGAAGCATCATTTTACTCCCATGAGCTTCCTGGACTGTAAAATGGACAAGGCCGTTCCTGACCCACCCTGCTTACAGCTTTGAAGGGAAGATGCTCTGAGATTTAAAAAAAAATTATTATTATTATTATTATTAGTTTTTGGCTGGGTGAGGTGGCTCATGCCTGTAATCCCAGCATTTTGGGAGGCTGAGATGGGCGGATCACAAGGTCAAGAGATCGAGACCATCCTGGCCAACATGGTGAAACCCCATCTCTACTAAAAATACAAAAATTAGCTGGGCATGGTGGCACACACCTGTAGTCCCAGCTACTTGGGGGGCTGAGGCAGGAGAATCACTTGAACCTGGGAGGCAGAGGTTGCAGTGAGCCGAGATTGCGCCACTGCACTCCAGCTTGGTGACAGAGTGAGACTCCATCTCAAAAAAAAAAAAAAATTAAAAAAAGAAAGCATTTTCAAAAGATAAAAGTGCAATAGAATTATTAAATATAAAATTTATTTGCACCTGGACAACTTGACTTATTCAAACTTTTTAAGAGTAAATTAAAGATTAATCAATGACTATTTGTTTCCATAATTGGTTATATTAAATATTATCTTGAAATGTTCTAGAGTTCTGTTTTATTTTGTTTAGATCAATGATTCTTAATCCTTGCTGCACTTCAGAATTTTCTAAATTTTTCTGAAAATCCAGAGCCTGAGCCCTATTCCCAAAAGATTCTGATTCAGTGGAAGTGAATCTTAACATACTGTCAGAGTTGAAAACCATTGATAGAGATGAGTCCTGAGATGAGGAGAGTTAGATCCATTGTGTAATAAGCAAACATAGAAATGCTAAGGGACTAAAAATTGCTTGAAAAATATGGCTTGAGCTTTGCCACTGACCCTGCAAGGCTACCTCCAGGAATCTGTCCTGCCAAAATATGTGTACAAGGAGGTATATGCCTGAAGGCTCATGGCAACATTGTTTGTAATAACAAACATAATGGAAACAGTTTTAACGTCCACCAATTAGTGAGTGATTACATAAGTAGGGCACATCCATATGATGCAATACTGCACTGTTAAAATTAATGAGGCAGACCTATATGTACTGCTGTGGAAACATCTCCAAGATATATACTATTAAGTAAAACAAAACGCACAATACGTGATATATGAACTCATTTATGTAAAAGCTATGTGCATATATACATGCACATATACATAAACGTCTAGAAAGATTATTGAAGGACATGTACCAAATTGTTGACAGTGGTTACATCTGGGAATAGGAATGGAAGGGAAAGGGACATTTTGCTGTGTAAACCTCTAAACATTTTACAACAAAAACATATTCATGCACTGCTTGCATAACTATTCAAAACATATTCCAGGGCTGTCAGCTGTCATACCATCTATAATCCTGGATAATAGACTATTTAAACTATTATTT
Organism: Homo sapiens; assembly: GCF_000001405.40. Taxonomy (NCBI): domain Eukaryota; kingdom Metazoa; phylum Chordata; class Mammalia; order Primates; family Hominidae; genus Homo; species Homo sapiens. Next base: position 99,444,137 of record NC_000010.11, read on the forward strand.
TAATATTACAATTTTGAGTGAATAATTATATAATAAATAATATAGTGGTTGACAAAAAAACAAAGCAAATCTAAATATAAACTCAAAACAAAAGCTCCTAGGACACGCAGGGCTTTTGTTATGGAGCCTGTCACTTCTTGACCCTAAGATGGCTGGAACTGTGTTTCCCTGACTTCTCTGGATACCCTCCCTATCCAACGTTATGCTTGGCATTGACTCTAACAGCCTCTCTGCTCCCTTGGAAAACTCACCCAGGCAAGCACTGTACTTCTAGAAGAATCTTGATGTCAGTACTTTGTAAATCCTTCCTCGGCCCAGCCCTAAAAATCACCGGGTACAGACAGCCATCTACAACTCAGCCTCGCTGAGGGTTAGGTCGCCTCCATTTCAGGCAAGTGAGAAAAGTACACTGACTAAGCTGCAGGAGAAGGGATCTGCATCCTGTCTAGGGAGAAATCCTCGAAGTCTGCTGTGATAGCTCTTCCTCTTTGAAATGGTGATTAAGCATTGGAAGTGCATAATGAGAGAAACTACTTATAAATCTGTGCCTCTCAGCTCCAGGCCACTTCTTTTTCTGTAGGAGAAAATCAAGGATTTTGCCCTAATGGCATTGGAACAAAGTCAGGGCTGAGGCAGGCCGACAGAGAGGGAGGCTTCCAGCCCGTGGCGGCCCTGCTGACAGCTCGTTAGGAACTGTCCCTCTCCAGCTCCTGTTTCATTTCTTCAAGTTACAAAGCCTGACAAAGTTTGATGGGAAAACCAAGGCGGTAATGTCCCCCGCGGCAGCCGAGGCCCTGCTCATCCGTCTTTGTTTGACAGATACAGAGAGTAGATGTCACCTACAAAACATTTCACTCACCTCAACCAAATGTGCCGGGATGGCCCTGTCGCCCTCAAAGGACCCAACAGGAAGAATCCAGACCAAGGCTCATCTACCATAATTGAGATTTCTCGCAAAAGAAAATCATTTTTAACAAGACAGTTCCTGCAAACCAAATGCTCATTCATGTTCTCCTCAGAAAAGTACATATAATGCCTAATAATTCAAAGAAAGTTATACTTTGATTTACAAACATCTCTTCCCGGCTACATCCTCCAGCTGGTCTTTGAGGGCTGGCAACCATTTAAGATCTGAGAAGTCAGTCTGAGGTTCCACGCAGAGGGCCTGGGACTCTGATTTTGCTGGATTTTCAGGAAGGGGAGTGTAATGAAACAAAAATGCCTCTCCACTCCAGAAAGCAGAGGCTGAGATGCATTGGTATCTCAAGGTCTCTTCAACTCAGCCTCTGTCAGTGGTTCTCCAATCTTATAATCTTAACATACCTCAGAAAAATCTGTGAAGCAGACTTTTAAAATGATGTTTAAAAACATGTTTTTTTTTTGGTTTGTTTGTTTGTTTGTTTTTGAGGTGGAGTCTCGCTCTGTTGCCTAGGCTGGAGTGCAGTGGCACGATCTCAGCTCACTGCAAGCTCCGCCTCCCAGGTTCACGCCATTCTCTTGCCTCAGCCTCCCGAGTAGCTGGGACTACAGGTGCCTGCCACCATGCCTGGCTGATTTTTTGTATTTTTTAGTGGAGACGGGGTTTCACCATGTTAGCCAGGATGGTCTTGATCTCCTGACCTCGTGATCCGCTCACCTTGGCCTTCCAAAGTGCTGGGATTACAGGCGTGAGCCACCGTGCCCAGCCTAAAAAGATGTTTAAAATACAGATCCTGATTCAGAAGATCTGGAGCAGGGCCAAGGAATAGGCATTTTTAACAAACTCTCTAGGTGAGTCTGGCTGCAGGTAATCCTGGGGCCCCTTTGAGAAGCAATGCTACTATCTGCAGCTGCCCAGGGCAGCACCTCTAGCCAGGGTTCCTAAGAGCACCCTCAAGAAGCACCTCTTGGGGCAGCTCCCCTCCCCACTGGCTGCCAAGCCCAGACTTGGTTCTCAGCAGCTGTTCCTGTTAAAGGTAGAGCCAGTTCATCTTCAGGGTTCTTCTGAAGATAACAACAGTCCCCAGAGACCACTCCCTGAAGCAGAAGCACCTCCCAGAGACCACCCAGTGCCAACTTCTCAGATGCCCATCTGGAAGGTAACTCCCAATAAAGTCCCTGCTGAGCCCGATGCTGCCACATGACTTTGTCATAGTAGCTGCTGATTTTAGCCAATTGCTTTTTATTAGCTGTTAAGAACTAAAATTTGAAACCAGAGTTCAACTCTTAACCATTATATCACCTTGCTCATATTCATAATAACAGTAATTGATACAACAATTATTATGGGACTATTAAGTGCTAGTATTAGGGGTTATGCTCTAAGCATACAGTGACAAACAAGACAAATACAATTGGTCTTCCCAATCTACAGGTTCCCCATCCATGAATTCAATCAACTGCTGATTGAAAATATCTGAGACAAAAAAAATTAAAAATTACAATTAAAATATAGCAATACAGTATAGCAACCATCTATATAGAATTTATATTGTATTAAGCATTATAAGTAATTAAAGATGATTTAAAGTAGATGAGAGAATGTGCATGGGCCACATGTAAATACTATGCCATTTTATATAAGGGCCTTGAACATCTCCATATTTTGGTATCTGCAGGGGTCCTGGAACCAGTTCCCCCCAGATACCAAGGGACTCACAACTGTCTGGCTTTCATGGTGATAACAATCTTGAGAGCAATCCAAATGTATAAATGAACCATTCAGTGCAGTGTGAGGAGAGCAGTTCTAGGAAATTGCTAGGTTAGGTGCTAACACACTAGCCTAGACAAGGAGGATCAAGAGGGGTTTCTCAGAAAAAGTGAGGTCTAAGCTGAGATCTAAATATGGGCACAAATTAGCCAACACAAAAGCAGGAGAAAGGGGGCTCACAGCTGAGGATACAGCAGTTGCAAAGCCCCAGAGTTAAGAGAGCATATAACATGGTCAAAGAACTGAAAAGTGATTTGGTATGATTAGAGTGGAGAGGAAAGAGAGGTTTCAGCAACAAGACTGAAAAGGTACACTGGATGGGAAGGGTGTGTGGGATGGCAGGGGGATGAAGGGAAGTTGGTCAATGGATATAGACTTACAGTTAGAAGAATTAAGTCCTAATATTCAGTTGCAGAGTAGGGTGACTATAGTTAGCAACAATGTATTGTATATTTCAAAATAGCTGAAAGCCAGGACTTGAAATGTTCCCAACACTTACAAATGATAAATACTCCTGACTTCTTATGCATTCCATGCATGTAACAAAATATCACATGTACCCCATAAATATGTAAAATATTTTGTATCAAGATACACTGGACCCAGATTTAGAAGCACCCTATAAAACACCTTAAAGGGTTTTACTATGTGTCTATGGAGATTCATTAGGTATTAGTCAAAGCATGTAGCTGAGGAGATTTGGCCTGAGCCAATGTGTGCCATGCGCATGCAGTGGGAACTGAAGCTATGGGAAGATGACATTACCAAGGAAAGACCAAAGAGGGCCTCGGCCAGCAGCCTGGGATGTGCCAGCATTTCAGGAATGGAAAGAGAAGGAAGAGTCCCCAAAAGAGACTCAGAGAGGTAGTAAGAAAACATGAGAGGTGACAATGTGCCCCAAATCACAAAGCTAGTAAGTGGCAAACTTAGAATTCAAAACATCTCTAACATTCCAGAGCCATGCTCTGGACCTCAACACCTCTTAAATACTGTTTTCCCTTGCTGCTTAAAATTACAGTTGATATAAAATTTTACTTATACATATTTTTCTAGGAATTCATTTATACAACAAAAAAATCGTCAAGGCATTTGTTGAGTGCATCCTTGAGTTGCATTAGGAAGCAAACTTGTGAAACCTGCCTCTAGCTGCCTCCACATCTCTCCCCTGGTGTGCCTTGCCATGTCTTCAGTTTGGATATGCTTTCGTTCCCCCTAGGAGTGTCCCCTAGGGGATAACCACGTACAGTCCCTTGACAAATGCTTAGGATTTATCTCCAGAAGTGCTCCCACAGGTGCAAAAGGCACCCACAATTCTCCAAGGAGCAAACCAAACAGTAGTAATGAACATGTTCCTTACAACATGTGTGTCTTCTCCAAAAGAAAGATCAATGAATGCTCTGGTTGTTTCTATTGTTTATTGTTTTATCAAAACAATAAATGCTCATTCTAAATAAAACAAGTGTAGGATATATAACATTTCACAAGTATATAAAGCAAAAATAAGTTATTAAATTCCCCTGTCTCCCCCAACCTATTACCTGTAACCCCATTACCAGAAATATCCATGGCAAACAATTTGGTATATATATATATACACACACATATATATATATATATACATATATACACACACACTCACATATACACATACATATATACAAATACTTTTTAAATTGAAAGGATTCTATTATCTATATTGCTCTGAGACTTGCTTCTTAAACTATATAATGATCAAACTTTTTATATCTGTGTATATAGCTTTACCAACTTAATTTTTTCCACATACCAGCCCACGGTATGAAGGCACCATTACTTCTTTAACCAGTCTTTTACTGATGACCATTTGTATTGTTTCTGGGTTTTCTTGGCCTGCTTTGATTCCACAGAGTGTGAGGGGGCCCAGAAGAACATTATTTTGGGCTAAACTCTAAACTAAGCATTTTTTGGAATTTGACATTTTTTGTACTTACCTTTTCTCCCTCTTTGAGCTTGTTGGATGTTTCTCTCCTGCTGGTCCCTCCTAATCTTGCTGTTGCCTGATTTAAGGTATGTTTGTTGTTTTAAAGATTTCCTTATAGAGTCTAGGACTCTTTGGGGGATGTAAGTTCAGCAAATAAACAAACTATTGTCCTAACTTTACATTCTTATTTTAGAGGATTTCAGGAGCACAGGAAGAAGTTCTTCTGTTAACTGGGAATCGGCTTAAAAACCTAAAGTCATGTTTGAACTGTGCTTTTCATTTCCCTCTAAAGAGCATCCTAGCTAGAGCTTGACTAAATATATTTAAATTGAAGGCATATCTTATAACCTCAAAGAGCTAACAGTCTCCTACAGTCTGTTGGGGAAGCAAAATTGGCATTAGGGAAACAATTAGAGCACAGTTAAGTGCTAAATTATGTGGTACAAGCCCCTGGGCAACAGTTTGGGGATGATGACGGCTCAGAGGAGTTCTCTGCCTCCCAGGGGAAAGTGGAACTTGAGCTGGGTTAGGAAGCAGGAAGTCACATTCTGAAAAGTCTAGGCAGAAGGTGGAAGGTTTTTCAAGTACCAGGTAACTTCTCATACCTTCTCGTTTTCTGACATTTTAAAGTTTTTGTTTTGGGCCTGCCTACCTTCATGAGAATGGAAGCTTGATGAGGTCAAGGACTCTGTCTTTATTGTTCACCACTGAATCCCCAGTTCCTGGAACAGTGCCTGGCACATAGTGGATGTTCCATGGATATATGAATGAACAAATGACCATGGTGTGTGTGAGGAACTGTTCTGTCTGGAAAGAGGTGTCTCTGTCTCTGGGAGTAGAGGACTCTCCAACAGACTAGCAGAGGAGCAGCCAACTGAGCCTCAAAACACAGGAGCAAGTGGGATAAACAGGATAAACAGGATGTGGGAGCCACTCACAATTGCCAAGGTGGACCTTGTATAGATTGCAATAGGGGACTTGAACCTGAAATCAAAACAAAAGACAAAACTGCTCTGCACAGCCTACAGGACTCCATGTACTTGGTCAACCAACAGCTAAAGTTGGAAGAAAAAAGAAAAAAAAAGATTTGTTCAGTCCTATCCTACCTTTCCCTTGTTAAGAACATAGGGAACTATTAATGTGATCACAATACTTTTATTAATACCTACTATGATTGCATTCACTATTTAAGCAGATAGATTAATTGCTGTCTCATACTGAGCCAATTGTAGAACAAAAACTGGTCTGTTTTTTCAACTGTTGTTTTGTAGGTCTATATTTTGTTTTCCATCCTATATTTGTGCAATTGATTTTTGGGCCTAAATGCAGTGCTTTGCATTTTTTCCTGGTGCATTCTTATTGATTTGAGACCATCTTTCAGCTTATGAAATTCATTTAAAATCTTGATCCTATCATCAGTCACAGCAGTTATCCTCTTAGCTTGGTGCATCCATACATGCGATCTGCAAATACCCCAAGGATGTGGATGCCTAGATCTAATTTGGAGAATCCTAAGGGGCAAGGAGTGTTTGCCGGCTGACTCACCCTCAGTCATGGGCAAAACCGAAATGATGTGTGGCTGCTAGGACGGGGATATGTGGGAAACTTCAGGCTGGAGTTGGGAAAGGAATAACTGTTGGAATTCCAGGTTGAGGCAGATCCAAGTCACAATCTCTGGTTTAAGCAACCCAGAAAGATTTCTTCTAGGAAGCTGCTTTTATAAGTAAAAGGGGAAAAATAGCTTGATAATTTTTGAGGACAGGCAGCGACGGGGAAAGGGCACGTTGTTCAGTTTAGAAGCTAAACTAGGGGATAGGAAGAGGATGACTGGCCAGCTTAGACTGTTAGAACTTGGGTTTCCTCACTGGCAGGCAGATATTAGATTTGCTTAGAATCAAGACTGCTGTGAAGATCTTTCCTCTCTTGCTCTCGGGAATAAATCCTACTTTGGTGTTTTAAGCTGTTTCTCTTCTGTTAGCCACTCCCCAGATTTTCACTCAAATCCTGCATCAGTGTCCTTTGTACCTTTCCTCTCACTCTGTCTCTGTTGTAAAATCAATTATAATTTGCTTACATCTCCAGTTATGGGGGTACATTTTCCATCTGCTCCAAAATGCACACCCCTGGACTGCACCATTCCCCGCTCCTCCTGCCTCCCCCGCCCGAGCCGCCTCCCCAGCAACTTTATCTTCCTAAGCAGCTCAGGAACACAGATGTTTTCACCCTGTTGCTCCAGTACAAGGGTATTTTCCCAGTGTCTCTCTGTGTGTATGCTCCAGGCACCATCTCTCTGGGGAGGGAGAGAGTAAATGTTTTCATTCCAAACCCTCAGGGTCAGGTCTTGTTTGTCTAAACTGTGTTTGTTGCCGTAATTATCAGATTAGCTGATCTCTGACAGCAAGTTGGGGGTTGGAGATGGGGGAGACTATTAACCCTCTGTAGGATGGTGGCTGTGCTTTCTCATGGGAATACCTTTGGGAAGAGCTGTCATTTATCTTCTAACCTGGAAGATTTGTCTAGAATTCTTTTCACCAACCCTAACAGACCTTCATAATAGTCTGTTCTAAGTAAATCCAACCATCTAGCAGCCTCCACTGCTGGGATCCAACAGGCATTTAGCAGAGATGGAGGGTTGAAAGGGCATCTCTCCAGGGATCTGCTGGGAAGAGAAAGAAATGGAGCTTAAAGAGGATCTGGATAAATAACTCTACAAACGGTGTCGGTGTCTCTTAGACTGAATAAGGAAGCCAGGAGTAAGCACTGAACATCTTCAGCTAGTCCACCCATCCCCTCCCCCTTGGCATAAGTGCAGCGAGGCTACCAGGCCCCACTTAGCATTGTTTGGGGATTTTCTGTTGTTTCCGAGATTGTTAAGATAATTTTTCACCGCTGCTGTTTTAACAAAACTAAATGTGTAGACATTTGTGAGTCTTTGTCATCAGACTCATCAGGCTGGTGCTTTCAAAATGTTCACATCTGCCCTTTCCTTCTGCCCACAGCACCCTTGAACTTCTATATGGTCTCCAAAGACATGATAAATACAGAGATTGCTCTCTCCTCTCAACTGCAACAGTAATGATTCCTTTGCATTTTAATTAAGTCTTTTACACATGAATAAGTCTTTATCCTCAAATGGACTAAAGACTCCTCGAGGACAAGAACTATCCTTCAGTCCCATACATTGGTTACCTGGCAAAGGACCCTAAATGCAGGTATTTAATAAATATCTTTTGTTGACAGCATTTTTCCAAACTTCTTTTTTCTATTTCTCATCTCTGTTCCTTTCTGGGTTTGTATTTGGTTTTTAGTTACTTATGATGTTTACAGATCCTTTATTTCTGGAACGGTCCTCCAATTCATACTCAACTCAATTCCTCCTCTTCTCTTCAAACACACACACACATACACACACACACACACACACACAGAGAGAGAGAGAGAGAGAGAAACCTTTACAGAATATCTGTATACCTAGTACTGTACAAATATATTCTATGTGCAAAATCTTATTTGAAGCTCACCATGGCTTGTGAGATAAGTACTATTACATGTAAGCAGGCAGAGACTCAGAGAGTTAAGTAACATAAACAAGCTCCCACAATTGTAAGTCCCAGGTGTGTGTGACTCTAAAACCCATACAAATCCCATCTTGTTAGTTACTAAAGTGGAGAAAAGTTCAGATAATTAGAGAAAACATGTTTTGCCCAAAACCTAACTAAAAATCAACCAATCTATCTTCAGTATTTTTCCCCAACAAATATAGCTATAATAATTTCTTTGTAAAATTAAAAGAAGCTCAAACCCAATGAATACATTCTGGACAATATCTTATACAACAAAATTGTTTTGATATTGTCTTAGCATATGTTTTAAAGTGAATTTGACTCATTCATCCATGTCCATGCTGTTTATAAAGCTGTCACTTCTTGCAGGCAAACATGATTTTTAGAATATTCTATGTAATCCACATACTGATTCATCAAACTGTTATTGAAAAACTGCTATTGACTTAGAATATCCCCATGTTCTGAGAACACTAAAGTCTTTCATCTTTATTGATGTTGCCAGGCCTGGTTCCAAATGTGGAGAGGGCACAGGCAGAGATTCTTGGGAGGAAATGTTGAGAAGCAGAATTGGTCAGTGAGTTTCCATATGGTGCTTCTGGTCAGCCCCAGAAGCAGGTATCAGATGGATTTCCATGGAAGCAAACAGCCAGGGAGCCAGCTCTTCTCTCCCTCTAAGGATGTGTTCTGTTCATTATGCAGCCAGCTAAGATGCCATCCTTGTCCCTGTTCTACTCAGGGTTTCCCTCTCTCTGGCATCTCCCTCCACTGCTCTTAGATCCCTCACCACAAGCCACATAGGAGGAAGATCCAACAGATCTTGAATAGGTCAACCAAACTGTGTTTGTCAGTTCTGATAAGAGAGTCAATTGTAGAGAAATTCGAATGACTATTTTGCCCCCAATCCAGAAACCCCTGTCCTAACTTGAATAAAAATTCACTTGGCTACATAAGGAAGGTTTTTAAAGAGCCTGGGAAATGGAAAGAGCGATGATACAAGTGCCTAAAGGGAAATTCAAAGAAGGGCTTATTTTTAAAGAAAAAAATTCAGAAAAATAGAAAGGTGATTTTGCCATCTTGTGGAAGAGTATTGCACACATGTTGAGCAAAATGAGACTGGTTCTTATGATAAAATAATTTCAGGTTCTTAAAATACCTTACTTGATCCTGGTTACGAATAGTCAGCTTGTTCTTGTTAAGATGTTTGAAGTGCTCAGGGTATTTTCTGGCCCAGATGCCAGGAGATCTGACTGCCCCTAATAGCTGTGTGGCCTTCAGTGAGGCATATATCCTGACACTTATCTGGAAAGTTGGTATTGGACTAGACGACATCAGATTATTTCTTTTGTTGGTGTGGCATCATATTCTGGGCCCCTGGAGGGAAGCAAATAAGGAAAGTTGTTTAGAAAAATGACATTTTCTTGATTTAATTTTGCAAAATGCTTAGAATGGTGCCTAGCACATAACAGTGTTAGAATTGTTAGTGTCTATAGAAGTGGAAGCTATTATAGAAGTGTTAGCTATTATCATTGACATGCTATGGATGATGAGCATGGATCCATGCACTAGAGACACATTTTTACCTCCATATCTAAATTTAAGAAAAATAATGCAATATTAATTGAGTATTCTGATAACTTTAAAGCCCTTTGTCTCTCTCTCTCTTTTCTTTTTTTTTTTTTTTTTTTTTTTTACATGGAGTCTTTCTTTATTACACAGGCTGGACTCAAACTCCTGGGCTCAAGTGATCCTCCCACCCTATGCTCAGCCTCCAAGTAGCTGGTACTATAGGTGTGCACCACTGCACCCAGCAAAAACCTTAATAGAAAGGAAATGAGCCATGACTACTGAAAATTAAGACTAGCTATTATCCACAAGAGGTGCTCGCTGCCTCTTTGCAGAAGTGATTCTCAGCCAGAGACCTCAGTATTTGGAGAAGAGACCTCTTATCTATTCCCCAGGGGTCTCAGACCATTCAAATCAAAGGAAAACAATTGATAACCTTGTAATTAATGGAAGGAGGGTCTGCTAAGCAAACAACCACATAGAGATGTTTTCTCTGAAAATTCAGCTTTATTATTTGGCCATGGGATGAATTGGGCTGCCTTGGGAAGCAGGAGTTTCCCTTCCCTGGATTCAGGGATTCAGACATCAGATGGCTAGATGGACTGCATGACTTTGAAGAACCTTTCCCACAAAGTCTCTGATTCTAAAGCAAAGCCTACCCAGAAATACAAAGGTCACAATGCCTGTGGACAATAGAGCGGCAGAGACTGGGCTTCAGCTAGGACACCTAGTTCTCTGAGAGCATAATATCAGCCTGGAACATCTTGCACCTTGAATGGTGGAGCTGTGTCTTCTAAGACTTTCGTAAAAAGGTGATTCATGGAACGCATCACTGAGCAATGCCCTAGTTTATTCTCTCTTTTCAATTCTAAGACCTAAGAATGGAAAGCACTAAGGGAATGTCAGAGCCACACAATAAGGGAAGGGCCAGAATCCTGGTTTCCAGTCCAGGGCTGAACCTCCAGCTTTCCCTCTCTATAAACAGATGGAGTTGTCATGGGCTGAAGATACTTTCTAACTACTTTCTGCCCATAGCAACAGTCCAATGAAAACCTTCACTGAATAGAAACTCATATGCAATATTAGAGCAAGATGAACAGAGAATAAGACAAAAGAAAATAAATAAAGAAGACAATGGCAAAGGGGCAGAATATAAAGAATTGAAGAGGCAGAGTAGAGAAAACAAGAAAATGAAGGGAGTTTTTTTAAAAAAAAATTCTACTCTAAATGTATGAGATGTAGAGAGCCTTAACATTTAAAAACTGCAAAGAAAGAAAGATGGTAACATGCATTACATACTAAGAAAGCCACACAAAAGAGAGTAAGGTTAAAAAAAGTTATAAATCTCTATAATTTAACTAAGATTATCTGATGAGAACATACACAAGAAATGCTAGCTGCCTCTTTTCAAAAGTAATTCTCAGCCAGAGGCCTCAGTATTTGAAGAAGAGATGTCCTGTCTATTCCCCAGGGATCCCAGGCCACCCAAATTAAAGGAGAACAGTTGATAACCTCATAATTAGAAGCAAGGCTTCTGTTGTGCCACCGTAGGGCCTTTACACTGCCTTTTCTCGGAGGACTCCCTTCCTTCCTCCCTTCACTACTCTCCATTTCCTGCTTGTCGTTACTCTAATTACTTTTACTGTTACTGTGTGGTGGTTGGTCTGGAGGACCTTCAAAATCCCTTCCAACCCTCTGAGTCCACAATTCTCTACTTCTGCTTTCAGAAGTACTCCCTACTGTCGCCTTTACTGGGATCTGAGGTCCAGGGAATAGTGTAGCGGTATGTGATGGGCACAGGGATGACTCACGTGATAGCTTGTGCACATTGCCATGGCTCAGCTATCTCTTTGCTGGTGGAAATAATCTGGAAGAATTGGTTCCAGGTCCACGGAGAGGTTGCTCGGTATCAGACAGTAGTCGCCATTGGAAGCAGAGGCCATGTTTCAAAGTAGCTGAGAGTTATTTTATTAACGACAATAAGGGTGATGAACTAAGTAATTTGATGAGTACTTAAAGACAAAACCATAGAACCTGCCCTTGAGGAACGCACAAACCAAATGTGGCAACTCTAGGTCCTACGCATTCATAATAATCATCACTGCCTGGTACTGAGCACCTTCTAGGTGCTGGGTACTGCTAAGCGTGTAACCTTTGCCAAGTTATTTAATCCTCATGACATCCAAATGAAGCAAGTACTGTTGTCATCCCCACTTTACAAATGAGGTAGTGGAAGCCCAAAGATTACATACTTTACTGCTATCAGGCAGCTTGTGACAGATTGGGATTCAAATACTATATGCTTGGAGGCACATTACTAGGCTGCCTTCACAAGTCCCCTTTTTGCATCAGCCATAATCCATTTAATGAGTCAAGATTGATTGCAAGAGAACTGAGGTCCCCAGATTCATCTCACTCTGATTTTAACACTACTTTCAAGAACTCATGCTCCTATGGGTCCTTTCTCACCGTGTCATCTGTGATCCAACCTGCTTTAACCTGTCTGTTCTCTTACCTGTCTGAACCTGCAGATGCCCACACTGAGGGATTCTCAGCCCTGGAATCCTCCATGTCTTCCCCTCACTTCACCAATCTATCCAGGACCCTGACTGCATCAAGCCTTTGTAGCAATGGCAATGTTACCCCAAACTGACTGCAGATGCCTGTGACCTTTGGGATTCCCACCTGTGCTACTTGTCCTGTTCTTAAATTAAATAAATGACCAAGTCAGGGATCATATGCCATCTTCAAGACAGGAAGTCCTGCTCTCCGGCATCTTGTCCCCTGATCCTAGGCATGGTGTCACTTTCTGCCCATAGGAACAGTCTAATAAAAAACTTCACTTGGACTCTATACTAATTTACAATTAAAATTACTAGCTTTGTGAGAGTATGCAAAGTATTCATGAACTAGGATTTGGGGATAGAAGAGGCAGAAATGTTTTCCCATAATAATGACTAATATAGCCATCGCAAATGATATTATCTTTTTTTACTTAATCCAACAATACTTTTTCAACCCAACTTGAAGATTATAATTATCTGAAAAGAAGGATATTAATTATAATTCAGACTTTTTTATACCAACTTCCCCATTCTTCCAGTCACCCCGCCCTACCTTCCCCATGCCCTCCAGGCATCCAAAATTGTGGAATCAGCATGTATAGGGCTGGGTACCCTGTGAATACTCAGTAAATATTAACTGTCTAAATGAATTAATCTATTCGCCTCTGGTATAAGTACTTTTGCTGTCTCTCAAATTCAAATCATTTCCTCTCCTTTTACTAACACAGGCATTCATGCATTTAATTCAAAAGCAGTTATTTACTTAGGGTTATTATGGCCTCCACAAATGCAGAGTCTGGTAATGGTGCAAGGCAGTATGAGAACAAGTGCTCAGATGAGGGCCGCAGCAATGGGGAAATAGAAAGAACGTGGGCCTTGACCTCAGCCGACCTACCTTAATTGTAAAAGTGGAGTATTGACACCCAGTTCCCAGGGTCGTTAATAACATTGAATGTTTTGGGGTTTTTTTGAGCACTGTGTGTACAAACCTCTTCAATTCTCCCTGAGCCCCTACATGGGGAAAGTGGGACTTTAAAGGGCTGAACAGTTTGCCTACCTTGAAGTCTCACTGCTAGCAGTGGGCAGTGCTGGAATTTGAACACACTCTTAACTCTTCTTTACAATATCTTCTTTGTGGGAGTGGTCTTGAGAATTAAACTCCTGTCAAGTTCCTCTCAGTATGTCAGTTTCCTCATCCCCTTGTCAGGAGAGGAGGACACTAAGTTCCACGTGTGGAAATTGGTCATGTAACCTTAACCCTGGAGAAATGTGAACGTTATCTCCTGAGGGGCAGCGGTCCACCGGCCACTCAGACCTATTGTTGCCCCAGGAAGGAAGAAAGAATTGGGATTCTGCTTCCCCTTGAGGGGACTGAGAAGTAAAACTGCAGCTAAATCAGTGGACTTTGGGGACTTGTGGGGAAGAGTGGGAAGGCAGTGAGGGATAAAAGACAAGAAATATGGTGCAGTATATACTGCTTGGGTGATGGGTGCACCAGGATCTCACAAATCACCACTAAAGAATGTCTCATGTAACCAAATACCACGTGTATTCCAATAACTTATGGGAAAAAAAAAAACTCTTAGCCACTCTGGAAGGACTGCAGTTAAATTACAAAGAGAAGCAGTACATCCACTGTCAGTACATCTACTCGGATGCTTTTGTCTTTTCTGGTTGCAGCTTGGTCTTGTCTTCTTTCTTAGAAAATGTTCCTTTACTTGTGAAAAGTGCTATCCTTGTTTCTGCTGAACACAGAGAATAAGGGGGTTTGTCTACACCCATGTTGGCTCCAAGAGAGGATCAAAGTGTCCTTTGGTTTAGATGTGGTGACAGCAGCTGGAGAACTAGGGGAACCTGGAGGAACTGGGCAGATGGAGGGAGGATAAGGTGGGAGGCAATTCTAAAGCCAGGATAACCATCTCTTACTACAGGGGATTCTACTACCAGCTCTTCCCAGCAGGCTTTTTCACTCCCCTGCAAAGGCAGACAGTGCCCCAGGAGGTCAGAGATGGAGCTATCCTAATGCCTTGATAGGAGGCAAAGACTGGATGGAGGCAGTGGAGTATAAAAAGAAAGATCTGGCCGGGTGCGGTGGCTCACACCTGTAATCCCAGCACTTTGGGAGGCCAAGGCGGGCGGATTACAAAGTCAGGAGTTCAAGACCAGCCTGACCAATATGGTGAAACCCCATCTCTACTAAAAAAATACAAAAATTAGCGGGGCATGGTGGCACGCGCCTGTAGTCCCAGCTACTTGGGAGGCTGAGACAGGAGAATCACTTGAACCCGGGAGGCAGAGGTTGCAGTGAGCTGAGATTTCGCCACTGCACTCCAGTCTGGGCAACAGAGCAAAACTCTGTCTCAAAAACAAACAGACAAAACAAAACAAAAAAAAAAAAACAACCTTATCAAGCTTCAGGGCCAAGGATACCAGCTGTGAGATTTGAACAAGTTACTCAACCTTGCTGAGTGTCCTGGTGTATAATGACAATGAGACACACACCTCACAGGGAAGCTGTGACAAGCTAATGAAGTCATGTTTATAAGGGACCTGGCAAAGTAGGTGACAGTTGAGCACCTGGCGAAGGATGTGACACTCAGGCTGCAGCCACAATACATGGGAGAATTTGGCTTTTGCTATATCTTACCCAAAACTTGGCTGGGTTGTTCTGATCCTCCCAAGAAAATGTATAATGACAGTAACTCTAATAGCCACTAAAGTTAGTCAATTTTGGGAAAAGAAAAAGGAGAAAAATGAGCTGCAAAACAATTCCACTATCAGAGAGGGCAAAAATGGAAAGGAAAATTTTAGAAGAAAAGTAATACATAGTAAATCTAGAAAATAATCTAGAGTACCTCACTAGAAGGTCTAAATTTAACCTTAAAAAAGAAATCTTGGTGCCTGGGGTGGAAAAACAAATCATCTTTTTTGCTGACTGTACAAGTAAGATGATTAAAGTAGCAATAGAAAAGAGCTTTTAAAAAAATGATGGTAAAAGGTAAAAATGGAAATCCCACACGTGACTCCTAATTTTAAAACAATTATAGTAAAATATTTATCACATAAGTTTACTGTCTTAACCACTTTTACATGTAGGGTTCAGTGGCGTTAAGTACATTCACAATGCTGTGCAACCATCACCACCATCCATCTCCAGAACGCCTTTCATCTTGCAAAACTGAAACCTCTGTATCCATTAAACACTAACTCCCCATTCCTACCTTCCCCTACTCCCTGACAACCACCATTCTACTTTCTGTCTCTATGAATTTGACTACCCTATGTACCTCATATAAGTGGAAGCACACAGTATTTGTCTTTTTGTGACTGACTTATTTCACTTAGCATAATGGACTCCCAGCTTGTTAACTAGATATATTCCAAAGTCATTTACAATGTGATGTATGGATATAAGTCATAGTAAATGTTTTTTCTTTTTTCTTTTTTTTTTTTTTTTGAGATGGAGTCTCGCTCTGTCGCCTGGGCTGGAGTGCAGTGGCGCCATCTTGGCTCATTGCAATTTCCACTTCTCGGGTTCAAGCAATGCTCCTGCTTCAGCCTCCCGAGTAGCTGGGACTACAGGCATGCACCACCACGTCCAGCTAAATTTTTGCATTTTTAGTAGAGACGGGGTTTCACCATGTTGCCCAGGCTGGTCTTAAACTCCTGACCTCAGGCGAATGTTTTAAGTAAAGAGAAAATTCAGATCCTACCAGGCTGGCTTGAACCAATGCCAATTTCCATAATGAAAATGGCTCTCCCCAGATGTAGAAGAGGAAGTGCATACAGATGCAATGTGATCCCAGTGAAACCCCAAATGCAGCTTCTGGGGCCACAGACTTCTGCCTCTCTCTTGAATTTCTTTGTGTTGCCACAACGTAAGAGTTCAGAGAGGTGTTGACAGCATTTCCCTTTATGCTTTCCGTAGGGTCCATATCATTATTACCCCTTCCCTGGACATTCACAATAACTCCTAATACACAGGCAGGATATAAGTTAGACTACTTATATTTACTGAGAACTTACCATGCACCAGACACAGTCAACTTTTTAAAGTGGACAATTTTAAAGAGAAAACTGTAATGGGCAACATAATCATCTCCTACCATCTCTGTTCCTTTCTTTCTCAGATTATGAAGTAGCTATGGAATTTGAATGGGTTGATTCTTCAGCTCCCAGAAAAAAACTTTGATTGGTTTAACTGGCCACAGTAATTGATGTGGGAATGAGGCCCTGACATAATTTCAACTTAGAAGACATGTTCACTGGAAGTGAACTAGGAAGCATGAAGTCTCAGACATTCGACACTGAAAGAATAAGCAGTCTTAGGATGAAGGCAGTGCTATGGACACCAGAACTCCATGGTTCAGGCTGTTCAGCATCAACTGTTCCTGACAGCCACCCTAACGTGCCTCCAGTTTCCTGGGCCAACAGATGCCTGTCATTGTTGAAGTTTCTTTGAGTTGGGTCTTCCGTTACTTACAATTTAAATCACCCTCACTGATTACTATGTACTTAATTGTTCTCCTCCACTCTCTGCCAATCCATATGCTGAAGCCTTAACCCCCAACGTGATAGTATTTGGAGACTGGAACTTTGGGAGATAATTAGATTTAGATGTGGTCATGAGGATGGGACCTTCAAGATGAGAATAGTATCCTTATAAAAAGTGGTACTAGAAAGCCTCTCTTTCTCTCTCTCTGCCACGTAAGAACACAGCAAGAAGGCAGCCATCTGCAAGCCAGGAAGAGAGCCCTTACCAGAACTTGACCATGCTGACACCCTGATCTCAGATGTGCAGCCTCCAGAACTGCAAAAAAGACACATTTTCATTGTTTAAGCTACCTAGTTTATGGTATTTTGTTACAGCAGCCCAATCTGACTAATACGCTGATACAGGCATATTAGGGTACATGCCACCAGCAGAGTGGTTCAACTGCAGGTCCACACTTACCCAGTGAAGGTGACTCAGCCTAGAGTGTGACTCAGTCTCTTCCCAACCCTGTCCGCATCACCCCTGGAAGAGTCAGCTCCTCCCACAACTGCAGTCCTGACAGCAGCATCATGCCTCTGAAATGATCTTGCAAACAAGCTGTCATTGGAGTGCTGAGAGAGTGGCAATATCAACTAAAAACATGAAGAAGAAGAGCAACAAAGAGGAGGAAGAGGAGGAGAAGAGGGAAAGAAGTGAGGCGCTGTGGTGAAGAATAGTACTTCTCATCTCCACCAGAACAGCAGAGAACAATGAAAGCACACCATCAGGACGTCTCAGGGTACAGCCAGAAAAGCCATTACCATTTGTGCCAATATCTTTGAAATCTTGTATTTTGTCATAAAAAGTTATGCAGTTTCTGTATTCTACTTCATCATGTGCCTTTATATTTTTTATATCAAAATGTCTCCCTAAAAACCTTTGAGAAGGGCCATTTTATCTCAAATCTTTGAAATAATTTCCTAGTCCCACCATGCTTGCCCTGAGATGTTCACACCCCAATATGAGAAGCACATGTACATCAGAAAGAGGACTGGACTTAGAGTTTTAAATCTAAGTTCTTTTCCAATACCATGCTTTCCTAGTCTTGATCTTGAAAAATCACTCATCATCTTTAAGCTTCTCTTTCGTCATGAGTGAAAGAAAGGATGACACCAACACCTTCTCTCCCTTTCTCATAGAAGCATCAAGCTCCAAGTAGTTAATGTGAGAAAAAGGACTTGGGAGAACAGGAAGCTCTGGCCTTTTTGTTGTGTAGGGTATTTTCCCAAGAATACTTTGGAAGTTTCCTTTAATTTGTTCTTGGACTAACCTTTCCTATTCACTCTGATACCTTTTTGTTCAACCCTTGTATCTGTGCATGGAAGAGCACAGGAGGCAAAAAGAATAAGGATTTATAGTCACTTGTCAATAGGCGTGGAAGAGAAGTCAGATTCTTATTTATTTGAGATAAAGTCTAGCTCTGTTGCCAGGATGGAGTGCAGTGGTGTGATTTCTGCTCACTGCAACTTCCACCTCCTGGGTTCAAGTGATTCTCCTGCCTTAGCCTCCCTAGTAGCTGAGATTACAGGTGTGTACCACCACTCTCGGCTGATTTTTGTATTTTTAGTAGAGATGGGGTTTCACCATGTTGACCAAGCTGGTCTCGAACTCGTGACCTCAAATGATCCACCTACCTCGGCCTCCTAAAATGCTAGGATTACAGGCATGAGCCACCGTGCTTGGCCAGATTCTTATTCTTGAGGTGACCTCTATATCCCTTCGTTCCCTTCATGTCTGTATCTTCCACCCTTATCATGGCATCTCAAGTTTCCCTACTTAAGAGAATCTGAGCCTGTATCCCTCATACTTGCCTTATGGACAAATCACCTGGGATACAGGAAGGCAAGTGACTTCCATCTGCAGTAACAGCTCTGGTTCATTGGTTGCTTAGAACATTACATTGAGAAGAATCACTCAATGGGAAAGAATATAGATGGGTTGGAGATGTCTGCACAGACAGGGAAGTGAGAACAGCCACATTTGTGGCATCACTAGCTGTCCTTGGTTGACAGGCTCAAGATGAGTCAACTCAGAAAAGTGTTGGACGGGCACGGTGGCTCAGGCCTGTAATCCCAGCACTTTGGGAGGCCAAGGAGAGCAGATCACTTGAGGTCAGGAGTTCGAGACCAGCCTGGCCAACATGGTGAAATCCTATCTCTACTAAAAATACAAAAATTAGCTGCGCGTGATGGCAACCTATAATCCCAGCTACTTGGGAGGCTGAGGCAGGAGAATCGTATGAACCTGGGAGGTGGAGGTCGCAGTGAGCCAAGATCGTGCCACTGCAGTATTCCAGCCTGGGGAACAGAGTGAGACTCCGTCTTAAATTAAAAAAAAAAAAAAAAAAAAGTCACAATTATTGAAAGCTGGAAGGTTTTCAGAAAAATCTCAAATGTAGGCGTTTCCATCCTTGGGGTCTTGACTCGTGAGGCATTTACAAACTTAGTAATAATGACTTATATCTTATTTTTGATAATATGAAGGCCCAACTCCTTCCCTATGATAGGGTTGTCAAGGTTCTTTCCTTTTGAGCAGAACAGTATCTACTCCATTCACTAATGGCGTATCATGCTAGTCGCTATGATTGACATTTGTTGAAGTCACAGAAATTTCCGGAATGTTATTGGTCCACCTGACAGTCCAGGATGCCAATTGAACCCATGAGCAATTGTGGACTTGAATACACAGTGATGACCTAAGATAAGTGACTGCTTGAAGAGAACAATGGTAATAAAGAGACTCCTGGTGATTAAGAGCCTGGGAATCAATGTTCTAATGAAATATGACATCAATCTTAATGTAACTGCTTCAAATCCTACCCAGTAATTCTGAAATTTTTAGGGGCTTCAGATTTGGATGAACACACCATGAGTTTATTTCAAAATGCCTATTTCTATTTCAGTATGCAATTACTTGAGACTTTTTTGAAAAAAATAACAAACAGCTTCTATTAAATAATTGTCTTTTTGTTGCAGAATTCTAAAGGGTTTATGGACTGTGTACATACACTGCATTTAAGCTTTTCATTTATTTGACTACTTTGGTGTTTTCAGTTTGCCGGAAAGCAGGCCCTCATAGATGAAAGGCCCAGCTGGTGTCCAAAAGCCATCGATTTGCCTTGTCGGCTCTTTAGGCAACCAGGCTTTCTAAGTGGGTAGGCCCATAGGGTGTTTGTTTCATTTTGGTCATGTCCTACTGTGCTTCAACATAAAGCTACACAACAACCATAAAAGACATAATGATTACATATTTTTGGAATTTCTTTCTATTTTTCCAGGGTTTCTTTAGGACCTACCATTTCTTTTTTTTTTTTTTTTTTAGATGGAATCTCACTCTGTCACCCAGGCTGGAGTGTAGTGGCATGATCTTGGCTCACTGCAACCTCTGCCTCTCGGGTTCAAGCAATTATCTTGCCTCAGCCTCCTGAGTATCTGGGACTACAGGAGTGCCAACCCTCGTCCAGCTAATTTTTGTATTTTTAGTAGAGACAGAGATTCACCACGTTGGCCAGGCTTGTCTTGCTCCTGACCTTAGGTGATCCACACACCTCCACCTCCCAAGTGCTGGGAATACAGGCGTGAGCCACCATGCCCAGCCGGGCCTACCATTTATTTCTATCTGAGTTTCCCTTGCCAGTGAACTCTTGCATTTTAAGTAATAGCCATTGAGGAAAAAGCTGTCAAATGAGAACGTTTCAGAGAAAAGCACCTTGAAGAGTGACAGGCTGAGGTTTGGGGTGGCCTGTAGGAGCCCTGTGCCTGGAAGAGATGACAGGCACCTACATCTCTCCTAAAAGCAATGGGGAGGTGGTTAGTAATAAGGGACTTCTCTATTATACTTCTCCTGCTCCCAATTTCTTTTCCTTATTCTCTTAAATTGTTTTCTCCCTCTCTTTATCTCATTTCCTTTGGTGTCTCTCCTGTCCTTTTTTTCTAATTTCCCTTTTTCTTCTCTTGCTTTTTCTCCTCCCCTTTTTTCTTCTCTCCTTCATCCTTTCTTTTCTGTCCTATTTCGCTGCCCTTTCTGCGAAAACTGTTTTCCCTTTATGGCATCAGACTGTTTCCCAAAGTGTGTTCCACCAAGCACTGGATCCACAGGTTGCTTTGTGGAAAATAAAAAAGATGGGTCTGAAGCAGGGCCATCAGTGATTCAATAAGTTCAGGAAACAGTGTCGGCTTCCTGGAGCATCCACATTCCACAGGTTCTGAGAAATTCTGCTGTGAAGAAACTGTCTAACTTGCCTTATCCCAGAGCTCCCCAAACTTCCTGACCTCAGCATCATTTTCCTTCCAAAGAAATGAATCTCACTGAGAATCTCTGTGGTAGAGCCTCTTGTCTTCCTCACTTTGGGGCTTCTGAGCACTTCTTTCATCCAGCCAAGCCTGATGTCAAGGTGTCTTCTCACGTGCTGAGGGCCACCACAGTCAGGGTCTCCCTTTTGGGTGACCGCCTTCACTGCCCACCCTGCAGCCACCTACCACTCAGACTTGCAAAAGTCCTGTATTGCTCACCTCCCTTTGGTTGTTGTTTTTTTTTTTTTTTTTTTTCTAAAAAATTGTCAAAGATGATTTTTGAAGAATACTTGCAGTGTGGCAGAGGTACAAGCAGAGGAATATTTTGGTTCCCTGCTGGTAGTAATGCTCCCATCATTGCAGAGGGCGATTTGGTAATATGTAGCCAAAGCCTTAAAATTCTATTGAGTGGTGGGGCAGGCACAGTGGGTCATGCCTGTAATCCCAGTACTTTGGGGGTCCGAGGCAGGAGGATCTCTTGAGCCCAGGAATTTGAGACAAGACTAGGCAACAAAGCAAAACCCCATCTCTACAAAAAATAGAAAAATTAGCCAGGTATGGTGGCGCGTGCCTGTAGTCCCAGTTACTTGGGAGGCTGAAGTAGGAGAATCACTTAAGCCCAGGAGGCAGAGGTTGCAGTGAGCTGTGATCACACCACTGCACTCTAGCCTGGGCAACAGATTAAGACCCTATATTAGAAAAAAAAAAAGCAACACATTCTGTTTAAGGGACTTTAGCCTAAGAAAACAATTAAGAATGGATGCAAAGAGTTAGCTAAAAGGATTCTTTACTGGAGTGTTTTCTGTAATAACAAAAACTTGAGAACAACCTTAATATCCAATGATGGAAGATGGTTTGAGTACACTGTGGTGTATTCATATAATCAGGTAGCTCTGAAGAGTGGAGTTTTAGAAGAGTATTTAAAAATAGATACCCCAAAATAATTTTCTGTAACAAACATACATACGCCCATTGTGATCCCATTTCTGTCAAATCAGCATACACTGAGTGTGACATATGCATATAAATATTCGAAGCTGGGAAGAGCAGTCACCAAAATTTATCAGTAATCTTCACTTCCAGGGTAGTTCATTTCAGCTTCTTCTTGTTTATCTGTGCTTTCTGATTTTTATATAAAAGAGCATATGTTTTTTGTATATTGAAAGGAAACAATAAATTAGAAAAATTAACAAAAATGGTTGGTGATCGTTTATATGCTTTGTTACCATTTAAAGTCCCAGTTTACTCCAAATAGGGTCCTGTCAACACCAACTGGGACTTTTCTGTCTCTTGGGGGGTAAGTGCTCCATGAGGAAGGTCAAAGAGAATGTCAACCTTCCTTCTGCTATCTGAGGAAATCTGGATACAAGCGCCAACTTCTAGGTTGTGATGCTGCAATTTACTGAGAAAAAAAAAAAGATCAACACACCCCACCATCTATTTATTTAATATTAAAAATAATATTTCACTGAGTTTGGCTGGCGTCAGCCCGAGCAGTTACTCATACAGGAATTCAAACAAAAGCAGCACTGGCTCTGGGCCAGTGGGTTGGTGCTGGGTGGTCCATGTCGGTCCTTAGCTCAGAGCAGTTCCTAAGGCTGCTTTGAGACCTGTTTTGGGTTGGGAAGATGATGTATTCATTTATTTATTAGAAATGTTTTAACAGGAAATGCTAATAGTTTGCATTGAGGGAGAACTGCCCTGGAGACAGCTGGAGGAACCCAACAGACATCGCTGGGGAGGAGATTGCTGCTCATGGCCTTGGAATTAAATCAGGGTCTGTTATGAGAGTCTACACTGGAACCCAGCACACTAAACTCGCCCAAAACACCCTGGTTGCTTTGCTTCAGGACAGAGGCGGAAGGAGCAGCTCCACTCTTTCAGCTGCCCTGGCTCTCTTCTCTGTTGCCGTTTGTTTCTCAGAAACCTAACAGTGTATTTTTCATGTGACTGTGAACACAGACGCCGGCTCTGCTAGGAGTGAACGGCCCTATGGACACAAACCTCCAGGTGGGGTTTTGTGAACCAAGGTGTAAGTAGCATGTGTGTAACTCGAACCCACATTGAGCGTGCCTGTGGGCTGGAGTCATATGCGAGTTCAGGGGTTACACGTGCATATCTTTTATGTGTATGAGGACAAGTGAAAGACCAATGTTTGCAAGGGATTCCAGGCGTATCCTCAAGCTCCAGGGTGCATTCCATTGTTAGAACACATTCATGGGTATTTTGTGGAACCACAGTGAAAATAAAATATAGAGGAGGGTGTAAGTCAAGCACAAATGTCTACGCATGAGAAAAACATGAGCTGGCTTGTACATATTTTTTTAAATCCTCTTCTAGCTCTTTTGAAAGTGTGTGGAACTTTACTCATGGGGGAAGAGCGTGATTACAGTGCCACAGGGAATGGGGTTGTCTCACCCATTCTGGCACGACAAAAGGGCTGTTCCTGTGTTTCCAGATAACAATGGAGGTGAAGCCTGACCCTGGAAACCAGTCAAGATTCTCAGAGATAAACCCTTGGGCAGCAAGAACACAGTCAATGAAAAGAAACTGACCCTTTGCCTCTTGAGTCACAGAATTCCCACAAATGCTGTGTCCTCGTCAGCTCTGGCAGGACTCACCACCACAGCCCCAGACATCGCCACCACTTTATAAACAGTGTGGAGGGCGTTGCTGGAGTCTCTGAGGAGGGGGCTGTGCTAGAAGTCAGGGCATCTTTACCTCCAGCACCTAAAAATACTGGATGCCTCCCTCCCTCCCATTTTCTTCTAGAGGTAAAACTTTCCTTCCATGCTCACAAAGTTATGAGAAAACCCCTTCAACAGTTTTCCTCTGGCAGCATTTCCATGCAGATCATTCCTCTAGGTCTGCCGCTGCTGAAAGTACCTCAAATGAGCCTTTAACCTGACAGATTTTGGTGTTCTAAAACCTGAACCAAGAGCCTTTGGAAGGACTGCACAGCCTTGGAACTAGGGGCAGGAAGTTTCAGGGCAAGGGTGGTAGAGGACCTGGACTAGGGTGAGGAAGTCTGGAGCAAGAAAAGAGGAGAAAGAGGGGTTTGCATCAGTGGCAATGGAGGTAAGCAGTAGGTTGGAAATTCATTAAGTGTCTTGTTTAAGGTCCAAAATTAATCAGTCCCTTAGAGCCTCAAGTTCCTCAGCAAAATCAGAGTGTTGAAGTTTCTGGATTTTAAATCCAATGAACTAGGACTTCATTCCTTAACCACTGCTTTCCTGTAAAACTCTAAAAACATTCAGCATTGCATGAGCCACTAGAACAATGGTTTTCAACATTGGCTGCATATGGAATCACTCGGGGAGTTTTAACCAATGTTAATGCATGAATTCAGCTCCAGAGATTCTGATGGAATTGGTCTGGATGAGGCCTGTACACCAGGATTTCTCATTTTTCTCTCCTTTCATGAGTCCTCTCCCTGAAATGCAGATATTGTCTAAAATTCTGTCTGTAACCCTCATATTTCTGTTTTTTTTCTCTATTTCTCTTCTCATTCACTCCTACATCATTAACTATCACTTATTTCAGGATGATGCTCAAATCTGTGTAGATCCATGACTTACGTATCCTGCTTTCTTTTGTCCATCTATATCTAAATGATGATGTTCTAGGCTCCAATTCATGTTCAGTGCCCAACTCAACATCTTATCCCCAAAGCTCTTTCATTTCTTGATGGTATACCTCCCATTATCTTATCACCAAGGCTCCAAATCTTAGCGTTATCTTTGTATGATGAATTAAAAAATGTATTAATATGAGCATGTCCCCAATCTCTCTACCACCTACTCATAAGAGAATGTTGTCTTTGATAGCTTGGCTAAGCCTGCCCTCTTAGCCTTTTTCAGGCTGGTCCCTTGAGTTTCATGATTCAAAATCAAGAGAATGGATAAACAAAGATAAGACTGAAGAGGCAGAAGGAAGGAAAGAAAAGAACAAAAGACAAGGGCCTCCTGGGCTGAGGCTTTTGAGAGTTTCCAGGAAAAATAGATGGAAAGTAGGAGGTTAGAAGAGTGAGAAACTCCAGAACTGATGAGTTCTAAGTACTAAAGACAGAAAAGGGAAGTTTAAAAATTGTTCCTAAACTATGAATTGTATGCTTTTTAAAGTTCTTAGAGAACGGCAAGTAAAATTTTGAATTAGTTTTAAAATACTTTTGATTGTTAGACTTTTTTTCAGTTCAGTGTTGCTTTGAGACTGAGTTATGTGGATGTACAGCTTATATTTGGATTATATACAACACCTCCTTCTTCAGTTGTCATATCAAAATGTTGCCAAACCCTGTAATTTTTCCCCTTTCAGCCTGATCACTCTCTACTTCCCAACAACATCATAAACTTCAGCTAGACTGCCTACGTTTTCTCTAAGCATATCTCAAACTTTTTTCTTTTGGACTTTGGCTTATTCTGTTCCCTACACCCAGAATCACTGTCCATTTCCATCACTTGAAAATCTCTATACGTCAAAGCGCAGCTTAGAGTCCACTTTGTTGAGGCCTTCCCTGCTGATGCTCCGTGCATTCTACATCCCTTCCTGCCTTTGCAATTGTCCATAACAACAATAATGATGATGATAATACCAATAGCTCACATTTATATGGAGTGCACTATGTCCAGGCACTGTTTTAAGTG
The DNA here is from genome assembly GCF_000001405.40 of Homo sapiens. NCBI lineage: Eukaryota > Metazoa > Chordata > Mammalia > Primates > Hominidae > Homo > Homo sapiens. Next base: position 99,469,948 of record NC_000010.11, read on the forward strand.
CTTTGCACATATTATCTTATTTAATTCTTGCAATAACCCTGGGAGGTTGTATTGTGGGAACTAAGACGGGAAGGTTAAGTGACTTCCCCATGGTTACACAGCTATAATTGTCACAGACAGGATTTGCATCCAGGTTGCAGAGTCCTCATCCTTTCTATAGTACACTTATACTTTAATACCTCAGTACATGCCTGAAATATCCTTGTCATTCCTCTAGGTCTGCAGGAAGTTTCCATTTATTACTGCTTCACATTTTGCAGCTCCCCCATTCAACACCAACAAATAAATGGTTGTGTTTCACTATCGTCAGATTTACATAGTCACTTAAGAGTTTGCACTGGCGTCCAAATAGAAGACATCAGCGTGTGCATGATCAGGATTTTGACTTAGAGAGATCCACTTTAGGCTGAAGTCTTCAGGGACACTTAATCTGAGAGCAGGGAGCATATGTTTATAAATCTTACCTTTGAGTTTCATCTTCTTCCTCATAATGTCTTTGACGTGTCAACCGTAAAGCAAACCACAGAATGGCCATACTTGAGTGAGGCAAAGATTTAACGCTGCTGCTCTCGTTCAAGTGGCTATACCTAGAACTACAGTTGTGTTTTACCAGTCATTGTGAAGTACACACACAGTGATTTAATGCAGCTTGGTTTATGTTCAGATGCAGCTCTGTTCTAACTTCTTGGAGAGAGCAGTGGGGTTCCTGTTAAAGGGCAATCCACTTGGTCAGGAATCGTTTTCAGGTGAACAAAAGTATGGTTTGATTTGAGAACTACATAAATCAATTAGTTTTAATTCTGCAAAATACATAAGTAACTTTTAGGATAAAAGCATGCTGTAAAGTTTAAATGTAGACTTCCACTTCTGGCCAACATTGAATAACAAGGATTGGCTTACTCTCCTGGCTGAAACAACCAAATAAATTGACAAAATATGTGAAACAACAGTTTGAAAGACACTGGATATGAGGCAAAAAAGGACAGTGGTCTCGAGAGATGTAATGAAGTAAGTGCTACAATTGCCATGGTTTACTGCCTTGAGAGAGTTTGCAAGCCACACCACAAAGAAAGGGGAACCTGGGTAGAACCAAACTCCATGAGTTGAGAATACAGAGCAGAGAATCTGGGGAGACCAAGGCTGCTAGGACATTCCTGAGGTTTGCAGAGGGTTCCCACTCAAGTGTTCAGCTAAGGACTGATCGGCAGATGCACATGAGGAAACTATCGGAGGCCAGAAAAAAAAACACCCAAAAAATTAGAGGTAACTGGCTGGGCACAATAGCTCACACCTATAATCCCACGTCTTTGAGAGGCCAAGGCAGGAGGATTGCTTGGGGGCAGGAGTTTGAGACCAGCCTGGGCAACATAGCAAGACCCTGTCTCTACTAAAAATTTAAAAGTTGGCCAGGTGTGGTGGATGCACCTGTAGTCCCAGCTACTCAGAAGGCTGAGGTGGGGGAATGGCCTGAGCCCGGGAGATTAAAGCTGCAGTGAGCTATGATTACACCACTGCACTCCAGCCTGGGTGACAGTGTGAACCTGTCAAAAGAGAAAGAGTGAAAGAAGGAAGGAAGGAAGGAAGGAAGGAAGGAAGGAAGGAAGGAAGGAAGGAAGGAAGGAAGGGAAGGAAGGAGCCAGGCACAGTGGCTCACGCCTGTAATCCAAACACTTTGGGAGGCCGAGGCAGGCAGATCACCTGAGGTCAGGATTTCGAGACAAGCCTGGCCAACATGGTGAAACCCCATTTCTACTAAACATACAAAAATTAATTGGGCATGGTGGTGCAAGCCTGTAATCCCAACTACTGGGAGGCTGAGGCAGGAGAATCACTTGAACCCAGGAGGTGGAGGTTGCAGTGAGCCAAGATCGTGCCACTGCATCCCAGCCTGGGTGACAGAGTGAGACTTGGTCTCAAAAAGAAAAAAGAAAGAAAGAAAGAAAGAAAGAAAGAAAGAAAGAAAGAAAGAAAGAAAGAAAGAAAGAGAAAGAGAAAGAAGGAAGGAAGCAAGAAAGGAAAGAAAGAAAGAAGGAAGGAAGGAAAGAAAGAAAAGAAAGAAAGAGGGAAAGAAGGAAGGAAAGAAAGAGAGAAAGAGGAAGGAAGGAAGGAAGGAAGGAAGGAAGGAAGGAAGAAAGAAAGAAAGAAAGAAAGAAAGAAAGAAAGAAAGAAAGAAAGAAAGAAAGAAAGAAAAAGAAAAGAAAGATAACAGTGGCAGTCCCTCCCATAAGGCTGGGAATAGCATCTGTTCTCACCAGCCAGACTTGAAGACCTCAAGGTTCATGGTGGGGTATGTGAGACTGTATATAAGGGCACTGCCTCAGTGGTAAGACCTAGTTAATTCTAGACCAAACACAGCTCCAGTCCTATCTAACAAACCTTAAAAACAAGAGCCAAAAGGATCAAACTGTTTCCAAGTGATTTATCCAAATTCTAGAACAAAACTCCACAGTATTATTGGAATACAGAAATAACCAGCACCAAACAAAAAATTTAAATGCCTGGAATCCAGTAAAAATTTGCCAGACATCAAAATAGCAAGAAAGTATAATCTATAGCAAGGAGATTAACAACTGAAACAGAAACAGAACAGATACAGATTTAGATTTAGCCGAGAAGGACATTAAAAATAATTATAACTATTACATATGCTCCAAAAGTTAAGTAGAGACTTGGAAGATATATTTTCTTAAAAACAAATACCATTTATTTATAATTATGTGGTTAGAAAGGACATGTTTTAAAAATGGACTTTACTGAGGGACAACCAATATGTTACTTTTCCCAAAAATATTTTGGCATTATGTTAATAGACTTCTTGTTTATTATAATATTTTGGCATTATGTTAATTGACTTCTTATTATCTTGTTCATAATTTGTTATGGATTTTTTATTGTGGTAAAAAATGCATAAAATGTACCATTTTAATCATTTCTAAGTATACAATTCAGTAGTGTTAAATATATTCACATTGTTGTACAACCCATCTCCAAATCTTTTTCATCTTGCAAAACTGAAACTACTCATTAAATAACAACTCTCCATTTCCCCCTACCCCTGGCCCCTGGAAACCACCATTCTACTTTGTTGTTATAAATGTGTTTTGCTTTTTGTTTTTTGGGTTTTTTTTCTTTTGAGACAGTTTTGCTCATGTTGCCCAGGCTGAAGTGAAATGGCGTGTTCTCGGCTCACTGCAACCTCCACCTCCCAGGTTCAAGTGATTCTCCTGCCTCAGCCTCCCCAGTAGGTGGGATTACAGAAGCATGCCACCACTCCCAGCTAATTTTTGTATTTTTAGTAGAGACGGGATTTCACCATGTTGGCCAGGCTGGTCTCGAACTCCCGACCTTAGGTGATTCGCCTGCCTCCACCTCCCAAAGTGCTGGGATTACAGGCATAAGCCACCATGCCCGGCCTGTTTTTATGAATTTGACTACACTATATACCTTATATAAGTAGACTCACACGGAATTTGTCTTTTTGTGACTGGCTTATTTCACTTAGCATAATGTCCTCAAGGTTCATCCATGTTGTAGCATGTGTCGGAATTTCCTTCCTTTTTAAGGCTGAACAATTTTCCATTGTGTGCATACACCACATTTTACCTCTCCAGCAATGGACACTTGGGTTGCTTCTACCTCTTGACTATTGTGAATAGTGCTGCTGTTAACTGGGGAGTGTAAATATCTCTTTTTGATATTGCTTGGCCTAGATTCTTTTGGATATATGTCCAGAGGAGGAATTACTATCATATGGTAATTCTATTTTTAATTTCTAAGAAACCACCCTGCTATTTTTTATAGTGGCAACACCATTTTACATTCTCATCAATAGTAAACAAGCATTTCAATTTCTCCCATCCTGACCAGCAATTTTTTTTTTCTGTTTATTTAGGTCTTTTTTTTTTTAATTTACTTTTATTTTGGTTCAGGGTACATGTGCAGTTTTGTTATGTAGGTAAACTTAGGTCTTTCTGATAGTACCCATCCTCATGAATATAAGGTAATATCTCACTGTGTTCTTCTTTTTGTTTGTTTGTTTTTGAGACGGACTTTCGCTCTAGTTGCCCGGGAGGTGGCTCCCGGGTTCAAGCGATTCTCCTGCCTCAGCCTCCCAAGTAGCTGGAATTACAGGCATGCACCAACACATCTGTATTTTTTTTTAGTAGAGACAGGGTTTCTCCATGTTAGTCAGGCTGGTCTCAAACTCCCAACGTCAGGTGATCCGCCCGCCTCGGCCTCCCAAAGTGCTGGGATTACAGGTGTAAGCCACCATGCGGGCCTCACCGTATTTTTCATTTGCATCTCCCTAATGATTAGTGATGTTTAGGATCTTTTCATATGCTAATTGGCCATTTGTATATCATCTTTGGAGAAATGTCTATTCAACTTTTTGCCCATTTTTAAATTCTTTTTTGTTCAGCTGTAGCAAGAATATATATTTTTTAAAAATCTAAATCACATTTGTAGACATGAAAACAATATGTGAGATAAAAAATAATCTGGATGATATTAGTGGCAAATTAAACACAGCAAGCAAAGATTAGTGACATTGAAGATAGAGCAATAGGACTATCCAAAATGGAACAAAGAAAATATAGTATTTTAAAAACATCCCACCATTAGATCTGACAAAATTAAATAAATAAATAAAAATAAAAACAGAGAATCAGTAATTTCTTTCTTTCTTTCTTTTTTAAAGACAGAGTCTTGCCCTGTCACCCAGGCAAGAGTGCTGTGGCACGATGATTTTGGCTTACTGCAGCCTCAATCTCCTGGGCTCAAGTAATCCACCCACCTCAGCCCCCCAAGTAGCTGAGACAACAGGTACATGACACCACACTTGGCTAATTTTTACATTTTTTGTAGAGATGGGGTTTTGCCATGTTGCCCAGGCTGGTCTTGAACTCCTAGGCTTAAGTGATCCACCTGCTTCACTCAGCCTCCCAAAATGCTGGGATTATAGGCATGAGCCACTTTACCTCACTAGTAATTTCTTTAAGAAGCCTAATATACACATAATTGGAGTCCTCCAAGAAAAGGAGAGGGAAGAGGGCCAAAAATATATTTTTCCAAACATTATGAAAATCCATAGATCCAAGAAGCTCAGTGAACCTCCAGTATAAGGCAAATGAAAAATAACACCAAGGCACATCATAAACAAATTAGTCAAAATCAGTGATAAAGAGAAAATATTACAAGTAGCCAGAAAAAAGAAAGAAAGACACACTGCTTACAGAGGAACAAAGATAGGTTGACAGATTTGGTTTTGGAAACAATGCAAATGCTTCCTTGTGAGGTAGGAACATCATTAAAATATTGAAAGGACAAAAAAGTATCAGGCAAGAATTCTATACCCTGTGAAAATATCTTTCTAAAGCGAAAGCTGAAAGAATTCATCACCAGCAGGATCATACTAAGAGAATTATTAAAATAAATCCTTCCAACAGAGAGATGATTATAACAAATGGAAATATGGATCTACACAAAGAAATAAGAAAGCTGGAAACAGGTAAATATATGTCTTATTATACTTCTTTAAGTCTCTTTGAAAGCCCATTTATTGTCTGAACAAAATAACAACGTAGCATGGAGTTTATAACATATGTAAAAGTAAAATGTATGACACCAATCACACAAAGGTCAGGAGGGGAGAAAGGAAAGTATACTATTGTAAGGTTGTTATACTAAATATAAAGTGGAATAATATCATTTGAAAGTAAACTGTGATATACTAGACATGTATCTATAATCCCTAAAGCAACCACTAAAAGCTGTTATAGATAATAAGGCAACAAAGGAGATAAAATGGAATCACAAAAAAATTAACCCAAAAGAAGGCAGAAAAGGATGGAAGGGGTAGAAGAACAGATGGAATAAATAGCAAGATAATAGATTTATTGGTTCCCTCCCCCCATTCCCCCCCCCAGTCAAGTCCTCAGAGCAAAGGATGATAGATTTAAACCTAGCCAATTCAAAATCAGAGATAGTTAGATTGGATTTTTTTAAAGCAAGAAGCAACTGTATGCTATCTATAAGAAATGTACTTCAAATCTAAAGACACATATGGGTTAAAAGAAAAGGGACAGGAAAAGATATTCCATGCCGACAGTTAGCAAAAGGAACCTGGAGTTGCTATGTTAAGGCAGTATAGATTTCAGAGCAGAGTATTATCAGGGATAAAGATGTCAAACCATTTCATCAAAAGAACATAACACTTAGGTGTGGTGGTTCATGCCTATGATCCCAGTTCTTTGGGAGGCCAAGGCAGGAGGAACACTAGAGCCTAAAAGTTTGAGACTAGATGAGATCTCAAAGCGAGATCCCATCTCTATAGAAAAAAAAAAAAATTAAAAATCAGCTGGATGTGGTGTTATGTGCCTGTAGTTCCAGCTACTTGGGAGGCTGAGGCAGGAAGAGTCCCTGAGCCTGGGAGGTGGAGGGTGCAGTGAGCCGTGATCGTGACACTGCACTCCACCCTGGGCAACAGATTAAGACCCTGTCTCAAAAAAAGAAAAGAAAAAGAAACAACATAACAATCTAGAACATTTACGCGCCTAAGAACAGAACTTCAAAATACAGGAAGCAAAAACTGGTAGAACTGTAAAAAGAAATGGACAAATCCAGTTATAATTTGACATTTAAATACCCTTCTCTCAACAATTCATAAAACGAGTAGAAAGAAAATTAGGGTAGAGAAGATTTAAACAACACAATCAACCAACTTGACCTAATTGACATTTATAGAACATGTTATGCAACATAAGCAGAGCCCACATTCTTGTTATGTGCACATGGAACTTTCACCAACATATAAATAAGATACTCGGCCACAAACTAGTCAAATACATTTAAAAGAATTCAAGACATAAAAGGTGTGTTCTCTAACCACAATGGAATTAAGGTAGACACAGAAAACAAAGGTCTTTGGAAAATCCCCAAGTATTTGGAAATCAAATGACAACTTCTAACTTACTCATGAATCAAATAATAAATCAAAAGGGGGATTAGAAAATATTAATCCCCCTTTTAAGGGGGCTGGGCGAGGTGGCTCACGCCTGTAATCCCAGCACTGTGGGAGGCCAAGGCAGGTGGATCACCTGAGGTCAGGAGTTCGAGACCAGCCTGAGCAACATGGTGAAATCCTGCCTCTACTAAAAATACAAAAACTAGCTGAGTGTGGTGGTGCACGCCTGTAATTCCAGCTACTCAGGAGCCTGAGGCAGGAGAATTGCTTGAACCCCAGAGGTAGAGGTTGCAGTGAGCCAAGATCGCACCATTGCACTCCAGCCTAGGCAACAGGGCGAGACTCTGGAATAAGAAGGAGGAGGAGGAGGAGAGGGAGAGGGAGGGGGAGGGGGAGGGAGGGGGAGAAGAAGAAAATATTAACTGAAAGAAAATGAAAATACAACATATCAAAATTTGTGGGATACTACTTGGGAGAATCTAATAGCATTAAATGTCTATATTAGAAAAGAAGAAGGATCTCACGTCAATGAACTGAATCATTGGTGGATCTCAGCTTCCACCTCAAGAAACTAGGAAAAACTGAACAAATTAAATCTAAAGTAAGTAGAAAGAGATGAAGTAGAAAAGTGAAAAATAGAAAAAAAAAAATCAATGAAACCAAAAGTTGATTCTTTGAAAATATCAATAAAATTGATAAAACTCTAACCAGACTGATCAGGAAAAAAAAAAAAATTACTAATATAATAAATAAGACAGGGACCACACAGATGCTAAACATATTAAAAAATAATGAAGGAATATTATGAAAAATCAATGCCAATAAATTTAGCAAATTACATGAAATTGACAAATTCTTTGAAGAACACAAACTACCAAAGCTCTTCAAAAGGATATTGATGACTTGAATAGCCCTTTATCTATTAAGGAAATTGAATTTGTAATTAAAAACCTTTCCACAAAGAAAACTTCAGGCCCAGATGACCTCATTGGTGAATTCTACCAAACATTTGAGGAAGAAATAATACCAAATCTATATTAATTCTTCTAGAAAATTGAAAAAGTAGGAATACTCCTCAACTCATTTGATGAGGCCAGCATTACCCCAATACTAAAACCAGATAAAGGCATTACAAGGAAACTACAGACCAATATCCCTTATGAACATAGGTGCAAAAATGCTAAACAAAATTTGTCAAAATGAATCCAGCTATATATAAAACGGATAATACTTCATGACCAAGTGGGGTTTATCCCAGGAATATAAGGTTGGTTTAACATTTGAAAAATCAGTGTAATTCACCGTATTAATTAAATTAAAAAGAAAAACCATATAGTCATCTCAACAAATGCAGAGAAATTATTAACAAAACCCAACATCCATTTCTGTTTTTTTTTTAATGAACAAACTAGGAAAAGTTCGGAGCATCCTCAACCTGATTTTTTTTTTAAATCTCTAAAAAATCTACAGCTAACATACTTAACGATGAAAGACTGAATACTTTCTCCCTGTGAGCAGGAACATGATAGTAATATTTACCCTTAATACTCCTATTCAACACTGTACTGAGAATGTAGACAATGAAATAATAAAGAAAAGAAAATGAAAGCATCCAGTGGGGAAGAAAGAAGTAAAATGTTCTCTATTCACAGATGACATGATCATCTATGCAGAAAGTCTTACAGAATTTACAAAAAAACTTCTAGAATGAGTTCAGCAAGGTTGCATGATACAAGATCAATATGCAAAAAATAATGATATTTCTATACACCGGCAATGAACAATTGGAAACTGAAATTTTAAAATACTGTTTACAAGAGCATTGAAAGATGTAAATGCTTATGTATAAATCTGACGAAGGATGTAAATGCTTATGTATAAATCTGACAAAAGATGTGGAAGAATTGTACATAGAAAACTTCAAAGCAACATTGAGAGAAATTAAAAACCTAAATAGATACACCATATTCATGACTCTGAAAGCATAAATTTTTAAGATGTTGATTCTCCCCAAAATGATCTGTAGATTCAATGCAGTTTCAATAAAAATCCCAGCAAACTTTTAGTAGAATTTGAAAAATTATTTCTAAAATTTATATGGAAATGCAAAGTCCGAAGAACTTTGAAAAGAAGCATTGTCCAAACAACTTTGAAAAAGGAAAAGTAGAAGGACTAACACTATTATAAAGCCACAGTAATCAAGATAATGTATCACTAAATCAATGTCCGACAATCAGTAGCATTTCTTTTTTTTCTTTTTTTTTTTTTTTGAGATGGAGTCTCGCTCTTGTTGCCCAGGCTGGAGTGCAATGGCGCGATCTCAGCTCACTGCAACCTCCGCCTCCCGGGTTCAAGCGACCCTCCTGTCTCAGCCTTCTGAGTAGCTGGGATTACAGGCATCCGCCACCATGCCCAGCTAATTTTTTGTATTTTTAGTAGAGATGGGGTTTCACTATGTTGGCCAGGCTGGTCTCAAACTCCTGACCTTGTGATCCACCCACCTCAGCCTCCCAAAGTCCTGGGATTACAGGTGTGAGCCACCACGCCCAGCCCAGTAGCATTTCTATACACCAATAACATCCAGGGTGAGAGTCAAATCAAGAACACAATCCTATTTATAACAGGAATAAAGAAAATGAAATACCTAGGAATACAGCTAATGAGGGAGGTAAAATATGACTACAATGAGAATTACAAAACACTGCTCAAAAAAATCAGATGATGCAAATGAATGGGAAAACATTCCATCCTCATGCAAAGGAAGAATCAATATCATTAAAATGGCCATACTGCCCAAAGCAACTTACAAATTCAATGCTATTCCTAACAAACTACTAATGCCATTCTTCACAGAATTAGAAAAACCATTCTAAAATTCATATGGAACCAAAACAGAGCCTGAATATCTAAAGCAATCCTAAGCAAAAAGAACAAAACCAGAGGCATCACACTACCCAACTTCAAAATATTCTATATAAGGCTACAGTAACCAAAACAGCATGGTACTGATACAAAAACAGATACATCGACCAATGGAACAGAAGAGAAAACTCAGAAATAAAGCTGTACATCTCCAACCACCTGATCTTCAACAAGGCCAACATAAACAATGGGCAAAGGACTCCCTATTCAATAGATGCTGCTGAGATAACTGGCTAGGCATATACAGAAGAATGAAACTGGACCCTTTCACCGTATGTAAAAATTAACTCAAGATGGATTAAGATTTAAATGTAAGACCTCAAGCTATAAAAATCCCAGAAGAAAACCTAGGAAATACCTGTCTGGACATCAACCTTGGCAAAGAATTTTTGGCTAAGTCCCCAAAAGCAATTGCAACAAAAATGAAAATTGACAGGTGGGAATCAATTAAACTAAAGAGCTTCTATACAGCAAAAGAAATTATCAACAGAGTAAACAGACAACCTACAGAATGGGAGAAAATATTAGCAAACTACACATCCAACAAAGGTCTAACATCCAGAATTTAAAAGGAACTTAAATCAACAAGCAAGAAACAACCCCCCTTAAAAAATGGGCAAAGGACATGAACAGACTCTCCTCAAAAGAAGACATACAAGTAGCCAACAAACAAATGAAAAAATACTCTTCATCACTCATCATCAGAGAAATGCAAATCAAAACCACAAAGAGATACCACCTCACACCAGTGAGAATGGCTATTATTAAAAAGTCAAAAAACAATAGATATTGATGAGGCGTCAGAGAAAACGGAATGCTTATACAGTGTTGGTGGGAATGTAAATTAGTTCAGCCACTGTGGAAGGCAATTTGGAGATTTCTCAAAGAACTTAAGACAGAGCTATCATTTGATCCAGCAATCCCATCTCTGGATATATACCCAAAGGAAAATGGATCATTTTACCAAAAACACATATGCATGTGTGCGTTCATTGCCATGCTATTCACAAGAGCAAAGACATGGAATCAACCTAGATGCCAATCAATGGTGGATTGGATAAAGACAATGTAATACGAATATACCATGGAATACTATGCAGCCACAAAAAAGAATGAAATAATTTCCTTTGCAGCAACGTGTATGGAGCTGGAGGCCATAATCCTAAATGAATTAACACAGGAACAGAAAACTAAATACTGCATGTTCTCACTTATAAATGGAAGCTAAACATTGAGCACACATGAACATAAACATGGGAAAAATAGACACTGCGGACTACTAGAGAGGGGAGTGGGGAGGGAAAAGGGAGGGGGAGTGTGGGCTGAAAAACTACCTATTGGGTGCTACGCTCACTACCTGGGTGCAATATACTCAGGTAACAAATCTGCACATAAAAGTTGTATCTAAAATAACAGTTAAAATTGTTAAAAAAGAAACTAATTTTTTTTTTTTTGAGACGCAGTCTCGCTCTGTCACCAGGCTAGAGTGCAGAGGCCCAATCTCAGCTCACTGCAACCTCCGCCTCCCGGGTTCCCTCAGTCTCCTTAGTAGCTGGGACTACAGGTGCGTGCCACCATGCCCAGCTAATTTTTGTATTTTTAGTAGAGACGAGGTTTCACCATGTTGGCCAGGATGGTCTCAATCTCTTGACCTCATGATCCGCCTGCCTCGGCTTCCCAAAGCGCTGGGATTACAGGCATGAACCATCGTGCTCCGCCAGAAACTAATAATTTTTTAAAGGACAATGTATCAGATTAAAGACAGACAATTAGATCAACAGAAATAGATGCACACATATATGAAAAACTGATTTTCAACAAAGGTAGAAAGCAATTTAGTAGAGTGTCTTTTCAACAAATGATGCTGAAAAAATTAGATATCCATATATAAGACCTATAATGATATGTAAGACCTAAAATGATAACATTTCTAGAAGTAAACAAAGGAGACAATTTTTATGACCCTGGGTTAGGTAAAAATTTCTTAGACCCAGCCCAGCTTGGTGGCTCACGTCTGTAATCCTAGCACTTTGCAAGGCCAAGGTGGGTAGATTGTTTGAGCTCAGGAGTTCAAGACCAGCCTGGGCAATATGGCAAAACCTCATATCTACAAAAAAAAAAAAAAAAAAAAAATTAGCCAGGCGTAGCCGGGTGCGGTGGCTCATGCCTGTAATCCCTGCACTTTGGGAGGCCGAGGCAGGTGTATCATTTGAGGTCAGGAGTTTGAGACCAGCCTGGCCAACATGGTTAAACCCCATCTCTACGAAAAATACAAAAAATTAGCCAGGCTTGGTGGTGGGCACCTGTAATCCTAGCTACTTGGGAGGCTGGGGCAGGAGAATAGCTTGAACCTGAGAGGCAGAGGTTGCAGTAAGCTGAGATCGAGCCACTGCACTCCAGCCTGGGTGACAGAGTAAGACCCTGTCTCAAAAAAAAAAAAAAAATTAGCCAGGCGTGGCAGTGAGCACCTGCAGTAACAGCTACTTGGGGGGCGCTGAGGTGGGAGGATCAGTTGAGCCCAGTAGGCAAAGTTGCAGTGAGCCTTGATCATGCCACTGCACTGTAGCCTGGGTGACAAAGCAAGACCCTGTCTCAAAAAAAAAAAAAAAAAAAAAAAAAAGATTAGACACAACTGAAGCACATTTAATAAAAAAGAAATTGATAAACTGGATTTCATCAAAATTGAAAACTTCTGCTCTTTGAAAGACACTGCTAAGAGAATAAAGACAAGCCACAAGTTGGAAGAAAATATTTGCAAATCATATATACGATAAAAGATGTAGCTAGAATATATAAAGAACTCTCAAAACCTAATTAGAAAAAAATTCAATAATAAACAATTAACCCACCCAATAAGAAAATGGCAAATGACTTGAACAGACACTTCACCAAAGAGGACATGTAGACGGCAAAAAAACACATGAAAAGATAACTTCATTAGTCATCATGGAAATGCAAATTAAAAGCACACACATACCTATTATAATGGGTTACACATTAAAGTAGACCATTCCAAGAGTTGAAGATATGAAGGAACTAGAACTCTCATACATTGTTGGTGGGAGGATAAAATGGTCCAACTACTTTGAAAAATAGTTTGGGAGTTTCTTTAAAAATTAAATACAATTCTTCTATGATCCAGCAACATCACTCCTAGGTATTTACCCAAAAGATATGAAAGCATGTAGTTGTACAAAGAATTATACATGAATGGTCACAACAGTCTGATTTGTAATAGCCCAAAAGCATGGTCCAGAATCAGCAGGATCAATAGCACCTGGGAAGTTGTTAGAAATGCAAATTTTTATGCCCCACCCCAGACTTACTGAATGAGATGGTTTATGAGTTAATCAATTTCCCTTTGGAGTGGGAATTGTCCCAGTAATCAGTGATTAATAAACCCTTCAGATAATTCTGAAACTGGCTAGAATGTGAGAACCACAGCCCACCTTTCACCCTCACCCCTACCCCGACAATTCCCCAATCACACTTTGAGAACAACTACCTCAATCAATGCTTCTCCAACTTCTAAGTGCACAGAAATGACCTGGGGATCTTGTGTAAATGGATTCTGATTCAGTAGGTTTGGGAGGGGCTAGAGCTACTACTTTTTGCTTTTTTTTTTTTTTTTTTTTTTTGAGCCAGGGTCTCCCTCTGTCACTCAGGCTGGAGTGCAGTGGCACCATCACGGATGCATCACTGCTACCTCCAACTCCTGGGCTCAAGTGATCAGCCTCAGCCTCCCAAGTAGGTGGGACTACAGACATACAACACCATGCCCGGCTAATTTTTTTCTATTTTGTTTTTGGTGGTGTTGAGATGGGTTTCAGTTTTGTTGCCCAGACTGATCTCAAACTCCTGGGCTCAATCGATCCTCCCACTTCAGCCTCCCAAAGTGCCGAAATTACAGGTGTGAGCCATCGAGCCCAGCCAAGAGATTCTGCATTTCTAAAAAGCTCCCAGGTAATGCTGATTCTGCTGGTTCTGGGAATGATGGCAAAGACTGTTGTTCTTGGAAATGCCCTAATTTCTCAAAAGCAGAGCACGTTTGACTACCTCAGTTCTTCTCCCAGAGAAAATCCATTGAGTGTTAGGATGGAATGTAGCCTTTCTTACTCTCTTCTGCTCTGGTACCTATGCAGTTTGGGAAAAGAACTAAAACCCTCCCCTCTCCAGCAGACAGGGACTCTGTCCTGGAATGTTCTCTTGACAGCTCTAAAATTCTGACATTCCTTTGGAGCCAAGCCCCAGTGATTCTCAACATTAAAATTACCCATGGAGCTTTTAAAAATACAGATGCCTGGGCCCCACCCCAGAGACTCTGTTTTTATTTGTCTGGTGTGAGGCCTAGGCATCAGTTTTGTTTGTTTTTAGAGACAGAATCTTGCTCTGTTGCTCAGGCTAGAGGGCAGTGGTGCAATTATAGCTCGCTGCAGCCTTGAATTCCTGGTCTTAAACGATCCTCCTGCCACAGCCTCCCAAGTATCTAGGACAACAGGTGCACACCACCATGCCTGGCTAACTTTTTTTTTTTTTTGTAAAGATGGGTCTCACTATGTTGCCCAAGGTGGTCTGAAACTCTGGCCTCAAGCAATCCTCCCATCTTGGCCTCCCAAACTGCTGGGATTAAGGGCATGAGCCACCAGGGCTAACCTAGGCATCAGCATTTTTAAATCTCCCCTGGTGATCCTACTGTGAGCCAGAGCTTATAATCACTAACCCTTCCTGTGCCCCCAGACTACCCCCTTCCTGTTTAACATTCATTCAACAAATATTGCTAAGCCACTATTTTCCAGACTCTGAGCTAATGTGCCGGGTATACTGAGATGGATAAGCCATGGTCCCTGCCCACAGGAAGGTCATAGTCCAGTGGGAAAGACAGACAAGTCCTCTCACAACTGTAATACCTACGATAACGGATACCGGCAGAGATATAACAGTGATATTTCATTCAGTAAATTCGCATTTATTGAGAATTTACAAGCTACAGGCACTAGGAGCGCTACAGTGAGCATGACAGATACAATCCCTGCTTTCATGGAGCTCATGTCCGATGGGATCCAAGTCACACGGGACACAGAAGAGGGGCCCCCAATCCAAATTGGAGTGATCAGAAAGGGTCCCCCTATGGTCCCAGTGCTTCCGTCGAACCTTAAAACCTCCTATCATCCAGGCCCAAGAAGAGAGGACAGCACTCCAGGCAGAAAGCACAGCACAGGCAAAGGCACGAAGGTATGGAAGAAGACGGCACATCCAGAGAACTGGCAACGCCAACTCAGAGAGCGCACCCTGTAAGCCTGGTCCTCGGCGTTTGGCTCACCGCTTCTCCCCGGTGAAGGCAGCTTTTCCCCCTCTGCTTCATCACACACTCCAGAGTCCACACATGCACAGCTCTCTTCCAGTCCATTCCATCATTCCAGAACTCCACAATCTGACATCATTTATGAGGGGGTCTTAGCCCGAGAACCTTCTTCCTCTCTTCTTCCGACTCCAAGACCACTGTCCAGACACACCTGGGCCCCACTTTTCCGCTACCGCCACTAGAAAAGGCCTCCAGGTGGAGCCCTTTCATTCCATTCTTTTGCTATTACACGCCCATTTTACATTTCCTACCTAATTTCCACTCCACTGAATTTCCTTCCCCACAAGCCGCCGGACTGGAACTATCATCATCCTTAATTTGAGGAAAATCACAGGAAGCGTGTTCAATACACAAGCCGGTTGAGTTGCTCACTTTGAGCCTTTTCCTTAATTCAAGAAGCCCATGATCATTCTTAGCTCTCTTTTGGCTTCTTCAGCCCCTGGGAAGCTCCCTGTGCTCCTGCCTGAAAGGCTTCCCCAACTCCACTCACCAGAGGTTGGATGTTCCCTACCCCTCAGGAAAGATTCCGAGTGGAAACTCGGACAATACCTGCTCAAAGAATTCTTCCCCGTATAACTGGACATCTGGGCAGGGAAGAGGATACTTTTTTTTTTTTTTTTTTTTTAGATAAAAAGTCCAGCATGCCAATCTCCACTCCCTGCTTCTGCCCAAGAGAGAGCCAGAAGGGGCAGTTCCTGCAGAAGAGGCAGAGAGAGGCTGCTGTTGAGAAGCAAGCTGCGGATTCCCTTCGGACAACCATGCAAACCTGTTTTAACCATCACAACAATTGTGCCACTTGCTTCCCCTAGCCATTTCCCCTTACCACCTAGGTCCTCTCCATTTTCCAGTTATGCTTAACACCCAGGCTGGAAAATAAGACCCCAGCAGAAGGTAGGGAAGAATTGTTCTCCATGTTCCAAAGAGTGCGGGCCATACTGAAGCCATCTTGGTATCTCGCAGAACACCTAGCAGGGTGCCTCATCTCTTCCAGGCGGATTGCTTTGTAATGGATGCATATATAAAAAAGTTCTATGGATTCTAGCCTATTTGGAGAACAGAAGCTACAGCAGTGCAAGGCCAGTTCCAGGGTTTACCCTAAAGTCCACAGAGATAGTCACTACTTTTCTACTTATTTCCATTTACTACATGTGGGTTGAGAAGGTGATTCAATTTCTCTGTCACACTCTTTTTGTTTTTGAGACAGGCGCTTACTTTGTCATCTAGGTTGCATTGCAGTGGCAAGAACACAGCTCACTGCAGCCTTAAACTCTCAGGCTCAAGTGATCCTCCCACCTTAACCTCCTGAGAAGTAGCTGGGACTATAGGTGCATGCTACCATGCCCAGCTAGTTTTTTTTTATTTCTTGTAGAGATGGGAGTCTCACTATGTTGCCTAGGCTGGTCTCGAATTCCTGGGCTTAAGTAATCCTCCTGCCTTGGACTCCCTAAGTGCTGGGATTATAGGCATGAACCTCTGTCATACATTTATTGAACAAATACTTCCCACTGGTGCTGTGACACAGTGACTGAATGACCGTTGTCATAGGACAAATCAGACATAAGGACTTATCCTACTAATGACCGTAACACCAGTTCTAATGATCTCTTCCTTAGCGTGCTCATCCACTCATTTGGTGACCACCAAACTGCAGGGCAGTTGTAGTGGATTGAAGATAGCCATCCAATTTTTTTGCCACTTCTTCTGTTGTGATGTGGAGTCTAATTTCTCTTTCCTTTGAATCTGGCTGGCATTAGTGACTGGCTTGACCAATAAAATGTTCTGGGACTTTCAAGACTAGATCATAAGAAGCCTTTCAGCTTTCACTCAGGCCTCCTGGAGCAACTGCTCTTGAGGAAGAAGAAATCTTCATGCTGACACCACTCTGCTGTTAGAATGCCTGAGCTACCCACTTGGAGAGGCTGCATGGAAAAGGAGATGCCTGACCAGACCAGCTTCACACAGGAGAAGAAACTTTTCAAATGACTCCAGCCTCAGCTGTCATGTGATAGCAACTGAACCACCCAGCGGAGCTCATCAACATTCAGAACCACGACATAATAATAAATTATTTGTTCTTAAATACTGCATTAAAAACAAATGAATCATGGTTAGATATTATCCCTGGGGGGAGCTGGGCGAAGGGTACAAAGGAATTCTCTGTACTATTTTGTACCTTCTTGTGAATATTAAATTATTTCTAAGCCATTAGCAAAACACCAGCCCACCTGATCTAGAGAAGATCCATTTTGAAAGAAATAAAGACAGCTGGAGATTCTCCCTAAACCATGCCCCAGATGCTGACAATACCAGCACTGGTTGCAGGCAGCAAGTATGTGTGGCTATGGCCCTATGCACTTTGCTGGCTTTGAAGGCTCAGGAGAAAGCTCTGACCCCACCCCACACCCCAGTGACAGGGTGATTCAGCTTCAATCCTAATGCTTCACTCATCACATCTGGGTCTCCTCCTGGGGAAACACCCAGTTCTTCCTTTTGTCTAGTGAGAAAGAGACTGCTTTAGTTCTTCATTTTTCAAAGACTGACAAAACGATATGAACGGGCATGAAATGTCACTCAGCCAAAGGACAGAGATTTTCTCTGCCTGTGTTTTTTAAAAACTCCTTTTCTTTCGTTTTAAAAAGCCCCTCATAAACAAGTGA
Organism: Homo sapiens; assembly: GCF_000001405.40. NCBI lineage: Eukaryota > Metazoa > Chordata > Mammalia > Primates > Hominidae > Homo > Homo sapiens. The sequence continues at coordinate 99,487,853 of NC_000010.11, forward strand.
AATCATGTCCTCATTCTGCCTTGCTTTAGAGGTATTCCACCCCACTGTCTCTTCAGGGAGATCACGCCCCTACCAGATAGCCTCCCTGGAGACCCCAGTCCTCAACTACAGCTTCCATCACAGAAGATGACTGAAAGAGTAGACTTTCTACCTCCTGTGCATTGCAGACTCTCACTCATCCATGCTGATAGCTCATGACAAATAGAGGCAGCCACTTTGAGTTGGGAGTAGGTGGCATACAGGGTGACATTGTTGAGATCAATACAGCAATCCACAAATAGTTATTGGAGAATCTGATTTTTCACAGCACTGAGCTAGGCACTGTTGAGGTATAGATGTGTGAGCTAGAGACAAAGGACTGTCATAGAAAAGCTTCGGACTTCAAGGGCCTGGACTGACATCCCAGTTTTGCCATTTACTAGCAATATGGCCTTGAGATGGTCTTTCATTCTCTCTGAGGGGACAAGAAAATTCTCCTTACCAACCCCTGGGGCTTGTGAAAATCAAAAGTGAGGGCAGGACTTTGTCAACCACTGGGCCAATGGAGGCTATTATTATCACACAGCATTGTGTGTTAGGAGGTCAGAGAAGGAAGAGGGCGCTGAGCAGGAGCTGTCAGGGAGAACTTGATGGAGGACGCTGGTCTAAAGTGGACCTTGGAGGAAGGAAAGGATTGGGAAAGGCAGAAAAGGCATTCCTCCCAAGGGGAACTGAGGGAGGGATTTGTATCCTGTGGGGGAGGGAGGAAAGTAAGGAAACTTGACCTAACCTGTGAGAGGGGTTTTGATTGAGGAACCATATGGAAAACAAGTTTAGGGAGATAAGGGAGCCCCTGATTATGAAGGATCTAGAAAAAAATAAAGACACATAACAGGATAAAGATACCGGGCAAAGGATGTGCACCTTCCTACCTGCTCTGTACCACAAAATATATCCCAAACTCCCATTCTTCTAAAGTGTTTACTACTCTGGTCTATACTGTGAAACCACCATAGTAAACTACACTGGACAATGGAAATTGAAACAGCAATAATAAGGTATCAGTTATATTGATAGATCCCATATATAGGGAGGGGACACTTTGAATTTTATTCTTTTTGTTTCAGTTTTTGTTTTAGCTTTTTCATTTGTTCGTTTAGAGATAGGGGTCTCTCTATGCTGCCCAGCCTAGATTTGAACTCCCAGGCTCAAGCAATCCTCCCACCTCAGTCTCTCGAGTAGCTGGTACTACAGGCATGTGCCACTGTATCTGGCTTAGAATTTATTCTTTATGCTGAGAAACAAAATGATGTTTATCTAGTTGGCTGCCTTCTAAAAGATGTGGCAAAGTATTCTCCTAACTAGAAGGTTCTAGGACAGGGAACCTTGTACTTTTGATTCACGCACTGATCTACTCCAGCTCTAAATCAGCATACTGAAAGGAAAGGGCAGCTTGCATCTCTGCACACTCCTTCACTAAGATTCAGTCAGGCTAGAACGCCACAGCTCTAGCCTGTCATATGCCCCAAGCATGGGCATCTTGCAATTATCTGTGGCTGGGGTAATCCAACATAACAAATCAATCTCCTTCCAAGGCAAAGATCATGAATCATGAAAAGTTCTCCTTTTTGCTTTTTGTACAAGTGTTCCTAATCTTTCTTTAGCATCTTACTACTTCGGGGGTGGCGGGTGTGCTTTTATTTAACCTAAGTTTCCTCCTCATTAAAAGGAAATAGAGGAGTCTGGTTGAATGCTAGAAAAATGCAAAGCATGCCAAATATAACAGCAAATTCAGCTATATTGTGGTTAAAGAACCATTGAAAAGAATCACATCTCAAAAGCTGCTGTCTCTCCTGGTCCTTGCAAGAAGAAACCAACAGTTTTTCACAAAATTATGGCTATTCTTTCAAGTTGAATTACTTCTTGAAAACAAGTACAAAACCAAAGTAAATAAAATGTATTTAAAAATGAGAAAAACAGGCCAGGCACAGCAGCTCATGCCTGTAATCCCAGTACTTTGGGTGGCTGAGGCAGGGAGATTGCTTGAGCCCAGCAGTTCGAGACCAGCCTGGGCAACATAGGGAGACCCTGTCTCTACAAAAAAAAAGAAAAAAATAGCCAGGCAAGGTGGCATGGACCTGTATTCCCAGCTACTCAGGATGCTGAGGTGTGAGAATCACCTGAACCCAGGAGGTCAAGGATGCAGTGAGCCATGATCAAGCCACTGCACCCCAGCCTGCAACAGAGTGAGACCTTGTCAAAAAAAAAAAAAAAAAAAAAAAGAGAGAGAGAGAGAAACTTAGTTGGTGCCACTAGACTTAAAGTCTGAGTTGAGTTTGTGTCTGTTCTTTTTGTATTCCTGTTACCTAGCATGATAAATATACACTGAGTAAAATCTAATGATAATAGTAAATAATGTATCACAAAAATAAGAAAAGGTGATAAACTAGATCCAACACAGACAGCAGATGAAAATGATCAGTGAAGAAATCTTATGTACCTAATGTGAGAGTACACATGTCATCACCAGGAAAAAACATATATTAACTGTCCACAATGCAAATACAGCTATGCTATCTTCTTAGCCTAAAATGCAGCCACAGTTCCTATCCTGGGGGACTTACCAATTGCTGGAGAAAACAACACACAAACTTATTCAATGGAAATACATAAAAACAATTATCTACCGACTGTCAAAAGAAAAATAGCGTGTCAGAAATTGTGCTGGCAAGTTGGAGAGTAGGTACGGTTACTCAGGAAACATGAAATTCCTTATCATCAAATACTGTTTATTGAGACTGATTTTGATCATTCGGAGAAGATGAAAATGGAGAATGAGGTTGAGCTTGAGAATAAAGTTGAAGATGAAGATCAATAATGAGGGTGGAGGCTCATTATTCACATTATCCTCATTTTAACCAGCCTGGGAAGTATATTGGACAGATATCCCCATTTCATTGATAAAGAAACTGAGGCTCAGAGAAGACTTGATGTCTTCTTCAAATATCCCAGAGGGAAGTTAGACAGTGATGGACCTAGAATTTGGTTCTATTCTTTAGCCCCAGTCATGCTGAAAACAGAGTGGAGTTGATTTTTAAACGAGGGATAGTTAAGTTGTAAAGTCAGCTTACATGGTGAAAAATATGTATAATAAAAACTATGCTTGAAAAGTCCATAATTCAGCCATAAAGTAGAATAGATGTGCCCATACTTACATGCCTCTCTAAAGACATCTCCATAGCCAGTTTTTTCTCCTGGATAAGAGCAGTGCTCTATAAATTGAGTACTAGGTGGAGAATTTGGCTCATATTTAAAGACCATGTTGTTCTCCACTCCTCACCTCTCACCCCAACCCCTCCCCTGACACAGAAAAATATGTATCTATATTATATATAGAGATTCCGGAATCACACTCCTTGCTGCAAAATCCTACATCATGACAGGCACATGGCAAATGAGACCAAATGAGCTGAGCAGATTCACCTCTCCAGTCTCACTCTCTGAAGTTAAGTCTTTGCATTTTAAGTCTGAACTCTGTAGTTGGCAGATCCTATTTGTTTCTTTTCAGAGAGGCAAGCCTATTTCAAAAGGTTTCTTTTTCAAAAAGTCAACTTTATTGAAGTATAATCTACAACAATAAAACATACCCATTTTAAGCATATAGTTTGACAAGTTTCACATACGTATATACACATGTAATCACCACCAAACTGAACAAATAAGATATTTCTGTCCCCCCAAAAAGTTCCACTGTGGCTCTTTGCAGTAATTTCCCACCTCTGACACTAGGCAACTACTGATACATTTCCCTTTTCTAGAACGTTTAGAATTTTGTATAATTGGAATTTCCCTTTCCGAAAATTTCATGTAAATGGAATCATGTAGCATGTATTCTTCTGTAAAAATGACCCATTTAAGACCAGGTGCGGTGGCTCACGCCTGTAATCCCAGCACTATGGGAGGCCAAGGTGGGTGGATCACCTGAGGTCAGGAGTTCGAGATGAGTCTAGCCAACATGGTGAAACCTGTTTCTACTAAAAATACAAAAATTAGCTGGATATTGTGGTGCACACCTGTAGTCCCAGCTACTCAGGAGGCTGAGGCAGGAGAATCGCTTGAACCCAGAAGGTGGAGGTTGCAGTGAGCCAAGATCGCGCCACTGCACTCCAGCCTGGGTGACTGGGTGAGACTCTGTCTCAAAGAAAAAAAAAATAATAAACCCACACTTAAACAAGGATTTAAGGATTTAACCCCTTTGTAGAAATATAATAACTACAGAAGGTAGTTAGAAGCTTTCTCTTCTAGCTCTACATCCAATCACTTTTGGCAGAATCATCTGACATGTTGTTGGTATCTCAGGCCTTGCCAGCCACCAATGAGTCTTGACCCAAACTGCCCTCGTAGCCACACGACCCATGTACATGTGAAAACTAAAGGTGAATCTTGCCCACCCATTAAAAGTCATTGAGGCAAACACTTCCAAATGTACTCAGAAAGAGAAACAACCTTCAGCCTCCCAGGACAGCCAAGGGTGGAGAACAAAGTGGCAAATGATCTGACCCTATAATTTGTGGCAAGAAAATTTATGACACATGGGTCTTCTAATGGGGTACACTTAGTGGACAAATGAGACTGAAAGGTCAGGTGTGCGACCTTCTAGTGTTACTAAGATGGTTGTAAGCATCATTTTCCTTGGCCTAACACATTTCACTCTGAAAGTTTGGCAGCCTCTATCACATGCCAAAAGACCTTACCCCAAAGGTTGCAAACTCAAATGCCTTCAGGGACTGGATAATAATGAATAAATAGGAATATGCTGATATAGAATGTGAGAAGTGTAGTAAGCTTGAAAGTACTTGCTTAAACTTAAAAATCTGATTCAATTTTTAAAATGCTTTGCCCATCAAGCTACCAATGACTTTCTTCACAGAATTGGAAAAAACTATTTTAAAGTTCATATGGAACCAAAAAAGAGCCCACGTTGCCAAGTCAATCCTAAGCCAAAAGAACAAAGCTGGAGGCATCACGCTACCTGACTTCAAACTGTACTACAAGGCTACAGTAACCAAAACAGCATGGTACTGTTACCAAAACAGAGATGTAGACCAATGGAACAGAACAGAGCCGTAAGAAATAATGCCGCATATCTACAACTATCTGATCTTTGCCAAACCTGAGAAAAACAAGCAATGGGGAAAGGATTCCCTATTTAATAAATGGTGCTGGGAAAACTGGCTAGCCATAGGTAGAAAGCTGAAACTGGATCCCTTCCTTACATCTTATACAAAAATTAATTCAAGATGGATTAAAGACTTAAATGTTAGACCATAAAAACTCTAGAAGAAAACCTAGGCAATACCATTCAGGACATAGGCATGGGCAAGGACTTCATGTCTAAAACACCAAAAGCAATGGCAACAAAAGCCAAAATTGACAAATGGGATCTAATTAAACTCAAGAGCTTCTGCACAGCAAAAGAAACTACCATCAGAGTGAACAGGCAACCAACAGAATGGGAGAAAATTTTTGCAACCTACTCATCTGACAAAGGGCTAATATCTAGAATCTACAATGAACTCAAACAAATTTACAAGAAAAAAACAAACAACCCCATCAAAAAGTGGGCAAAGGATATGAACAGACACTTCTCAAAAGAAGACATTTATGCAGCCAAAAAACACATGAAAAAATGCTCATCATCACTGGCCATCAGAGAAATGCAAATCAAAACCACAATGAGACACCAACTCACAGCAGTTAGAATGGCAATCATTAAAAAGTCAGGAAACAACAGGTGCTGGGGAGGATGTGGAGAAATAGGAACACTTTTACACTGTTGGAGGGACTGCAAACTAGTTCAACCATTGTGGAAGTCAGTGTGGCAATTCCTCAGGGATCTAGAACTAGAAATACCATTTGACCCAGCCATCCCATTACTGGGTATATACCCAAAGGATTATAAATCATGCTGCTGTAAAGACATATGCACACGTATGTTTATAGTGGCACTATTCACAATAGCAAAGACTTGGAACCAACGTAAATGTCCAACAACGATAGACTGGATTAAGAAAATATGGCACATATACACCATGGAATACTATGCAGTCATAAAAAAGGATGAGTTCATGTCCTTTGTAGGGACATGGATGAAACTGGAAACCATTATTCTCAGCAAACTATCGCAAGGACAAAAAACCAAACACCGCATGTTCTCGCTCATAGGTGGGAACTGAACAATGAGAACACATGGACACAGGAAGGGGAACATCACACACTGGGGACTGTTGTGGGGTTGGGGGAGGAGGGAGGGATAGCATTAGGATATATACTTAATGCTAAATGACAAGTTAATGGGTGCAGCACACCAACATGGCACATGTATACATATGTAACAAACCTGCATGGTGTGCACATGTACCCTAAAACTTAAAGTATAATAATAATAAAATAAAATTTAAAAATGCTTGGCTGGTGAAAAGATTGCTTTTATAATTAGGCCCCTGGGTTGCCAGTTTTCTGTTACATCATGATTATATTCATGATGGTGGGAGTCTCTCCAGTGGCAGCTCTTAGAAAAGCCCTGAGCACACAGTAGGAATTTAATGAATACTTCTTGAGTTAACGGATTGTGTTTATGGACTGGGGTTTTATTGGAATGAAAAGTCTAAAGAAGTGAGTTCCTTTTATCATCTCTTCTCTCCACCTTGCTTCCCAGTAAAGTGCCTGCTCCAATTTCTGGTTGTTCCACACTTTCAGCTTGCCCACCTTGAAGCAAATTTGACACTCTAATTTTCATTTGTCAAGTCAAGCCTGCTTTTATGTCTCTGTCTCTGTCTCTCTGTCTCCCTCTCTTTCTTCTTCTTCTCCTCCTCCTCCTCCTTCTTCTCCTTCTTCTTTCTTCTTTCTTCTCTCTTCTCTCTTCTTTCTTCTTTCTTCATTTTCCCATGTCCTCTTCCTCACAGGACAGAAGTTGGTTCACTTTATTCTGCAAACTTCCACCCACTTTTTGACCCCGGCATGCTGCATACCAGCTCTCTCTTTATTAACTCTCCAAGTTTGGGCTTCTCTTTCTATTATAAAAATTTCTCAGGGGCAGATGTGGTTGCTCACATCTGTAATCATGCCAGTTTGGGAGGCCAAGGTAGGAAGATAGCTTGAGCCCAGGAGTTCGAGACATAGTGAGACCCTGTCTCTCCAAAAAAACAAAAAGATTAGCCAGTTGTGGTGGCAGGTGCCTGCAGTCCCAGCTACATCCAGGCTGAGGTGCAAGGATCACTTGAGCTCAGGAGGTTGAAGCTGCAGTGAGCCGTGATTGCACCACTGCACTCCAGCCTGGACGACAGAGCAAGACCCTATCTCAAAAAAATTATCAGTAAACCGATTCACACCACTGTATTAATGACAATATGTTACTCCTCCAAGAATGCTTAGTTTCAAAGGGGATATAAGGGCACTACTGAATGCAAAGGAACACATCCAGGCAGTGAAAAAAAAACCCTAATATTTGGCCCACTCACCTCCTAGGTGACCCTCAGATCACAGTACCACTTTCATTGTGTCAATGGAGTAAGGACAATCAAGAGCCAGGTACATTTTCTTCTGCTATAAAGTAAGAAGAACAAAGCTGGACTGGCAGAAAGTTTAGTAATTATGTGCTTTGGTTTACATTCCAATTTTGCCTCTTACTAGAAGATCTTGGGCAGGTTACTTAACCTGTCCATGCTTTAGTTTCCCTACCTCTAAGATGGAGACAATAATACATACCTTGTGGGTTGCTGTGAGGGTTAGAAGAGTTAATATATCTAAAGCCCAAGAAGAGAGGTTGGCACATAATTAGAATCATGTGAGTGTTAGCTGTTATTGCTTGCAGATTAGGGCTACTGTCTACTTACAAGGTTGGAGAGTTAAAAGGGCACCAGCATTAAGACATTTAGCATGGTACTTAGCACACAGTAAATGTTCAATAAATTCCTATAGTTACTTGAGGGTATGGCAGGCTAAATAATGGCCCCTGTATTAGTCAAGGTTATCCAGAGAAACAGAACCAATAGAGGAGATAGATAGATGTAGACATAGATATAGATACAGATATATCTCCTATATAATAGGATATGGCTGTAAACATAGTTGTCCTTATCTTAACAGCTTTCACCCTGAAAATGTGGCAGCCTCTATCACATCCCAAAAGGCCTTGCCCCAGAGGTTGCAAACTCAAATGCCTTCAGGGGCTGAATAAGTAATGAATAAATTGGAAATATGCCAATATAGAGTGTGAGAAGTGTGGTGAGCTTGAAAGTACATGCTTAAACTAAAAAACAAATCGGATTCAATTTTTAAGATGCTTTTTTGGAAAAGCTATATATATATATGAGAGGAGAGAGAGAGAGGAGATTTATTGCAGGAATTGGCCCATGCGGCTATGGAGGCTAAGTCCCATAATCTGCCATCTGGCCTGAGAATTGAGTGGCTGATGGAGTAAGTGCTGGTCTGAGCCCTAAAGCCTGAGAACCAAGAGCGTCGTTATCTGATGTCTGAGGGCAGGAGAAGATGGATGTTTCAGTTTAAGCAGAAAGAGCAAATTTGCCCTTTCCTCCACTTTTTCTTCTACTCAGGCGCTCAACAGGTTGGAGATGCACCCCCACATGGGTGAGGATGGGTCTTCCTTCCTCAGTCTACTGATTCCAGAAACACCCTCACAGACACATCCAGAAATAATGTTTTCCCAGCTATCTGGGCATCCCTTAGCCCAGTCAAGTTGACACATAACATAAAACATCACAGCCCCCCAAAAAATCCAATTTCTCACCCTATGGAACCTGTGAATGTTTCCTTGCATGGGCAAAGGGGTCTTTGCAGGATCTTGAAATGAGGAAATTATTCTGGATCATCCAGGTAGGCCCTAAATTAATCCCAAGTGTCCTATAAGAGGGAGGCAGAGGATGATTAGACTACAGAAGAGACACATGACAGAAGACGAGGGAGGCAGGCTCAGAGGTAGAAAATGCTATGCCACTGGCTTTGAAGATGGAGGAAGGGGCTGCAAGCCAAGAAATAACAGCAGCCACCAGAGGCTGAAAGAGGCAAGAAACAGATTCTCCCCTGGAGCCTCCAGAAGGAACCAGTCCTACTGTCACCTGGATTTTAACCTCATAAGACTCAATTTGGACTTTGCATTTCCAGAACTGTAAGAGGATGAATTTCTGTTGTATAAACCACTAAGTTTGTGGCCATTTGTTACAGCAGCCACAGGAAACCAACACAGAGTGCTCATTTTATCCAGAGGCTCCTTTATAGCACAGTAGGATCTTCAAGGAAATCAGGGGAGCAAGGATGCTTTAGGGATAAACAGCTGTTAAGACTCTTTGGAGAAAACACATTTTGGTACCTCTCTTAACCACAGGGAGAATCCAGTTAAACTTTCTTTTGCCCTGGGTTTGGAGGGAAAGGAAGGAGCTGGTGATCCCAATCTATTTGCAGCAATGCAAGAGTCAATAGCCAAAATGGTCATTTTTTGCAGTTTTTTAAAACAATAGAGTTTGTTATTTCTTTTCCAAATGCATCAGCAGGACCAGTGGAGAAGGTCTGGAAAGCAATAGCTAAGATTAGCTCCCAAGCTCCCACTGAGACCTTGAGTGGCTGTCAGCTCTGCAGGGAACAGCAGCAAACCCTCACGCAAATGGCCTATAAAAAAGGCCTTGTCAGAGGCACCTTGACCTGCCAGGGCTTCTCTGGTACTCTGATTCCCAGCGGCCCTCCCAGGGTTATGCTCCCTTGCATGATGTATTTCCCCTGCCTTTTTTAGAGCTGCATTATGCTTGCTCCAGGAAACAGCCTCTTCCTTCTCATAAACACAGCCTTGAGTTTCTGACCAAGCACCCTGCCACTCTGTGGCTCCTTGTCCATCCATCACACCTTGCTGTCACCCTGGCCGCGATTGTGAAGAACTGGTCCAACTCCAGAAGTGAAGTCAGGGTGGGGAGAAGGAAGGGGCAAGCCATGGGAGCAGCCGAGGTCACACACACCCCAATTCCAGCCCACTGATGAATTCCTTGGAAGCTGGCTGGACTGCACAGTGAGCAAGCCTTTCCGATGACCCAGCAAGTATGTTGGAAAGGTCTTGATAAGGTCACCACCAGAGCTAGGCTTGGCATTTCCACTCCCTCAGCTGCATGTGCAGAGCTCAGGGATAGGCTAGATCAAAGATGCCAGGGAGAGACTGAATCCTGAAAAGAGTGTGTACCCATGTAAGAGAAGGGAGACATAGTGAAAAACCCTGGTTCCTTATAAGCGGTATTATAGATATAGCTAAGGATGAGATTTGAAGGGTCAACATGACCCACCCACAACATATATGCTCCATTGGCTCTGGTAGTGCACCTGGAATTCCCATTAATGGTTTAAAAAGAGCTAACATGTATTGAATGCTGAACATGTGCCAGGCACTTTTCTCAGTGTCTCATTCAATCCTCTCCCTCATCCTATCAGGTAGGTATCATTACTGCCTCATTTTACAGATGAGGAAATTGAGGTATGCTGTATAAGTTATGAACGGTCACAAAGCCAGTAAGTGGTAGAACTGAGATTCAAACCCTGCAGCAACCCAGTGTCCACACTGTTTACCATCATGCTATCCTGCTTCTCAGGAGCAGCCAAAACATTAAAAACAGGACAATTGATGCAGATATTATCTAGGAGTGTGAATATCAAAAAGTTATTTCCTCTGCTGCTCCCAACACTTGCCCCTTCCTTCTCTCCCCCATGGGGAGAGAACTTATCCAATTCTCCTCTCTGGAGTTGGATAAGTTCTCCATAATCACAGAGAGGAACATGGAGGAAGCCCTCCAGAATACTAGAAATGTTCTATATCAGGGTCTGGATATTGGTTATACAGTATATATTGTGTAAAAATTCATCAAGCTGTGCACTTAAGATTTGTGTACTTTCCTGTATGTGCATAGTATATCTTAATTAAACATACAAACACACAGTCTCCCTCATTCTCCCTTCTCCTCTCCATTCCCTTCGCATTATTGCCAGGGCCTTCCTTATGAAATTTTGAATCACGCAGCTATTTAGGTAATTGGGCGGTAGAGGGCAAAGAGTATTGTAACCTTTGTCAATGTTTTTATTTAGGAAGAAGGAAGTTTGAAGGAACTACAACAGATTTGGTGCAATATGTACCTGCAAGAGAATGGAAGCTAGGGCTTGGAGCAGCAGAGAGAGAGGAGTGTATGTCCCACTGCCTTGCCATGGTCAGGGGCTGATCACCCCTGTGGAGGCGCATAAGGTGATGGAGTGATATATTATTTTATCCATACTGCACCCCTTTCATAATCCTTCAACCTGATTTTCCCCAAAAACACTCAGTGCAAAACATGCTTTCAGCTCTTATCACATCTAATGGCCTTTTCTCTCAGTTGTCATCCTCCTTGATGTCCTGTAACCATAGGCCTTTTTTTTTTTTTTTTTGAGGCGGAGTTTTGCTCTTGTTGCCCAGGCTAGTGGGCAATGGTGTGATCTTGGCTCACCGCAACCTCTGCCTCCTGGGTTCAAGTGATTCTCCTGCCTCAGCCTCCTGAGTAGCTGGGATTACAGGCGTGTGCCACCACGCCCGGCTAATTTTTGTATTTTTAGTAGAGACAGGGTTTCACCATATTGGTTAGGCTGGTCTGGAACTCCTGACCTTGTGATCCGCCTGCCTCAGCCGGGCCACCTTTGGTCTTTTGACCAAGCCCTGCCTTCTTTGGTGGGACTCTTCATCTGACTTTGGTGGTACTACACTATCCTCTCATTCTCTCTCTCCAGTGCTTCTTCTCTGTCTCCTTCATTTGTCACTTCCTTCTTCTGATGACCCTAAACATGACTCTACGTTAAGACTTCATCCTTACCGGGTGCGGTGGCTCACGCCTGTAATCCCAGCACTTTGGGAGGCCCAGGCAGGTGGATCACCTGAGGTCAGAAGTTCGAGACCAACCTGGCCAACATGGTGAAACCCCGTCTCTACTAAAAATACAAAAAAAATAGCTGGGTGTGGTGGTGAGTGCCTGTAATCCCAGCTACTTGGGAGGCTGAGGCATGAGAATTGCATGAACCTGGGAGGTGGAGGTTACAGTGAGCCGAGATTGCGCCATTGCACTCCAGCCTGGGTGACCCAGTGAGACTGCTTCTCAAAAAGAAAAGAAAAGAAAAAAAGACTTCATCCTTGGCCTCTCCACATCTTACTCTCAATTCTGTCTCTATTCATCTCCTGCCATGGCCTTTACCTACCATCACCTCTATCTCAATGAGTCCTAACTCTACAGTTAGGACTCATTATAGATAATATATTATATTATCTATTATCCTATTATTATAGATATTTTTTCTGAACTGTAATCCTGCTTCTCCAAGTGACAACTCAACACCTCTATCTAGAGGTTTTTCCAAAAGCAGCATGTGAAATGGATGGGAAGCAGCATGCCACTTCCCCATAATCAGCTCCAAGCCTGAATTCTTCCTTTCATCCCAGCTCAAACCTTGGCATCTTCCCTGATGCTTCTTCCTCTTTTCCAATGTCCAGTAAATCCCTACATCCCATAGCTCTTTCTTTGCAAGATCTCCCCAACCAGTTCTTTCTCCAAGGCAGATCCTCATCAGCTCATCTCAAACTCCTGGTAGGGTAGGCAGGGAGACTGGAGTCTTTGAAAAGGTAGTTCCTTACCCAAATACCTTCCTCCAAAGCCCAAAATTCCACATCATCAAATCATCATATTGTGTAAAGTACCACCATCTCCTGCAGTCTTCTTTTAAGATGCAAAATTCTTAGGAGGAAGGACGTGGTTTTAAAGTAAGAAGACAAGTTTGAATCCCAACTCTGTTCTTTAGTGTGTCGCCTTTCAGCAAGTCCTGAGCTTCGTGGAACCTTTGTTTTCTGGTATTTAAAACAAGGATATTAATTCTTCCCTAGCTACCTCACAGCTAATGTTGCTTTGAAGAGAAATTTTAAAAGACCTATGAGCTCTTCAATATGTATTATTTGGTTATGTTCCCAGCAACTTTGTGTAAATGGTTTTGCTGGTTCTCTAAGAGAAAGGACAAGGGTGCTTGGTATTGAAGGATAAGGAACCTGCCTGGTTCTGCTGGTTTGCCTCAGAGCAGCCCTGTAACTCTATCACATAATTACATGTATGTATAATACATATCTATAATTATATGTATATGTACATATAAAATACATATATTATATAATATGTATATTATATATGTAATGTCATCTTAGAATGACATCTAAGATTATTTTTAAAAATAAACAAATTACACCTATTAGATATATGCATAATTATATATTATATAACATAATCACATATATGTATATAATCACTTGTAATGGTATCAGATTATGAAGAGAACTGAGGAATAGTGGTCTACTAAAATCTAGAAATATCTGTAAATATATTTAGGTAAAATGTGGTAGTTGGAAAGTGTGTTAAAATACTCAGCAAAGACAAAGATGAAATGAAATGGAAAAATGTTAATAATTTTTAAATCTAGGTAGTGGATATGTGGATGCTCATTATGATGCTCTATCTACTTTTACATGTTTCAAAATTTGTATAATAAAAATCTGAATATATTAAAGACAGAAGTAATTAAAAATATTAAAATATTCATCATATGCTATTAACTTTTAAAATAAGCTATGAAACAATAAATAGAGTACGTTACCATACTTGTACCAAAAAAAAAAAAAAGGAAGAAAAGGAATATAAATTGTAGCACTGGCAGTAAACACCCACCAAGTTATCACTTTGTTATTGCTGGGTGGGATTGTGATTTTTAAAAATCATCTTATTTTGCTTTTCCTATTTTGTAATTTTTATCAGATAATTATTTGCTTTTTGTTTAAATTGCAGAAAATGCTATCTAAAATTCAATAAATAACACCTATTAGATGAATATTTCAGAGACTGAGGATAACCTGTCTTGGTGAAACTATGAAAAAAACAGGCACTTCCATTCCTATTTGATGAGAATGTAAACTATTATAATCTTTTTAGTGAGTAAATTGGCAATAACTATTAAAATTCTAAATGTTTGCTGGGCACGGTGGCTCACACCTGTAATCCCAACACTTTGGGAGGACGAGGCAGGTGGATCACGAGGTCAGGAGTTCGAGACCAGCCTGGCCAACATAGCGAAACCCCGTCTCTACTAAAAATGCAAAAAATTAGCTGGGCGTGGTGGTGGGCACCTGTAATCCCACCTACTCGGGAGGCTGAGGCAGGAGAATCGCTTGAACCAGGGAGGCAGAGGTTGCAGTGAGCCGAGATCATGCCACTGCACTCCAGCCTGGGCAACAGGGCGAGACTTCATCTCAAAAAAGATTCTAAATATTTATGTCCTATTTTTCAGAAATAAATAAAAGAAGAAAGAAAGAAAATAAAGCCCCAAAAAGAAAAAGTGGAGATGAAATAACCCAGGGGGTCATCGATAATGGACTGGCTGAATCCATCATGGTTCATCCATACAGTGGACTATTATGCAGAAGTATGTGAGGCAACAGTAAGTGGTATTTGGTGGGGAGGTAGGTGCAGAAACCTTGTATAAAATGCTACCATTTGTGCAAAAGGTAAAAAGGAAGAAAAAAGGAATATGTGCTTATTGTATGTGGATAAAATGTTTCTGAAAGATACATTTTAAAAACTGATAACATTGGTGGACTCTAGAGAAGGAAACTGGGGGGCTGGGTATGTGGGAAAATTAGGATACTTACACATTTTGAAATTAGAAAAACATGAATTTAATGCCCATTCATATAAATATAATTACAATTAAATACAAAATACAAAAATAGGGTTACAGCTCTTTTAGAATTTGTCTAGCAGATTTTCCAGTAAAAAAAAAAAAATACAAAATATGCTAAAACAAAAAAGGGAGGGTATGGCATCAGGTAAGTACATTTCCAAATGAGTGCAATTACAAGAGAAAGAACAACCAGAATGACATCTAAGATCATCTTAAAAGCCTCTGGTTCCTTTTTTTTTTTTTTTTTTTTTTTTTTTTTTTACCATGATTCTACCAATCGAGGCTGCTAGAAGTATTATAACAATAGGTTTTACTATTTGCCCCATGGCACAGGTTTTAATGATGGGTTTGGAAATCAGGGTTCTAGCCTTGCGTTACCCATGGTAGCGCAATGGGAGATGACGGGTTTCTCCATCATTCTTCCTTATAATCATGCTTCGACTCTCCCCTCCAGGACCAAGCCTTTTCCAAATACTCAGAACTTTACTGAAAGGGGCAAAACCTGATGAGGCAACTTGTATACAGTTTGCTTTGGTGCCTGTGTGAGTACATAATCCATTGGGCAGATCACCTGTTAACGTCTCCTTTCCTTCAAGATCCCAGACTTCTGGGGTCCCCCTCTCCTCTTGGGAGTTGTGTACTTAAGGCTCTGGAGCTAGCTGTCCTTAGGCCAGGCAAACACAAAGCTCAGAGAATGCCATCTGGAGCAAATATAGGCTGATTGGCTTGGGGGTTTTTCTGCACATGTGTCATCTTGATTAGCCCCAAGGTGCCTTCCAATTCTAACATTCTGCTGTTCTAGAAATCCAGGATTTCCTCTATTACCCCAAGTGACTGAAAAGTTAGCTGAACAGCTAGACATACATAATGTCCTTGATTTTTGCAGCTTCTTACATAGGTCTGGCTCTTTTCTGAAATAAAAATTTTATGTTAGGATCCAGAATTTAACCTCACACCACAGCCCTACCTTTGTTTGTTTGTTTGCTATTTAGTTTTTTTCACCTCCCAATTATAAGACAAGGTAGAAGTAATAGAATCAAGAAGCTGAATTCCAAGCTAGCAATGGGGAAAGCTGAGAGCCAGTCCAATGTGTACCATAGAATCCTCAAAGTCTCAGAACAAGCTGCATCAGGCATGAAAAATGGAAGATGCCTCCCTGAGAATTTGACCAGACCAAGAGGAAATACCTACAGATTCTGACATTGAACGTTATGCAACAAACAGCTCACCCAAATCACAATACAGTGAGGCTCAGAGTCAGAAGTCCCACTCTTCTTCGAGGTTCCCATCAGCACATTTAGATCAGATCTTAATCAGAAGTCTACATACATCCAAGTAGCACGAGACATCCAAGGAAAGCCATTATCATGAAATACAAAGATTAAAAAAAGTCAAATGTAACTTGAAAGATACAGCAATTATGCAGAGAGAAGAAAACAAAACTATCAATATTACCTTAAGAGAAAGAAGATATTGCAACCAGGAAACAGGAACAGAATGTTGTGTTTCAACAAAGTAGCATTCAGAGAACAAAATAAAGAGGAGCTCATAAAATTAAAAACATGAAAGCAACAATGAAAAACTCAGCTATTGAATAGTATACTACATAGAAAGTCTTCCGGAAAGTTAAGCAAAAAGTCAAAGAGGTTAAAAAAAATGACAAAATAAGAAAAAAGAAAGGCCACCCCAAAAGACCCAATATCCAAATAATTGAAGAGGAAAATAAAAAAATAGAGGGGACAAAAACCAATAAAATAACCTGAAAACATTTAGCAAACCGAGGGACATGAATTGATAAGCAGAAAGGATCCCCCAAGTGCTTAACACAACAGATGAAAATAGACCCACAGGATGGCACATTATGGTGGAATTTCACAATATTGAGGGGAAAGAAAGCTTCTACAAGAGTCCAGAGAAAGCAAAGGTGATTTAGGGAAGATTAGGACTTCTCAACACTTAACATGGGAAGCTAGAAGACCATGGAACAATGTTTTCAGCCTGTAATCCCAGTACTTTGGGAGGCTGAGGCAGGAGGATCTCTTGAGGCCAAAAGTTTGAGAACAGCCTGGTTAACATAGTGAGACCCTATCTCTAAAAAGAAAAGAATTTAAAAAGGGGAAAGGCTGGGCGCGGTGGCTCACGCCTGTAATCCCGGCATTTTGGAAGGCCAAGGCGGGCGGATCATGAGGTCAGGAGTTTGAGAATATCCTGGCCAACATGGTGAAACCCAGTCTCTACTAAAAATACAAAAATTAGCTGGGCGTGGTGGCGCGCCTGTAGTCCCAGCTACTCGGGAGGCTGAGGCAGGAGAATTGCTTGAACCCGGGAGGTGGAGGTTGCAGTGAGCCAAGATCGTGACACTGCACTCCAGCCTGGTGACAGAATGAGACTCTGTCTAAAAATAAATAAATAAATAAATAAATAATACATACATACATACATACATACATACATACATACATACATACATACATAAAAAATCACCCAGGCATAGTGGTGTGCACCTGTAGTCCCAGCTACTCGGGAGGCTGAGGCACGAGAATTGCTTGAACCCAGGAGGCGGAGGTTGCAGTGAGTGGAGATCGTGCCACTACACTCCAGCCTGGTGACAGAGCAAGACTCTGTCTCAAAAAAAGGGGAGACAGACAGATTTCCAAATAATGAAGAAAAATCATTTTCCAAACAAAAATTCTAGATCTAGACAATCCATCTACTAAAGATGAGGGTAGAATAAAAGTAATTCTAAGCTATTCAGGGTCTTAGATTGTTGATATCCCATGTATCCTCCCTTTTTCAAAAAGCTCTTGGAAGCAGTGTTCCTACGAAATAAGGCAGTAATCATGAAAAGAATGTGGGACACAGGAAAGCAGTGAGCCAGCATCGGAGAGGGGTAAAGGCAGTCCCGAAGAGACTGATGGAGAGTCTAAAAGAACAGTTTTGTTCCCATGAAGAGGGGTCTTGCCCATTGTCTCGTCCAAGATGGTGCAGGTAAACTCTCGGGAAAGCTACAGCAGGACTATGACTCCGAGGCTCTGTTCACCTTATCTCCTCCATAGCTCCATCATCTAATAGTGACAATATTGTTCTTTTCATAGGCAGCTAGATTTATGTTTGAGACTCAGGTTTTTTCCCGAGAACTTTGGCAATAGGGTGTTTAGAGAGACACAGATTGAAAAATTCTAAGGAAATAGACAACACAATAATATCTGGGGGTAAAGGAAGGCACACTATGAAAGAAGGGAACTTCCAAGTCCCAGCAATGGTTTATTTCTCTACCTGGGTGGTAAGTTATGTGTTTATATTCTCGTTGTTATTAAAACTGAGCATATGTTTTATATACTCCTTTCTATTTAGTACACACATACGCACAATAACTACATAGAAGAAAAAATCCATACTCTTAATACCTAGTCACAGGTATTAACATTTTCAAGTATTTCCTTTCATCTTTTTTCTGTGTACTTGACATAACTGAGATGATACTGTGCATACATTTTTGCTATGTTCTTTTTTTTGAGACGGAGTCTTGCTGTGTTGCCCAGGCTGGAGTGCAGTGGCGCAATCTCGGCTCACTGTAAGCTCCGCCCCCTGGGTTCATGCCATTCTCCTGCCTCAGCCTCCCGAGTAGCTGGGACTACAGGTACCTGCCACCACGCCCAGCTAATTTTTTTTGTATTCTTAATAGAGGCGGAGTTTCACAGTGTTCGCCAGGATGGTCTCGATCTCCTAACCTCGTGATCCGCCTGCCTCGGCTTCCCAAAGTACTGGGATTACAGGCATGAGCCACCGCGCCCGGCCTGATATATTCTTTTGTGAGAACTGTTTAACATAAGCATCTTACGTTAAATTATTTGCATACTTATCATTTTAGGAACCATGTAATATTGCATTGAAACCCTTCCCTATTTCAAAGAGTATGACTCTGGGGAATGACATGACTGAATCTTTGTGTTGGTAACAGCTTGTATGTGAAAATGCTTGCAGGGAAATTCAGAATGTCTTCTCACCACCTCATCACCCTGTCAAAACCACACACTTCCTTGAAGGTCCAGTTCAAACCCCACCTCCTCCATGAATCATTCCCTGACCTCTGCAGAGAAGCCCTCTCCTCTAACCTTCCAGAATCCAGAGTTCTTGTCTACTCTGGCTTTTTTTTTTTTTTTCCAAGACAGGGTCTCACTCTGTTGCCCTGGCTGGAGTGCAGTGGTGTGATCATGGCTCACTGCAACCTCCACCTTCTGGGCTCAGGTGATCCTTCTACTTCAGCCTCCAGAGTAGCTGGGATTACAGGTGTGTGCTTCCATGCCTGACTAATTTTTGTGTTTTTTTGTAAGGATGGGGTTTCACTATGTTGACCAGGCTAGTCTCAAACTCCTGGGCTCAAGAGATTCACCTACCTAGGTCTCCCAGAGTGCTGGGATTACAGGTGTCAGCCACCATGCCAGGCCAGCTACTCTGCCTCTTTTTAAAGCTTTTTATGTGCTCATTTCTTTTCTCTCTGGTACACTATAAGTTCCTGGGAACAGAAATCTGTCTCTAGAGGGGCCGGAATATACTAAGTGCACCATAACTAACAAGTAAATAAATTTGGAAGGCTGTTTTTTTATTTGCTTTAATATCCTGCATTGCAAATAGTGTATATGATTAGGTCATTTATGAGATTTCACTCAAATTGAAGGTTCTCAAGTGGAAACATTCTGCTTGTTCATAATTATCACATTCAGAAACTAGGAGTATGACCACTCCTGTTCTCTCTGATAATGGATTTTATATTTGCTTTGAGGGCTGGATTAAGCAATGGTTGAGTTCTAAAAATAACATTTATGTTTTTTGAGGGCCTATTACATGCCAGATACCAGCCCAAGAAGTTTTCATGCATCTGTAATTTAGTTCCTACAGTAACACTATAAGGTAAACCACTGAGTTTTCTCATTTTACAGCTGAGGAAATGAAGTCATCTGCAGGGAGTCAACTAGGTTGTACATGGAGGAATTAGAACTCCAACTCAGCTACACATGATTCTCATATTTCTCACTTCTGAGCAAGGCTGCCTCCTCAGATATAAAAGTATAAAATCTAGGATTTGGCTTCCAACTCTCAGTTCCATATTGAAAATCATTCTCCATCAAATGGCTGACACTTGTGAATATATATTTTATTGATAAATACAAAGAATGTTAGATAATATTTAGAAGAGAAATAAGAAAGAAATCCACAGTTTCACCACCTAACAATTACTGTTATTTTAGAGTGTTCTCTTCCAGTCTTTCCCCATATGTATACCTTTAAAAAGAAAAAAATAGGCCAGGCCTGGTGGCTCATGCCTGTAATCCCAGCACTTTGGGAGGCCAAGGTGGGCAGATCACCTGAGGTCAGGAGTTCGAGACCAGCCTGGCCAACATGGTGAAACCCCATCTCTACTAAAAATACAAAAAATTAGCCGAACGTGGTGGCAGGTGCCTGTAATCCCAGCTACTCAGGAGGCGGATGCAGGAGAATCGCTTGAACCTGGGGTACGGAAGTTGCAGTGAGCCAAGATTGCATCATTGCACTCCAGCCTGGGCAACAAGAGTGAAACGCTGTAAAAGAAAGAAAGAGAGAAAGAGAGAAGGAGAGAAAGAAAGAAAAAGAAAGAAAGAAAGAAAGAAAGAAAGAAAGAAAGAAAGAAAGAAAGGAAGGAAGAAAGAAAGGAAGGAAGGAAGAAAGTGGGAGGGAGGGAGGGAAGGAAGGAAGGAAAGACAGAAAGAAAGAAAAGAAAGAAAAAACGAAAGAACGAAAGAAAGAAAGAAAGAAAGAAAGAAAGAAAGAAAGAAAGAAAGAAAGAAAGAAAGAAAGAAATATCCTCAGATAGTTGTGTGTGTGCTTTTAAGCAGAAGAGTCTGCTTAGTGGTAGGGTGAAGACAAGGGTAGCACTGAAGACAAACTTCAGCTATTCTACCACCTGGGGCTCATCTGACATCAGATAGAAACATGAAAACATAACAAAGATTAAAGGGCAATTAACACAGATCTGATTGCCTGCACCTAGATGGCTTGTGTGTAGCAGGGGCTCCTGGATGAGAAGGGGGCAGAAGTTAATAGAGCTGACTCGTGCCTTGAGTGTCATGTCTTATGTATTCAGCTGCTGACTAAGCAGCAGAGTGTAATATAGCTTACTAGAAAAAGTTGACCTTTAGCTGCATTCTTAATTCTTAACTTTTCAGTTATTGAAAGCCCATTTTTCTGGTAAAGACATCAGGGAAATCCTTTTGCCCCATCCTCCTCCTTCTCCCACTCCCTGATAGGCAGAAGAGTGGTTTCCAAAGATGCCACACCCTAATCTCTGGAAGATGTGAATATTTTACCTTACATAGCAAAATTTTGCACTGTGATTAGGAGTACTGACCTTGATATGAGGAAATTAACCTGGATTACCCAGGCGAACTCAATTCAATCACATCAATTTTTTTTTCTTTTTTTTCTTTTCTTTTTTTTTTTTTTTTCAGATAGAGTCTCACTCTGTTGCCCATGCTGGAGTGCAGTGGTGCAGTCTTGGCTCACTGCAACCTCTGCCTCCCGGGTTCAAGCAATTCTCCTGCCTCAGCCTCCCAAGTAGCTGAGATTACAGGCACCCGCCACCACACCTGGCTAATTTTTGTATTTTTAGTAGAGACGGGGGTTTCACCATGTTGGCCAGGCTGGTCTCAAACTCCTGACCTCAGGTGATCCACCCGCCTCAGCTTCAAGTGCTGGGATTATGGTCATGAGCCACCATGCACAACCACATCAATTCTTAAAAGCAACGAACTTTTCCAATCTGTGGTCACAGAGAGATGTGACTACATAAGGTCAGAGAGAGAACCACAGAGATGGCAGCATGAGGACTTGGCCTATCATGGCTGGCTTTGAAGATGGAGGCAGGGGGCTACCAGCCAAGGAATGTGGGTAGCCTCCAGAAGCTGGAAAATTCAAAGAAATGGATTCTTCCCTAGAGCATCCAGAAAAGCTTATACCTTGATTTTAGCCATGTGAGATCTGTGTCAGATTTCTGACCTACAGAATTGTAAAATTAAAAATTTGCATTTCCAACAGATGAAAGACAGAAGAAATTGTGTTCTGTACAGCAAAAGAACCATTAACAAAGTGAACAGACCTCACACAATGGGAGAAAATATTTGCAAACTATCTATCTGACAATGGATTAATAATCAGAAGATACAAGGAGCTCAAACAACTCAATGGGAAAAAATTTAATTACCAATTTTTTAAATGAGCAAAAGGTCTGAAGAGACATTTCTTTTTTTTTTTTTTTTGAGATGGAGTTTTGCTTTTGTCGCCCAGGCTGGACTGCAATGGTATGATCTCGGCTCACTGCAAACTCCGCCTCCCAGGTTCAAGTGATTCTCCTGCCTCAGCCTCCCCAGTAGCCAGGATTACAGGCTTCTGCCACCACGCCCAGCTAATTTTTTTATTTTTAGTAGAGACAGGGTTTCACCATATTGGCCAGGCTGGTCACGAACTCCTGACCGCAGGTGATCTACCCACCTTGGCCTCCCAAACTGCTGGGATTCTTAAAAGAAGACATATAAATAGCAAACAGGCATATGAAAAGGTGCTCAACATCATTGATCATCAGAGAAATGCAAATCAAAACTATAATGAGATATAATTTCACCCCAGTTAAAATGGCTTATATCCTGAAAACAGGCAATAACAAATGCTGGCAAGGATGAGGAGAAAAAGGAACCCTTGTACACTATTGGCAGGAATGTAAATTAATACAACCACTATGGAGAACAGTATGGACGTTCCTCGAAAAACAAAAACAGAACTAGTATATGATCCAGCAACCCCACTGCTAGGTATTAATGTATACCCAAAAGAAAGGAAATCAGTATATCAAAGAGATATCTGCACTCCTATGTTTATTGCAGCACTATTCACAATAGTTGTATTAGCAGTTCTCACTCTGCTAATAAAGACATACCCAGACTGGATAATTTATAAAGGAAAGAGATTTAATTGACTCACAGTTTCACATGGGTGGGAAGGCCTCACAATCATGGTGGAAGGCAAAGGAGGAGCAAAGTCACATCTTGCATGGTGGCAGACAAGAAGAGCTTGTGCAGGGGCCCTTCTATTTATAAAACCATCAGATCTTCTGAGACTTATTCATTCACTACCACAAGAACAGTATGGGGGAAACTGCACACATGATTCAATTGTCTCCACCCGGTCCTGCCCTTGACACGTGGGGATTATTACAATTCAAGGTGAGATTTGGGTGGGGACACAACCAAACCATATCAATAGCCAAGATTTGGAATCAATGTAAATGTTCATCAACAACCAGTAGATAAAGAAAGTGTGATACATATACACAATGGAGTACTATTCAGCCATAAAAAATAATGAGATCCTGTCATTTACAACAACGTGGGTGGAACTGGAGGTCCTTACGGTAAGCGAAACAAACCAGGCACAGGAATACAAACTTTTCATGTTTTCACTCATTTGTGGGAGCTAAAAATTAAAACAATTGAACTCATGGAGACAGACAGTAGAATGATGGTTACCAGAGGCTGGGAAGAGTGGTGGGTGGGTGTGAGGAGTGGGGGTGGTTAATGGGTACAAAAATATAGTTAGAATGAATAAGATCTAGTATTTGACAGCACAACAGGGTGACTACAATCAACAGTAATTTATTGTACATTGTAAAAATCACTAAGAGTGGTAATTGGAATGTTTATAACACAAAAAAGAATAAATGCTTGAGGTGATGGATACCCCATTTACCCTGATGTGAGATGTGATTATTACACATTGTAGGTGTGTATCAGAATATCTCATGTACCCCATAAATATACACACCTGCTATGTACCCATACAAATTTTGTAAACAAATTTTTAATTGCGATTTATAGATACATAGAATATTATTCAGCCATAAAAAAGAAGGAAATCCTGCCATTTGCAACAACATGGATGAACTCTGAGGGCATTATGCTAAGTGAAATAAGTCAGACAGAGAAAGACAAATACTGTATGATCTCACTTATATGTGGAATCTAAAAGAGCTGAACTCATAGAAAAAGAGAGAAGAATGGTGGTGGCCAGGAGCTGGGGACTGGGGGAAATGAGGAGACGCTGGTCAAAGGGTATGAACTTTAGTTACAAGATAAATAAGTTCTGGGGATTTAATGTACATCATGATGAATATAGTTAATAATACAGATGTTCCTCAACTTACAATACAGTTACACCCTGATAAACTCATCACAAATTGAAAATATCATGTCAGAAATGAATTTAATATACCTAACCTACCAAACATCATAGCTTTAGCTTAGCCTACCTTAAACGTGCTCAGAACACTTCTGCCTAGGTTGGGCAAAATCATTGAACACAAAGCCTATCTTATAATAAGGTATTGAATATCTCGTGTAATTTATTGAATACTGTGCTGAAAGCAAAAAAAAAAAAAGAATGGCTGGATGAATATTAATGTACACATTAAGTCGAAAAGTCATAAAGTTGAAAAAGTGTGAGTTGAACCATCGTAAGTCAGGTACTGTGTGTACTGTATTGTACACTTGAAATTTGCAAAGAGAGTAGATCCAAAACTTTCTCCCCATATACACAAAAAAAAAAATGGGAGAGGGGGCAGGAATTTTCCTTTTAAGTCATGGTGGAAATTTGTTACAGTAGCAATAGAAAACTAATTTCTCTGTGTGTGTGTGTGTGTGTGTGTGTGTGTGTGTGTGTGTGTGTGTGTGTATTATGTCTTTACTGACTAGTGTATGTGACTACTGTATGCTTAATTCTCCAGTACTTCATAGATCCTTAATATCCTCAAATGGAGACCATCTCAGTGACTGCAACAAGTTTCCCAGGCTTCAACTTCCAGATCTTCAAATCTACTCATCTCAAAAAGAAAACAAGAAAAGAAGCAGAAACTCTAGAAGTCACTCTCTTTACTGTCTAAAGGGACTAGTGACAGAAACCTTGTCTGTCTGCTGAATCCCCAACGCCTAGAAGAGTGCCTAGTACGTAGTGGTAACTCAATGAACATTTGTTGATTGACTGCTTGATTGAGGAATAGTAATATAGAAATTTGTATCTTTTACCAAAGCCATGTACTGGAGCCCTTTGCTGCTGCAGACTCTGAGTCTCATCACGACCTCATCTTCCTCCAGGGAGAGAGATGAATGCAAATGACCCACTAGGGTAGAGCTGGGGTTGAAATAAACCCAGGAGTAGCTCTGCTTGGCCAATGAATACTTTGTGTAAGCGTAGCTTATGCTGTGCATGGAGATATATATACAAAGCTTCCTTAGTTATTTATTCCACCAAAATTAAGAGTCTACTATGTGTAGCAGTCTCTGCCACATTCTAAGAACACAAAGATATATAGGACACAGCCACTGCCATCCTAGCATTAACAACCTAGGAATGGTTGTAGGCATCCTTACAATGTGGTGGACACTCTTTTACATACAACAATCTCATTTAAATATTAGAACAGTAACCAGATAAGTGGGTATTAGTCCCACTTTATGGATGAGGAAACTGAAGTTCAGAAAGTTAAATAACTTAGACAAGTTACTTAGCAAGTAAATGGTTCATGCCAGGTTTAGAATTCAGGTTTATCTGGCTCCAAAAGCACACAGTAGCTATTGACATTGCATAGTAACCTACAGTTTGCAAACCACTTTTATTACACATTATCTTACTCCTTCCAACAAAGGTTATGAAATAGGTATTACTATACCCATTTTACCAAACAGAAAACTCAAATTTTCTACCCAAGTCACAAAGTTCTTCAGTGACAAAAACAGAATTGGAACCCAGATCTTTTGTCTCTAGCCCCTATTCCCTTTCCACTCTGCCATGGTTTCATTAATCTCTGAATTCTTCACACAGACCCACCTGCTATCATGAGTGTGATCTAAGACCCTGATGAAAGCACATGGAAGAATATAAACAAGGCAAACAGGACTGCTAGAGTTGAAGCTCATGCCAGGTGAACATTTATTAGTTAGAGCTGGGTTTACTCTGTGCTTTCAATTATAATCCCTTGCTTGATCTGGGGCTAGCAATTTCATAGCTATATTCAAGTGTCCTATTGGGTGTATCTTACCCATTTCTTAACATTTGGAACAAGCCCCACTTTGTTCAACACTTAAACATTGTAACAGTGTTCATCAAAGCTCATGGTCTAACTAGTTACCTGTTACAACAGAGAAGACAGGTCCCCAATTAATCAATATACTAAAAGCTCTTCTCCTCCCTTCCAGTAAGACTTTGGCCTTGGCAACTGCACAAATATCAAATTAGGCTTGGATCAAAAGAATGAATGGTTATCAAGGTTACTTAAGATTGATTGTGATTAGGCCAGGCATGGTGGCTCATACCTATAATCCCAGCACTTTGGGAGGCTGAGGCAGGAGGATTGCTTGAGCTCAGGAGTTTGAGACCAGCCTGGGCAACATAATGAGACTCCCATCTCTACAGAAAAAAAATAATAATTAGCCAGGCTCCCACTTGAACCCAAGAGTTGAAGCTGCAGTGAGTTATGATCATGCCACTGCACTTCAGCCTGTCTCAAACAAAACAAAACAAAACAAAACAAAACAAGACAAAACAAAACAAAACAACTGATAGTGACTGGAGAATGTATCTGTGAAAATTCCTGAAGAGTAGTGATCATTTCTTGTTTTCATTTCTGTAGCTTCCATTGCATCTAGGTCAACACCTGGTCCATGGCAAGTAATTACTCATTGAGTGAAAGCTCCAAATATGCCAACTCAGGAAGACTCTGTAAAGGATGATAGAACCTAGGAACACCTGAAAGCAAATGGAAGCCAGTGCTTCAAGAAGAAAAAGTTATATCTGCCTTTGCCACTGACCATGTGATTACACTCTGAACTCACCACCACCAAGCGTAAGAATTAAACTTGGCATTTAAGTCTAGTGGACTACCTCTTCCACAAACAATGTGGTCTTCAACGAGTTTCTCTTCTTGTGTGTAAAATATAGGGTCAAGGTAGGAATGGGGATTCAGATTAAATACAGGATTGATTTCAGTTAATTCCTGAAGTCTTTTCAGAACCTTTGCCAGCACTTTGGGAACCTTCACCAAGATGCCCCATCTCCACTTCCATCTCTGCTATTCCCACATGCCTCACCTGCTGTGCCCACCAATGTCACGTACACCACCTCCAAGCAGTCTCCACAGAAAAGCCTAGAATCCCTGCTTTCCCACCCACCTCCCAGCTCTCCAAGGAGATCTTCCTTTCATCATCCAAGCAGCCAACCAAAGTGTTGATGCTAATCCGTGAGGATCAGATGCAGTGATTCTTACACTTTTGTGTGAAAAAAATCCTCTGAGCATTAAGATGAAAATGCAGCATTCTGGATCTACCCACAGAGGAGGTCTTAGAAGGAGAAGGGACTCTAGAATCTTCTAACAAACACCCCTAGAAGATTCTGATGCAGATGATCCAAAGATCACTCTTTCAGATGAAGTGATCTAGGTTTTGATCCTAGACCACAGGTTCTTCACCTGGCAGTTTATGAATTCCCAAGGGATCTGAGGACCAAATCCAGGTCCTTAGTTAAGTACATGAACTTAAAAAGGGAAAAATACAGGCATACCTCAGAGATATTGTAGATTCTGTTCCAGACCACTGCAATCAAACTAGTGGTGCAATAAAGTGAGTTATATAAATTTTTTTGTTTCCCAATGCAAATAAAAGTTATGTTTACACTATATTATAGTCTACTGAGTGTGCAAGAGGATTGTACATCCCATAATTTAAAAATACCTTATTGCTAAAAAAAAATGCTAACGATCATCTGAGACTTCAGCAAATCATAATCTTTTTGCTGGTAGACGCTTTTGCCTTGACATTGATGGTTCTTTTGACTGATCAAGGTGGTTGTTGCTGAAGGCTGGCATGGCTGTGGCGATTTCTTAAAAGAAGATGACAATCATGTTTGCCATATCAATTGACTCTTCCTTTCACAAAAGGTTTCTCTGTAGCATGCAATGCTGGTTGATAGCATTTTACCTACAGTAACTTCCTTCAAAATTGGAGTCAATTCTCCCAAATCCTGCCACTGCTTTGTCAACTAAGTTTATGGAATATTTGAAATCCTTTGTTGTCATTTCAACAATGTTCATAGCATCTTCACCAGGAACAGATTTCATCCCAAGAAACCCCTTTCTTTCTTTCTTTCTTTCTTTTTTTTTTTTTTTTTTCTGAGACGGAGTCTTTCTCTGTCGCCCAGGCTGGAGTGCAGTGGTGCGATCTCGGCTTATTGCAACCTCCACCTTCCCAGGTTCATGCCATTCTCCTGCCTCAGCTTCCCGAGTAGCTGGGACTACGGGCGCCTGCCACCATGCCCGGCTAATTTTTTTGTATTTTTAGTAGAGACGGGGTTTCACCGTGTTAGCCAGGATGGTCTTGATCTCCTGACCTCGTGATCCACCTGCCTCCCAAAGTGCTGGGATTACAAGCATGAGCCACCGCGCCTGGCCAAGAAACCACTTTCTTTGCCCATCTATAAGAACCAACTTGCCATCCATTCAAGCTCTACCCTCAGATTGCAGCAGTTTAGTCACAGCTCCACTTCTAATTCCAGTTCTCTTGCTATTTCTACCACATCTACAGTTATTTCCCTCACCAAAGTCTTGAACCTCTCAAAGTAATCCATGAGGCTTGGAATCAGCCTCTCCCAAACTTCTGTTAATGTTGATATTTTGACCTCCTCCCATGAATCACAAATGTTTTTAACAGCATCTAAAATGGTGAATCCTTTCCAGAAGGTTTTCAATTGACTTTGCTCTGATCCATCAGAGGAATCACTATATATTGGCAGCTATAGACTTAGACACTGAGTTTCTTAAATAAGACTTGAAAATGAAAATTACTCCTTGATCCATGGGCCGCAGAATGGATACTGTGTTAGCAGGCATGAAAATAACATTAATCTCCTTGTACCTCTTCATAAGAGCTATAGGTGACCGGGTCATTGTTGATGAACAGTAATATTTTGATTTTTTTTTTTTTTTTTTTTTTTTTTGCTGAGCAGCAGATCTCAACTGAGGCCGAGGTGGGCAGATCGCCTGAGGTTGGGAGTTTAAGACCAGCCTGACAAACATGGAGAAACCCCATCTCTACTGAAAATACAAAATTAGCCGGGTGTGGTGGCGCATGCCTGTAATCCCACTACTCGGGAGGCTGAGACAGGAGAATCGCTTGAACCTGGGAGGTAGAGGTTGCGGTGAGCCAAGATTGTGCCATTGCACTCTAGCCTGGGTGACAAGAGCGAAACTCTGTCTCAAAAAAAAAAAAAAAAATTTAGTAAACCATGCTATAAACAGATGTGCTGTCATCCAGGATTTGTTGTTCCATTTACAGAGCACAGGCAGAGTAGATTTAGCATAATTCTTAAGGGCCCTAGGATTTTTGGAATGGCAAATGATCTTTGGCTTCAACTTAAAGTCACCAGCTGCATTAGCCCCTAACAAGAGATTCAGCCTGTCATTTGAAGCTTTGAAGCCAAGCATTGACTTCTGCTCTCTCATGATCAAAGTCCTCAATGATCTCTTCTTCCAAGACAAGGCTGTTTTATCTACATTGAAAATCTGCTGTGTGAATCCAGGAGGCAGAGGCTACAGTGGGCCAAGATCGTACCATTGCACTCCAGCCTGGGCGACAGGGCGAGACTCCGTCTCAAAAAAAAAAAAAAAAAAAGAAAAGAAAAGAAAAGAAAAAGAAAATCTGCTGTTTAGTGTAGCCACATTCATCAATTAACTTAGCTTGGTCTTCTGAATAACTTAGTGCAGCTTTTGCATAAGCATTTGCTGCTTCGCCTTACATTTTTTTTTACATTACGGAGATGGCTTCTTTCCTTAAATCTCATGAACCAACCTCTACTAGCATCCAACTTTTCTTCTGCAGCTTCCTCACCTCTCTCCACCTTCATAGAATTAAAGAGTTAGGGCCTTGCTCTGAATTTGGCTTTGGCTTAAGAGAATGTTGTGGCTGGTTTGATCTTCTATCCAGACCATTCAAAATTTCTCCATATCTGCAATAAGGCTGTTTTGTTTTCTTGTCATTTGTATGTTCACTGAAGTAGCACTTTTAATTTCCTTCAACAACTTTCCCTTTGCATTCACAGCTTGGCTAAATGGTGCAAGAGGCCTAGCTTTTAGCCTATCTCAGTTTTGGACATGCCTTCCTCACTAAGCTTAGTCCTATTTCTAGCTTTTTATTTAAAAGAGAGACACGTGACTCTTCCTTTCACTTCAACACTTACGGGCCATTGTAGGGTTATTAATTGGCCCAATTTAAATAGTGTTGTGCCTCAGGGAATAGGGAGGTTTGAGGAGGGGAGGGCAGAATGGCCTGTCAGTGGATCAGACAGAACACATACAACATTTATCGATTAAGCTCACTGTTTTATATGGGCACAGTTCATAGTACCCCAAAATAATTACAATAGTATTATCAAAGATCACTGATTACAGATCACCATAACAGATAGAATAATAATCCAAAAGTTTGAAATAGTACAAGTATTACCAAAATGTGACCCAGAGACATGAACTGAGCACACACTTTTGGAAAAATGCCACCAATAGACTTGCTCAATGAAGGGTTGCCACAAACCTTCAATTTGTTAAAAATGCATTATCTGTGAGGCACAATAAAACAAAGTGTAATAAAATGAGGTCACCTGTGTATCTTTTTTATTTTTATTAGCTGTAACTAGAAGTTAACATTTTTCCTTCTTTCTTTCTTTTTCTTTCCTTCCTTCCTTCTTTCTCTTTCTTTCTTTACTTTTCTTTCTTTTCCTTTCTTTCTTTCTTTTTCTTTCTTTTTCTTTTTTGACACAGGGTCTCACTTTGTCACCCAGGCTGGAGTGCAGTGATCATGGCTCACTGTAGCCTTGACCTCCCGGGCTCTAGTGATCCTTTCACCTCAGCCTCCTGAATACCTGGGACCACAGGTACATGCCACCATGCCCAGCTAATTTTTTTATTTTTATTTTTTGTACACATGGGATCTTACTAGGTTCCCCAGGCTGGGCCTGAACTCCTGGGCTCAAAGGATCCTCCCACCTCAGCCTCCCCAAATGCTGGGATTATAGACATGAGCCACTGCACCCTGCCTAGCATTTCTTCTGAATGTCTTTTGATAAAGGCAATAAACCCAGTAGTATTAGTAGCACCTGTGACTCCGCCACCAATAGAAATCATTGATATTGTTAGAGAACATTACTGCTATGGCAGATACCTTGAAATTCTATTTACACTCATCACTGCTTTGAAATTATGGTTGTTGTTTAGACAGATCTGCCGCTAGATTTTGTCATTTAATCAAATAATAAAGAATTGTGTATATTACCATATCATTATTTTTAAAAATATATTTTTATAATTGTATTTTAATGTCATTGGTTTATTTTGTGATCTATGTATTTTATTTTATACATTTAAAAATATTATTCTGGGGGGGTGTCAATAGGCTTCACCAGACTGCCAATGGGGCCCTTGGCATGCACACACAAAAAGTTTAAACAGTCCTGCTCTAGGCAGAGCCAGTTACGCCAGGAAACAATTTCTGGCAACCCTGCTCTCTATTTTCTTTCTCTTGCTCCTCCCCAGAACCCAACCTTTCAGCCAGGTGGTGGACTGCACCAGAATTACAGAGTTCTCAGGGATAAAGAAGGAGCCACTCTGGGCATGGACTGTGTCCTGAAAGTGACTTTGGCAAGGGTTAGGAGAGGCTGGGTTCTCCTGCAGCTTGCCTGGGCCTGGACAACTTGTCCCTTTGTTTTCCCAGTCAAACTGAGCCACTCTTCCTAGTTCAGAATCCACTGTTTAATACAAATATTGATTTGAGGGGTTAAGAAAACCACTCCACAGATGAGCAGAAACTTCCTGGAACCATTCACAAAATATTCATCAGAAATAGAAACCCAGAGAGGTGGAGAACTAGGACTGCCCACTCTTGTGCCAGCACCATCATCTCTACATGATTTCATATTTACAGGCTGGCCCAAGAATAAATATGGTGGCCATATCATTTTGGAAAGAGAGGCTAAAGAAGTAATGCCAAACAAGCCGGCCAAATGCCTCCCTTGGCTTAATGGGTGTTTGGGCAGTGCCCACCAATTACAAGTCCCTCCGCTTTATAGACTCCTAAAGTAGCTGCTGAAAGCACTATCCAGTTTATAAATGAGAAAGAAGCCTGAACACAAGCATCCTGGTGGTTGGGCTGGCAGCTCCTGCTAAGAGTTTATCTTTGCATCCACAGCCGGAAAGGAATCGGCATTCCTAGGCTTGTGACTTAAAGAAAATTAATGACTGAGCCAGACACGTCCTGAGGACCCCCTACCCTTGCAGTCCTAACACTCCGGGGCGAGATTTCTAGGTTAGGGGGAATGCCCCATCTTCTGGCTTTGGCCAAGCCTGGGATTTCTTAGAAGGTTGCGGGGCCAATCAGCAGCCATAAATCTTAGAGAACCTTCACCGTTTTACAAGGGAGTTCGCAGGGGCTGCCCTTCTCCCTCACGCGGTCTATTTACAACGCCGAAATCTCCGTGTTAATGGACCTAGGATAATGGTGTTTACTTTACCGCGATAAAGCGCTGGGCTTCCTGGGGGAGCGGCTGTAAAATGTCCTGGAGGTAGGGATGGAACGGGCGCCGTAAAAGCGGGCGCTGGAAGGGCGGGGGCACCAGGTTCTCCTTCAGGCCGGCGCCCCCGCCCTCCACCCTCTAGGCCAGGCTGAGCAGCCCAGGCCTGGCGGGCGAGCACCGTTCCCACATAAATCACCAGCGCCAGAGTCTCGGGAAAAGGCGCATTTTTCATTGCTGGCTGCAGGGCGACTCCAGACCGCGAACGAGAAACAGAAGTTGTCTTTAGATAAACCGTTCACCGGAGCGCGCGTTGTGGCAGCAGGGTCCGCAGAGCACAGGGCAACCTGGGTCTGGCGCTGCGCCCCCGCCACCGATCACCTCCCAGAGGCCCCGCAAGAAACCCAGATCCTCTCAAGGGCTGGTACCACGTCCTCCTGCCAGAGAGGAGATAGGGAGCCAAGCGGGAAGGAAAAGGAGAACTTCAGGGTTTGGAGAGACTGGAGAAGTTGTGCTCGCGAAGGCAAAACCTCAAAAACCTGAAAGCCTAACTCCACGTTTACCAGCAATGTAATTTCGAGCAAGTGACTTTACCCCTCTGAGCTTCAGGAATCTTAAGTTGTAAAACAAAAACTACTACCTTCTTATTCTGTGTTCAAAATTGACGTGAAATCAAATGCAAGTTTTATAACCGGACCCAGGAGGTTCCCTGAAGCCCCTGGAATTGTTGGCAAAGGGTCACGCGTATCTGGGGAGAGGATCCCAAGCAAGTGCTCAAACCACAAAACAGTGAGAACCACCGCCCTAGCTCTGTAGACACACTATATGGCTAGAATCCTGGCTCTACCACTTACTAGCTGTGAGATCTTGCTCAGGTTACCGAAGCCTCCTGTTTTCTCTTCTGTAAAAAGGGATAATCGTTCCTACGATTATGTGGAGACTAAAAGCACTAGGCACGGTGTCTGGCATGTAGTAAATGCTAAACGATTAGCTACATTCACGCATCACCCCCTAGCCCTATAGCAAAGACACTTGTCTCCAAAGTCAAGAATTCCAGGCCTAGTCTTTTCAAACTGAAGGCTGCCAAGATCTATGAAACCCTACATTGGTCCTGGGCGCCAGTGGGCAACTCGCCCATTGTCAGATGGCGCCCTTTCCACTGCTTTGGATGGGTGCGCGGGTAGCGTTTTTTTTCCCGGGCTAGCAGTGGGTAAGCGTGTGCGCACCTTGCGCCGGGCGCTGCAGGGAGTCTCCAGCTCCTGGAGGTGCGCACTCGCTGGGCGGCCGCCCTTTGAAGGCAGCTCTAACCTTGCCGGCCGCCAGGCGCCCGGGGCTTGGCCCTAATCCGGATTTGGAGGCCGAAGCAGTAAGCAGGCCGTCACCGACTGCGAGGAAATCAAAGCGGCCGCCATCCTGGTAGCTCCCGGTCTTGTTTACTTGTTGACGCGCGCTCACCCAAGCAAGACGACCTCGAGTTTGGTATCCGCCTAGAGAGAAGAGGGGTAGGGGTCCCGGGAGCAGCCAGCCTCCACCCCGCTGGAGGCCAAGGTTTCCAATTGCGGCTGACAAGTTTCCTTCCCTTCTAAGGTCAGAGGTCGAGCCTGGGAGAGGCCCCGCTCCCCTTTCCCTCCAGGCCCACCCGGCGCGGTGTCCTGGAGCCCCGTTTCCAGCCGCGCCTTCTTCTCCCCTCCTAGCTCGTTATCCATTAGTATAATCCTCTGTCCAAACAGTGCAGCCGGGACGGCCAGACGTTTGGTGTAAACAGACCCGGGGGAACAATTCTAACGATATAAATAAAATAACCATTAATAGCGCAAATTGTTCGATGAACCGAGCACCCGGACTCCAGCCTCGCTGGGGTTTGTGTACACAGCGTGGACGCCACGCATCCGTCAGGTGAATCTGAGGTTCTTGTCCCGGCCAAAATCTAAACCAGGCGCAGGTGAGGTCCCCTCAAGCGCGTCAAAGGGGACCCGGCTCCTAACACTCACAGGCCGCGACACGCACGCGGCTCAGGACAGACGCACACAGCGAGGTCGCCAGGCGGCCGCAGCTCGCATTAACGTAACCGCCGGGGCCCGCCCCAAACAGAGTAACCGGGGTGAGCCCGGCTCTTCAAAAACTCTACCCCTCTCCCCGTGGCCAGCCAAGGCCTCAAAGGGCGCCACCTGGTCACATCGGCAGCCTCCGTGTGAGCAAGGACACAGAGCCCACACCCCAAACGGAAAAAAATCAACCTCCACTTGTCCCGGGCTTCATAATAATAAACTAACATTTATTGGGCGTTTCTTGTGCCAGGCACCACGCTAAGTGCTTCACAGAGGTAATTTCCTTGAATCCTTAGGCGACCTAAGAGGTAGATGCTTCTAGTATTCCCAGTTCCACAAGTCAGAAAAGCAGAAACCTCAGAGAGGTTACGGAATTTGCCTGGAGACCCATGGAGACAGAATTTGAATCCACAGCTCTGCTCCAGGAAGTGCACGGTGCCTCCCCGAGATGCAGCCACTTGCGCAGATTCCGGGGTGCCTGGCTGCCAAGGTCTGAAGGCTAGCTCCAGCGCATTCCCGGCTCCGCCGTGCTGCAGGGGGTTTGCTTTCCAGTGGGAAGTTCCTACTTCTCCCTCGGCAGAGTGGTCTAAGAGGTCAGGACAGAGGCAGGAGGGGAGCCTCCTTGGAAAGCCCTGTGACCTATTCCCAGGGACCCAGCAGTGGGCTCCCAGCGGGCCCTGCTCTGGCGTCGGGGTTGCAGATACCGCCCAGGAGGAGGCGAGCGAGGCCTCCGGGACAATAGGTCAACCCTGCGGGGGTCGCGGGGGGAGGCGGGGTCACTTGGAAAAACGCCTCCCTGGGGCCGGATGGCCGTGGAGTCATGGTTCCCGGAGTCTGGCTGGGGCAGGACGTTGTCTCCAGCCCACCCAGGCGTGGAGCGGAGGCGTCCTGCACCCACTCCTTACTTGCTTCGTGACCTTGGACAAATAATTTTATTTCTGGGGCCTCAATGTCCAAGGCTCTAACATGGGGCGGGAGGGGCGATGATACTTTTCTCCGAGGGATGTAGCGATCAGAAGAGACCTTTGTGTGGAACGCTTTGTTCACCGGTGGAAAGTTTATTATCATGATTAGTGTTAACTTGACAGTGGGCACTTCAGAAGGCGGGGACGAGGGCTGGCAGCCCCATACTGAATAGAAAGCGAAGGACGGAGGTAGGGAGAAAGGAAACTGCTCTGGGGGGCGGAGGTGGGGGTACACGTAGGAGGGAAGGGGAGGGGGCTAGAGGAGGCTCCGCCCCACCGTCCGGCAGTGTTTATTTTCAAGGCAGCTTCCCGTCAATCCTGTCACCGGGGCACATTCTTTTCGGGGGCTGTGAACCACCGTCAGGGCTCTGCAGGAAGATTTGAGGAGGGGGAGGGCTGTCGAGTAGGGAGCAGGAATTCGCAGAGTAGAGAGAACTGCGTCTGGGCAGGCAGTCCCTGCGTGGCGCGGGGGAAGAGAGGAAGCTGAGTGTTCAAGGCAAGGAATTTTAACAACTTTGGGCAATTTACCTCACCCTTCTGAGCCTCAGTTCCCTCCTCTGAAATGGTTATATTAATAGGGCCAAAGACAAGAGCTGTTGCAAGAAGCAGAAGCAGTAACAATGGCGGACACTTAGCAAGAGTTTACAGCAGCCTGGAGATGTTCTGGGATCTTCATACCCAATGAGACAGCGGACTCTCCCAGCCCAGTAGAAGTCTCTTGACCATGGTCTGCCAGTTTATGTGGGGGCTGGGTGGGGAGGGGAGGCTCTTCACCTCTGAGCCCATTGGTGCTTGTAGAAAAGCCATGAACAGTAGCTAGTTCTGTCCGTATGGTCATTGGTGGTGGGATTGCTAATGTTATTGTTGTCAGCTGTATTATTTCTATTGTTACAGCCACTCACTACCAACCCTAAAAGGTAGCCGCCAGTAACTCCTTTATGGAAAGGAAACAGGCTCAGAGAGGGTAAGTGACTTGCCTAAAGTCACACAGCAGTTGTGGGGCCAAGCGGAGAGATAAGAAACCAGGCAAATCCAATGGCCAGATGCTGTCACCCACCGCAGAGGTAAAAGGAGAGAGGGCACAGTTTGGTGCAGGGCAAGGCCTGGGTGAGAGAGGGACACCCACCGCCAGGGCAGGTCCCCAGCAGCTGATTTATTTGCATTCCAGCGGGGAGGCTAATTGGCCAGATCTTTATCTCAACACGATAACAATGACATGAGACTTCAGGGATTTGTTTACAGCAGCTAAAAATGATGCATTTGTGGGAGTGGGAAGCTGGGTTGGAGTGCGGGTTTTGTTTGCGGCTGCTTTAGCTTCAGAGGGTCGGGAGTGGCTACTGGGGGAGTGGGGAGGCTGAGAGGAGGCTGCTGGTCATTCTGAGAGTATTTCCTAAAACTAATGATTAAGAATTAGTGTCCTTGTTTGAAGACCCCCAAAAACACAAAATTTGATGGACAATTAAATAATGCTTTTCTAAGTGGGAAAACAGAGGGCCTGGGAACCCAACTCTCCGCCGATCTCTGCTCAGCTAGAGGAGAGGTTCGGCACCTCTGTGCCTAACAACCGCCCCTCACCACGCACACCCCCAGCCGCCACCGCAAGAACCGTTTCTCCTCTCATAGGTGTGGAACGCTCTGTAAGTGCTTTTCTTAATCTTTAAGGCAGGCCTATAAAGTCCACACCATTATTATCTTCTTTTGTAAGTGAGAAAACAGCCATTTAACAAGGTTGAAAGACTGGCTCAAAGTCACAAGACTACAAAAACAGCAGGACTCCACACCTAGATCTGGTGGACTACAGGGCCAGTGCTCCAGCCCAAGACAGAGGCATGACTTATGATTATAACTTAGAGAAAGCAACATCTCCCTGGGCCCCATCCCAAACTCAACCTCCTCATCTATGGACTCTCCTTGCAGAGGAGGGTGTCACCGGGGCAACCTTTGCACATGAATGCTCAGGAGGTCTGTCTACAGCCATTCACATGCATGCTTACTGACTTACCAGTTGTGGGAGGTATAAGATATTCACATCTGCCTGTGTACATGCTCACTTATGTGGGGGCACAATACATACATATATATACATACAGGCCACCCTTCTACTATACTAATGTGGAGGGCATGACACATGGAGTTTTTAAAAGTCTAAATTTCAGAATATTTCAATGTAGTTTTATTACTTTCAACAACACACACAGTCATTACAATTCTGGTAATAAAATCTATTCCCTCTTCTCTGACTACAGCTTAGACAGGCCCTTATGGAACTACTTTGTACAAGACTAATTGTAATGATCCCATAAATTGCCTTATAGAAATAGTGCATCTGATAGTCATGGAACTTAATTTTCATCTTGGATCATATAAACATTTCTCTCCAAATCTCATGTCACTACCAGTAATTCACATTATTGTGGGGCGGGGTGGGTGGGGAAGGAGGGAGGGAATTTAGAATGAGTGTTGGCCAGCCTTGTGTTAATGACCACATGATCTGAAAGAGCAGAGCCCTAATGTGGAGTCTACATTTATGGGGAGTCCTGAGTGCCTTCTTCCCCATGCCCATCCACATGTGCACTCACTAATGTGTTTACACAGGAAAGCACTTTCCTCTTCATTCAAGGAGAAAGACATGTCTGTAGAAACATTTATATCATGTCTCTATCCACCTACTGGAAACCTATATTTCTCAGGAGATGAAACTGCCACCAATCTCAAAAGTATGGCTGCAGCTGGAAGGTAAAAGGTAGAGGGTGGCTGGCTGGCTGCCTGCCATGCATCTGGGGAGCCCAGCTCCCAGGGGAGAATGCATGAGACTTAGTCCCCTCTCAGGAGGCCAGTGACTCAGTGGCCCCCACTGGCCCCAGTTAGGGAAAAGGTAGGAGATTATTGGTGGACCCAGAGCAGCTAGAGTGCTCTGTCCTTGGCTGGTGTGAGAAGCCAGGGACCCCACTCTTTTCTCTTAGATTTGGCCCCTGCATTTTAAGGCAATCTCTGAAACACCTTCCAGTTGGGGTGATCTCAAGACAATACAACCCCCAGTCTAAAGTGGGACTGTTGGGAAAGAAAGGAAAGTCAGTTTGCTCTCACCTGTGTGTGGTGCAGTGGGGGTGGGTGTTCCTGGTCTGGGAGCCCCCATCTGCTCTCAGGGATGCCTGGGGCCCAGGCCTCATGGTCACCTCCAGCTCTGTTCTGGTTCTCTTCAGACTGCCACAATAGAAGGAAATGGAGAAGGATCTGCCTGGAGTGGGGATTTCCATGGGGAGGGCAGCCAAGCCTGCCACCTGGAGCCCCACAGACCAGCTAGGGCCCACTGCTGAGGCCATGGGGGAGTGGGGGCTTGGGAGGTGGGAGAGGTCTTACCAGTTGGAACAGGGCACAGAGTAGCTTCCCTTTCACAAGCCCAGGGATGCATGGGCATTTTCCTGAGCAGCCCTGAGGGTCAGAAGCAGAGGGGTGGGATAGGGGAAGGAATGTGAGGCTCAGGAGTGGAGTCTTGCTCAGTTAGTCTCACCCCACCTCGGCGAAGCCCTCCTGTGCTGCCCTGATTCCCTTCACATCAAACATCTGCAGGGGCCACAATCAAAAAGCCTGAGAGCATCAGAGTGGAGGGGGTAAGAAGGGAGAGAAAAGAGGGGAATGAAACAAGATGAGGGGAAGAGTGAGAAAATGGGCAGGAGGGAAACAGGTGGGGAGGAGTGGAAACAGTAAGAAAGGAAGCTGAGGAGATGGGGGAGGAGGTGAGGAAGAAAGGAAGTGGGGGAAGGGCAGAAGGGAAAAGGGGTGGCAGAGTAAAATGGGCTCCGTCAGAGAGGAAGGGGCTACGAGGGGAAAAAGGCTAGCAGTGAGGGAGAGGAGGAGGACTGCAGGCGGAAGAGCGCGCGCGTTTTAGGATCCCCGACTCAGAAGCTCTGCCTGGCCTCAGGATGTGGCGAGCCTCAAGAGGTAAGAAGGTCCTCGCCTCTGGCTGGCAGGAGTGCGGAGAGGTGGAGGGGAGTTCGAGAACGTAGAGGCAGGTTCAAGGACAAAGGCCCACCTTGTGCGGGCCAACCAAGTCTCCCTAGTCCTCTTCGCTAGGGCCCCAGGCCCTTGGCGGGCGGATGGAGAGAGATGCCCCAGGAAAAAGCCCAGCACTGCTAGGCCCTACGTGCACGGGCTTGGAGACGGGGCGCCAGTACCAGGCAGGGCACAATGAGGCTTGGGGCCCTTACAGTCGCTGCAACCTGGAGGTACCGAACCGGGGACTCCGACCTGACATGCAGGCGAGGCTGCGAGGTCCAGAGCCTGGACCTGGTTCCTAGGGAGCGCCACTCCTTCTGACCCCTGTGGCGTGCGTCCTGGCGCGCCGCACCCGCCTGGTGCCTCGGCCCTCTCTGCTGTTCCCTGGCTGATTCTGAGCAAGGCCAGCAGCCCACGGCCCCACCCGACCCCCACATCTCC
Organism: Homo sapiens; assembly: GCF_000001405.40. Taxonomy (NCBI): domain Eukaryota; kingdom Metazoa; phylum Chordata; class Mammalia; order Primates; family Hominidae; genus Homo; species Homo sapiens. The sequence goes on from NC_000010.11 coordinate 99,527,700, forward strand.
GCAGGGTCAGGCGAGCCGAGCAGGAACTGCGCCGGGGCAGTGGTGATGGCTGGGCGTCCCTGCAGCTTCAGGGGCCAAGGGCAATCGGGGGGCTAGGCCCGCAGACCTGGCCGTCCGCTGACGCAGCGAAGGTCTAGCGGAACCTTGGGGATCGCTCTCCCAGTGCCGACCGAAGGCCCGGACCTCCAGGCTGGACGCGGCGAAGGCCGCATAAGACGTTACTTAAACATGTTACTTAAACAAGACTGCAGTAAACGTTTCTTTCCAAGTGAGAAAGGTCTTTTTCGTTCTCAGACGGTTTGAAGGTGTTTGTGCCAACGTGACCCCCGGGGAGATTTGGAGGAAGCTTTCTACGTCCTAGGAGGCTGAGATCCCACGGAGCCGGTTTACGGTTGAGAGCAGACAGTTTCGAGTAGATAGCGCTGGAAGAGACACGAAGAATCTCTCTTGCTTCTTGGAACGCGATAACCACATTTCTTTCTCTGTTACCCCACTACTAAAAATCAGCAATCCGCACAGAGCAGGCAGCCGCTTTGGTTCGAATGAATTAATTTGCCCAAGACAGCAGCCGCTCTTCTGAAGTCAGATTACATTTTTAAAAGTTTATACACATTGAAATTTCGCTACAGAAAGTTAAAAGCACGCTAGCAACAACAAAAAAAGTTAAGGAATGCATTCAGAATTCCAATTTAATCCTCAAGTTAAAACTGCTCACTGCACGCCCAAATAGCACACGCAAACAGTACAAATAAATGTCTGTATACAGGAGTCCTTTATTTAGGTGTTTTTCGTTTGAAAAAATATTGAATTGATTTTCATTCAACAAAGATACAGTCTTTTCGACATGTTTTATTAACAGAACTGGTTTTGGTAAAGAAAGGGTAATTTACCTTTTTATCTTTAAAATTTTTGGAGGGGCAGATCCACAAAGATAGCTGTGAAGTCCTCTCCCTGAGAAATCGAAAGTCACATTCTCAGCAAGGACCTGTAATTTACAAGGAACTATACAAATTACTGTATTCGGACTAATTTTCTCCCAGGAAAGAGAAATAGTGGTTAATTTAGAAAACTCAATTCCAAATAAAATCTAGGAAAATTTGGCATTCCTGCAAACACATGCAAAACAAACTAGTGCTTAAAACAGCATTTCAAAATCTCTTTTATGAAATTCCTTCGACAAGAAAAAAACCTCCCAAGAAATTAGAACAGTTTAATGCCTTCTAGGACTCACTAACCTAGTTGACATTAAAAGCACAAAATGTATTCACCCGTCTCGCAATTAAAATGCTATTGCTTCTGAATTGCTTTAAAAAAAATGGATAGCTTTCTAACATTCCTTAACAAAAAACCAAAGCAAAGCACACTTGCGCATACACACAAACACACACACCCACCACCACCACCGCCACCATCACTACCACCAACAAATTAACAAAAACCCATTTAGTGAGTCTCTCTCTCATAAGTTGACATTGAAAATGAAACTTCTAGGAGAGCAATTAAAAAAATGAAAAGATTCACCTGAAATGTTTTGGCTATCTGAGTTCATCACAGGATGATTTTTTCAGGCTTTAATAGAAAAATCTCTTCTGATTGTAGTGTTACATTGTTACATTTTGATTAGAAAGCCACGATAACTTTCAACTTGTTTGCAGCCTTGGTTACATAATTAAATGACAATTTGAAAAGTTGAGAGACAACGGGATAAGCAGTGGCATTTACAACTAAAATTATCCATTATCTGCCTATATTTATATGTGCATTAAGCAATCTTTGTGTAGACAATAACAGCTATGAGAACACTTAACAGTTTTCAAAAAATTGTCACATTTTTCATTTGATAATGCATTTATTGTAATGGCTAGCATGTGGTTTTCCTTAAAAAAAAAAAAAGGTACAGACGTTTAGGCATCTATACAGCACTTCCCCTTCAAGGACTTTGCCACCATTTACTGATGATCTTTAATCATAGGGTGGGGGAGAGAGCTTGTATAAATGTATGAGGTGATGAAAGGGTAGGAAGGCAGATACACTCGATTAAAATAAAATCAAACGCTTCCATGGATGCAGCCATACTTACTTTATCTGACAGTAATTAGCTAAACTGTCTGGAACGAAAACCTATTATTAGTAGAGCACAGCTCGAGGATTTCAAAGATCTACTTTTCAGACAAGAGAATGCAAATGCCCCAGAAGGCGATGGTAACTGGATAGGCGTTGGAACCAGATCCCACTCTGATAAGAGACTCCTGCGGAGCGACTGCTGCTGTACAACTACGGCTCTCGAGTTCTCCTCCTTTCAGGCCCGCGGCCGTCGAGGGTACAGGCTGCGCGCGCGGGAAAAGGAGGCCACCTAGATGAGATTGGCCTGGCGGGGATCCCTGCGGGGAAGCACGCCACTGGGGAACCAGACCAAGGGAGTCTGAACAATACTGAGGGGGTAGCTGGAGACAACCCAAACTCCTGCTCTGGGCATAAAACTCAGATCAACCTTAGGGATGCGGTAGCGGATAGAGGTTTTCCGCAGGCTGGAACAGCACTACACTGGGCTGGGTATGAGGAAAGGAAGCGGCGATAAGGTCTAGGCGCCGCCCGCTAGGCCCCTTCGCCTGGAAGTCCTCACAGGCCCTGGTGGCCTACTGAGGAGCAACCTGCCCAGGGTCCTCAAGAGACAACCGCTTAGGCCTGGCGCAAGGTACCTGGCCCGGGAGCGGCTGGGGCGGCGGAATTTGGGGTAGAGGGGCACCCGTGGGCCGGCTGGTGGGGAGGAGACAGCCCCCTGCATGAGCTCACAGAGGCGCCCTGGTGGGCTCCGGCGGCTGCAGAGCGTCTGTGGGCGTGTATTGGCGATCAGGCGCTGGAGGGGCGCTTTGTCCTGGTCGCAGTTTTAAGACCTGGATTGTTGGGCTAGATTTATGAAAGGCCTAGGAGCGAAGCGAGATGGGAAGCAAGGGAATGTAACAAGGAGAAATGCAGGCTTCGGTTGGAAACTGGGGAGAGAGAGATTGTTTCGATAGCCTTTCTCCTTTTCTTTTTCCAGAATCATGAAATCACCGAGGAGAAGAAAACTGGGGACTAGAAGAGAGCAGAAACATTTCCCCTGAGACAGTTTTGCCCCGGAGGTGGGGTGGGGAAGTGGCGCTGGAGCTCAGCTTCCTGCTTTTATGCTCGGCGGCCACCGTGATGCACACACACTCGAGGTCCGCCACCCCGCAGTGCCGTGCACCCCTCTGCCCCCACCTCGGAATTTTTGTGCCCGAGCGCTCGGGATCCACGGCAAAACCAGGCACATTCCTCCCTCTGCAGACTCACCGCCTGGTTTGTAGACACTGGTCTCCGCCTGGGGCGTCAATAGTTTCAGGATTTAAAGCAGAAAGACACCGGGCGCCCCTGTGGCTGAGGAATGGCGGTTCCAGCACAAGACCCTGCCCACAGAGGGTCTCTCCCTACTGCCTGCGGGCCGCCGCTACCCTAAGTACTCCGGGGCGCACGTGGCCCGCGCGGCATCCCAGCTCCCCGGGCGGACCCAGGGGCTGCCTCTCCACAACAGTTCCGCTCCCTTCTGCAGAGCCCCGCCTCTCCCACCTCCCGACAGGCTGTTCTTTCTCCCTTCAACCTTGGGCACCCACTCCTGTCGCCGTTGCGGGACCCGCGTGGCAGCCCTCCACCCTCGTACCCACTCCCAGCCGGTGTCTTATGCCGCTCGGAGGCAATGTCCACCGTCCCTGCACCTTTCACCTGCCCCTTCCAGGTGAGACGGGTCTCTTTCAGCTCCGCCATCCTGACCGCCAAAAAATGCTTGGATTGGCTGGGGCCGGATGAGGACAGCCACGGTTGAGCTGGAACCGTTCCCTATTTTTTTAAGGCCAGCGCTGCACACGGGTCTTTCTGTGGCCCTCAAAGCAGCGCCCGCTGCTCCTCACTGGGCTAGGCCTGGTAGCGAGCAAATGCCTATTGTGGGAGAAGATGGTCCCAGAGTTTCCAGCTCAGAGTTTCCAGAATCTGTGGGGGACTGTATAGACTCCCCCAGAAAACAACCAGGGCCTCATGAAGGTGCCAGAAGGCGTGTAGGTAGAGAAATTTTAAAAGCCTGTCGGAGAGGCAAGGCCTACATTCAGGCTCCTGATTTCAATAGGTGGAAAAGAAGGCTGCCAAGGCTGGGTCACCTCCCTTGTGAGGACAGATCCTGCTCTCAGTATGTGCCACACTCCAGCCACGCACCACCAATGCAGTCAACAAACACTGCTTGACCTCCCATACAGAAAAGCAGTCGTTGACACGTACTGAGCGCTTAACACGCGTGAGGCCGTGCACTAAGATTCTGGCATGTTTTGCCTCATTCAACCCTAGCAACAACCAAAAAAGGTATTACTGCCTTCGTTTTATAGACGAGAAAACAGACTTAGAAACGCCGAAGATCACACACTGACTAGGCCAAGCAAGAGCTGTCGAATACCAAAGTTTAGTCATAACTCTATCTTCCTTTCACATACTGCTCTGTGCGGCTGCTGCCAGGGATACAAGGGCAAAAGCAACCCCGGGACACTGCCCTCATGGAGCTTACAGTCTAACTGGGGCGACCAGGCAGGCACATACAGCTATAGAATTAAGTGGGAAGTGATAAGTGACATGCATGTCCTTTGCTAACACAAGCTGCAGGTTCAGAGCCTGAAAGAGGGGACTTCCGGCTAGACGATCTAGGAGCTCTTCCTTGGAGAACAGTTTCCACTCGTGGAGGCTAAGTGTCAGAAACATGTTCCAAGTGGAGAGAAAGCTTGAGCAAAGGCAACAAGTTGAAAAAGGACATGTCGCCCACCCATAGATAGATAAAACACTGCATCTCCTCGTGGATCCAGCGCCCAGTATTTACCCGCCAGGAAGTTTTCCTGCCCCGCGCAGCAGCTGAAAAAAACACACTCCTGGGGCATCCTTCCCTGGCGTTGGTTCGTGGACAGCAAGCCTCCCAGAACTGGCCTAGGTCGGGAAGGTGCAGCCACGCGGGAATCAATGGTTCAGGAACCGGATCTGTGCAGCCTCGCCCGCAGCGTCTCGGACTTCAGGACTCTATACTAGTCCTTGTCTATTTCTGGTAGAGCCGCAACATCCCACTCGCAGAGAGCAGGGGGCGTGGCCCACATGAGCCAGAACCTATAGGGAGGGAGGTTGGGGCGCCAGCCCCGCCCCCCCAACGTGACGCAAATCTCCCGGACAGAGGCTTAGGAGCCCGGGCCCCAGTCCCTGCAGTGGCTGTAACAAAACCCAGACCCCCAGGTCCCGGCCAATGGAGGCGATTTAGACTGGAGTGGGACCGCGTCTGTCAAAAGCCCGACTCGGCAGCAGCGGCGGAGTCCAGGAGGAGAGCTGGAGCCGCCGCGCTGCCTCCCCGCCCCCGCCGGGATTTATTATTTGGACTGGACAATTAAGTGGCCCTGATGATGTTACCAAGCCCGGTCACCTCCACCCCTTTCTCAGTCAAAGACATTTTGAATCTGGAGCAGCAGCACCAGCACTTCCATGGTGCGCACTTGCAGGCGGACTTGGAGCACCACTTCCACTCTGCGCCCTGCATGCTGGCCGCCGCTGAGGGGACGCAATTTTCTGACGGAGGGGAGGAGGACGAGGAAGACGAGGGCGAGAAATTGTCCTATTTGAACTCACTAGCCGCAGCAGACGGCCACGGGGATTCAGGGCTGTGTCCCCAGGGCTATGTCCACACGGTCCTGCGAGACTCGTGCAGCGAGCCCAAGGAACATGAAGAGGAGCCCGAGGTCGTGAGGGACCGGAGCCAAAGTGAGTAGAGGGGGAAAGAAAACGCACCCGCACACCTGGAGCAATGGCAGAGCGCACACAAACAGCCCACAGACCTTGCCAGCGCAGCTGCCCATCCCTTTACCCTTTGGCTGGGGCCATGCCTCCGCCCTGGTCACCGACAGCTCCACAAAGCGCAGGTACCTGCAAGGGAGCCGGGGTGGAGAGACAAGGACGAGGTGACCCTGACAACTACTCCCCCCAAAAGGGGGAAATGAGGGAAGGGAAGGTGGTTACTGCTGCCCTGATGCTGAGAGGCGACGTGGGCTCAGCGCCTGGGTCCTCATAACTGGCAGTATTTTTGCTCTTCCCCCCGCCCCAAAAGGCTCTTCCCCCAAAAAGGGCAGGAGCCTGGACCTTTTTCGTTTTCCCTCTAGGGTGAGATGAGTTCTCTTAGCCCAGGGCAGCCACCCCTTCTTCTCCGAAAAGACAGCCCAAGCAGCCTGTGTCTCTCGCACCCGCAGGGGCAGGAACTTTGGTGGAGGCCAGCTGGGCGGTTTCCTCCCTTCTCTGCTTGGAGCTCAGCGTCCTTGAACCCGTGGCACTCGGTAGAGAGAGAGGAGATGATCGGAAAGTGCGTGGGAACAATGTCTATTCCGCGCGACCATAGCTCTCACATCCCTAAGGCGCCAGCCTTTTTTGAAAATCCGTAACGTTTTGCTTTGTGTCCCAGGCTGCGGGCCTAATAGAAAACGCGCCGAACTTGAGTCCGAGATCTTGGCTGCTCACATCGGATGGGAAGTGAATTGATAGGGAGATGGGATAATCAAATAAAGTCCCCAAGGAAGTGTATTTAAGAGGACAGAATCACAGTCTTTCCCCAAGAGGCGGTTTGATGTGGCAGAGGCCAAGGCCTATGCTCTCATAGTTCCCAGAGCCGAAAATCGGCATGAAACTGTCTATAACTAGTCAATCAAACTTCATTTTCAAAGTGCACACAGATGTCGTCATAACATTCGCTTGTAGTCTTTTATAAGCCACACACACACACAAGTCCCTGAGCCATGCACAAGCGTTACACTCAGAACAGATTTTCGCGCAACCCATGCCCACCGGCCCACTCATACCAACACGCCTCACACCTTCAGTTATCCTTGGTGGAGTAGAATGCAAACGAGTTTGCAAATACTGTAGTTATTATGTAGTTGCAAGCCTTCATCCTGAAAATAGTCATTAGCACGTCGAGCCGCATATTTAATACAGAGTAATCTCTTCTCTCGCAGATGCTCAAGATCCAAATAAACACGCACTAACTACCCCTCTCCACGAAACGCGCCTCCGCCTGCTAAGGGCGTTCTTTGGGTACTGGGGCTGTCTCAGGGTCCCACAGCGCCAGGAGCCACAAACGTTCCCAAAAGTCCAGCCATTTACTACCGCACGCTCTGCGCAGCCACCAAAAAGGGTCACGGTGCTCCAGGACAGGAGCCGCGGTGCGGCCGGGAACAGCTAAGGACGCTGTTGTTTGCTTCTTCCGCAGAAAGCTGCCAGCTGAAGAAGTCTCTAGAGACGGCCGGAGACTGCAAGGCGGCGGAGGAGAGCGAGAGGCCGAAGCCACGCAGCCGCCGGAAGCCCCGGGTCCTCTTCTCGCAAGCCCAGGTCTTCGAGCTGGAACGCAGGTTCAAGCAGCAGCGGTACCTGTCGGCACCCGAGCGCGAGCACCTCGCCAGCAGCCTGAAGCTCACATCCACTCAGGTGAAAATCTGGTTCCAGAATCGCAGGTACAAGTGCAAGAGACAGCGGCAGGACAAGTCTCTGGAGCTTGGCGCACACGCGCCCCCGCCGCCGCCGCGCCGCGTGGCTGTCCCGGTGCTGGTGCGGGACGGCAAGCCGTGCGTCACGCCCAGCGCGCAGGCCTACGGCGCGCCCTACAGCGTGGGCGCCAGCGCCTACTCCTACAACAGCTTCCCCGCCTACGGCTATGGGAACTCGGCCGCGGCCGCCGCCGCCGCCGCCGCCGCCGCCGCAGCAGCGGCGGCCTACAGCAGCAGCTATGGCTGTGCGTACCCGGCGGGCGGCGGCGGCGGCGGCGGCGGGACCTCCGCGGCGACCACTGCCATGCAGCCCGCCTGCAGCGCGGCCGGAGGCGGCCCCTTTGTGAACGTGAGCAACCTAGGAGGCTTCGGCAGCGGCGGCAGCGCACAGCCGTTGCACCAGGGTACTGCAGCCGGGGCCGCGTGCGCTCAGGGCACCTTGCAGGGCATCCGGGCCTGGTAGGGACGGGGCGGGTCACGCGGCGGGCACCCCAGCGCAGCCTGGCGCCGCGGGACTGAAGCTCGAGAAGGGCCTGACCTAAAGGTCAGGTCCCCTCGTTAAAAAAATATGTACGTCTAGCTCCTCAGGGCTTCGGATCGCAGCTCACTCGAGGCCTGGGGAAGGGGACTCAGGGGCGAGGAGGATGACTGGGTCCGGTCGCCAGGACTGTCTCTGAGGCAGAAACGCCGGCTGGGCGCCGGGGAGGACGATGGCCCCGACCCTGGCAGCGAGAGGAGACCAGGAGGCTAGGACCCTGGCCGCGCTTGGTTCTTCCAAAGCGAGAAGGGCTTCTCTCCCTCTGCCTTTCCGCGGCCTCCGCGAAGCGTTGGCGGGGAGCCCAAGGACATAACAAATTAAAAGCATGAAGGAGAGAAAAATGGGGGTCGTGGCTTGAGAAATTCCAGGCCCTACCGATCCTCTGCCCCCTTTGCGGGCCTGGAGCGCCATAGCACAGTCGATTTCGTTTCGCAGCTGTCTCCCCTCCGCAGCAGATACCTCGGTCCAGATCTCCGGATTGTCGGGGGACGCAGGACTCTTCGAGGAAAACCAGCCGAATGAGATCAAAAGTTGGGGGTGGGGGGAGGCTGAACAAACTCAGGACCTGGTGGCCCACCGGAGGTGTTACCGGGTTTCCTTTCTGTTTCGTATTCTGTATTCAGCACATGTTATCTATCTATCTATCTATATAACTATAACCACACGCCGTGTAGACACCCGCTGCCACACACTACAGGAGTCAATAAACAAGGTGCAATATTTTCAAATCGTTGGCCGGCTACAGAATTTGTTTAGCCCCAAAGAGTGGAGAGGAATCCTTTAAATAGGGCGGGAAGGGGAGGAAAAGGTGCGAGGGGGAAAGCCATCCTCCCTGGGCGATCGCAGGCCTGGTCTCCCATGAGCCAGGCCCCAGGCTGCAAGTCTGATCTCTTCGGGGCTTTGTTCATTAATTTCTGTTTACTCTTGAGGGCTGGACAGGTCGAAGGCTCAGGGCCATTTGAAGTCCCTGGCTTTGCAGTTCCCCCTAAGTTTTACCCAGATGCTTGGACTAGCTGTATAGACCTGCGTTCGGTCAAGTCTTGCACTCTGCCCCACCTCGAGGGTCGCCAGGGAAAAGGAAGCCTCGCTCGCAGTCCCAGCTGTTGGCCGCGCGAAGGCGGCTCCTTCCCTGGCTGCAGCCAGGGCTACCAACGCGCCCGGGGGCGCTGCGCTGCGCCCCACTGCGGCCGAGCTCTCCCCCTTGGCCGCCCTCCCTTCTCCCCCGGCGGCCGCGGCTTTATGCGGCTCCTTGTCACTTGCGGAGAATGCCTGTGCGAGGCCTGTGCTGCCACACGGCCGATTGTGAGCGTGCCAAGGCGGGTGAATGGGGAGGCCTCAGAGCGCCGCGCCATTGTGGGGCCGGGCCTCGCTGAAAGGCGGCTCCGGGCCGGGAAGGTGCGGAAAGAATGGCTTTTTATTGGAGTCCCGAACAAAAGGTGTGGTAGGAAGGCGAGGTCCCCTGCGCGAACAAAAACCCCAGCGCGTCGGATTGACGTCCCCCCCGAGCTCCCCATTGCTTCTCAGAGCGGGGGCTTTGTGCAGCAGTCTGCTCAACAGAGGGACGGAGAAATGTGCGGGGGTTTTGTTCCCCACTTTTTGTGCTCTGGGGGAGGGGGCGGCAGGGGGACGGGGGCTGGGCGGGCAGCAGGGAGGGGCGCGCTGATTAGGCCGGGCCGGCCGGGGCGCTGAGACGTTCAGCGGGAGTCGGCGGCCTGAATGCTGGGTCATTATTGCTACAAGTTTAGCAATTTCTCCCTTACAGGAGGGGGTGGGGCTGCTAGGCTGTGGCGGGGCCGCCCGGCTGGGGAGCTGTAGAGACCCGAGGAGGAGGAAGAAAAAGAAGGAGGGAAGGGAGGGAGGGAGGCAGGCAGGCAAGGGAGCCCTCCGAAGCCCTCTGACCGCCCAGGATGCGACTTGGACACATCCGAAAGGGCCTAGCGGGAGGCTAGAGAAGCGGCACTTGGGGAGCGAAGACCTTCCCTCCCCTTGCCTCTCAGGCGGCAGAAAGACCCCAGAGCCGAGCGTGAGCCAGTGCACCAGACTGCTGGTCCCGCAGCAACTCGCGGCCGGGTCCCTCCTCTTTCACGTCGCCCCCGAACTGGGACACAGCCTCCCACCACCGTGATGCCCGAATCCCCTTCCCTACCGCGCTCCCTCTTCTGGAGCCGTTACCTTTCCATGGATTGCTTAGGCCAAGGGCTGGAGAGGAAATTCTTGGCTTGTTACTTGCTTCTCACAGCCTGCGGCTGCAGACTTTCATTCATTCATTCATCCATTCAACTAGGTATACTGAGCACCTACTATGTATTCACTTGTACTGTTGAGTTGCTGGGAACGGTGAAAAAAAAAGTGTCCCTAGATTGGTGGATTTTATTTTCAGGTGTGAAGGTGTGGGTGGAGGGAGGGTGAGACAATAAACAAATGCAAAAACAGAAGATGAATTCTAAAAAGGAAATAGAACCAAACGCTGGGAACGGAGGTCTTTTCAAGTAGGCGGTCGGGAAAGCCTGTTGAGATTACATTTAAGTCAATGCCTGAATGACAAAACGAAGTCATTCCAACAGTGCTTTGCTATCTCAGCCTCCATGCCTCAGCACATGCCCTCCCGTCCATCTGGAATGCCCTTCCACCCCCATTTTTCTGGTGAACTTTTGCCTCTCCTTCAAGGCCAAGCTTCTTTCCTGAACCACCTAAGTAGAGGTAATCACTCTCACATTTGTGCCACCAGAGTCTTAGGTACTTTCCAATATCATAACATGGTGTCATGCAAAGATTTATTTGTCTCTCTCTCTCCACAGGAGGTTGTGGAGGGCCAGGTTGGCATCTTTTCCCTCTGGGACAGGTACCACAGTAGGAGCTCATGGGGCCAGGAGGGTTGTGGGATGCCCTCTGGGCTCTGTCAGCACCTCTTCCCTGGTGCTTCATGGCTGCCTGAATTGCCTGGGTGCTGTTGAGCTGTGGCCTTGGCTGCTAGCTTCGAGGGAAATGTGGAACTGGAATCTTGCCTTCCCTGGGCCTAGTTCAGGACACTTGGCAACCCATCTCCAACCCAGCCGAAGGTCCCACCTCTTCTGTACCCCCTAATGCTGCCTAAGGACATCCCTGCCCACAATGTTGCACCTCGTCCTACAGCTCAATACCTAGAATAGGAGGGAGGCTAAGACCTTGGTGAAGACCTTGACCCCAGGGCACAAAATTTGGGGCCTGGGGAACACTAGGATGTGTAAGAAACCCAGGACCCGCGTCTGGGACCCAATTCGACTTCCCCTACATTCATTAGGTGCAGGGAATGGAAAGTCAGCAAGATCTGGGCAAGCACCCTGTGAGAGCTCACTCCCCCAGCACCTTCGCTCTTGGAACTGAAGTCTCTAGGAATAGCTGCCCTTGCTCCACTGGGGGTTTCCTAAGTAAGCAACTACTTTGCCTCCAATGCAGTCCCTTATCCTGCTGGGCCTTGGCCTCTCAGTGCTCCCAGCACCACACCCCCACTTTCCTTGCTGGGCTTCCTCTTGCCCTGCGTTGGTCTTCCTTCACTCTGCATTCCCTCTTGTTCTGGAAAAGTGGCTTGTGATCCTCACAGAGGAAACAGAACTGGTTCTGTGGATTGGCTTCCGCAAGTTTGCGTGTCTTGAGATACTTGAAGCCAGCCTAGACCAGCCCGCTCCCTACCCTGCTCCGGAGCCTGCAGTCTCCAGGTATAAATAGCTCCCACCACTTCACTGGAGGATTTCCCTACTGCTCCTTGCTGGGGTTCCTCCATCAGAGGTTGAAAACCCTTGACCAACGCAGGTACCTCTTCCTTGGGCTCCCTCTCCAGGGTAAAAGTTCCCCCTGACAGGACAAACTGCTGCTTCATTAAATTGTCCTGTGAGTCAGGAGGAATCAAAATCCAGGCAGGCCTTCTAATGACCCATGAGACTTGGGACAGGCCAAGTAAGTTGTTCCTCTGGGCTGTGGTTTTTGAGATCTATGGTAGAGAGAAGGGTGAACCATATGATTTCAGAGGTCACTTCAGGTTCAACCCTCCTGGGTTCCCTTGGATGAGTGTGTAACCCCTCCCCACCCAATAAGCTCAGGGTGGGTTGGCACCACTGAGGGAAGAAGTGGGATAGGTTTTAGATGGCTAGTACTTTTTCCTGCAAAGCCTGATCTTGAGGAGTTAAGAGGATGAACTCTGAAGTCAGACTGAGTCTATTCTATTCTCAGCAGCACCACAACCAGCAGTGGAAACTTTGAATAAGTTAGAAGTGCCCTGAACCTCAGTTTCTTCCTCTATAAAATGGGTATGCTTGTAGCACCTCTTTTTTTTTTTTTTGCCTACAGTAAAACATGCAAATAGTTAAGGATGCAACTCAGTGAATGTTTATATAGTAAACATTCGTGTATCAATCATTTTGGCTTTAAAAGTTAAATAAGATGATCAATCTCAATACCTAGGATATTGCGTCGACGTTCTAGGAAGATGTCTAGGACTCTATTCCGCCCTCGAGGCACTCCCAGGTCCCCGGGGTGAGGGGGGTGGAAACAGGGGGGTGGGAACAGGGGCGCGGGGGGGGTCGTGGGAAACAGGGCGGCACAAGGACCGAAAACCCCAGCTCCGCGGGCGCGTGTCACCACAGAGATCCGGCAGAGCCATTGCGGGTAAACCTGGGACAGGTGGCGCCCGGCGGGGTCTGCAGGGCTTTGATTTCGGCTGCATCTGGGACATTCGACAGAAGGGGAAGGTGGAAGGACGTTTCCTGGGGGAGGTTCGAGTCCTCTCTAGCCCACCACTGCAGGGAGGAAAGGGTAAGGAGTGGAAACCCGGCCCCTCTCCGCGGGGCTTCTCCCGGGCCCGCGCGCGCCGCCGGAGTGACTTGGGGCCGCGCCTCTGCCAGGGTGGGGCCGGGTGGGCAGGGGCTTCCCTGGAGACTCGCGCGGGAGACCGGGAGGTCCAAGGCCCCAGTCGCAGCCGCCCAGTTCCTCGCTTTCTGGTTCAGGACGCCAGTGGGGACTTCCCGGGCGCCTCCTCCCAACTCCAGGGGCCCGAGCCCTGGAAGGACTGTGATTTGTCCGCGACTGGAGAGAGTTCAGTGCAGTCTGGCCCCGCGCGAGAGGGAAGGATCCTTTCTAACCGCCCGGAGCAGCGCAGGTGCCACGGGGCGGGGCGCTCAGGGGCCGGCCGCTGCTTCCCAGGCGGGCCCGGGGCGGTCAGAGCCAGCTGGGCCGGGAGTGCCCCGGCGAGCCCCGGGAGAGCCTAGCCGACTCTGCAGGTGAGAGTCCAAACTGCAAGAGCCAGCAGTCCTGACGGTCGCGGAGGTAGGACGTCCTGGGTGGGGCTTAAGGGGCACGGGGAGGCCCCTGCAGGGAGTCCTGGGGAGGCGTCAGGGGGAGGGGGCACTGATCTCTAAACCACGTTTGCTTTGTTGAAAATATGCCCCCACCCCACCCCACCTAGATTGTAAGTAACAGATTAATAACAGCTGAGGTTTTCCAAAGGAGCGATTAGTAAACTTCTTATTGGAGTGGGAGATACATATAGAAAACCCCAAGCGTACGGCTCGCTCTATCTTTATAAACGGAACCCTTCCATGCTACCAACTCCCAGATGAAGAAGCAGAACATTATCAGTCCCCGGAAAGTACCCCCATGCTCTCTTCTTGTCACTACTACCTGGAGCCACTAAGGGTAACCACTGTCCTGGCTTCTAACAGCACAGGTTAGTTTTGCCCGTTTGGGAACTTTATCTAAATGGAATCATATAGATTGCACTCTTGTGCGCCTGCTTCATTCGTTCGTGAGATTTATCCATATGGCTGCATGTAGTTGTAGGTCGTTCATTTCAGTTACTTTAGAGTGTTCCACGGTGTGAATATACCACAATCAATGTATCCATTCTGCTGTTTATAGGTATTTGGATTGTTTCTAGTTTTTAGGCTGTTGTGAATAGCACCACTACGATATGCTAAAACAGCGTCCAATAGAACTTCCTGCGATGATAAAAAATGTTCTATATCTGTGTTGTCCAACATGGTAGCCATTAGTGACATGTGACTTTTGAGCACTTGAAATGTGACAGGTGTGACTGAGGAACTCAATTTTTAATTTTCTAAAATTGCAATTAATTTAAATGTAAATAGCTAATACGGCTAGAGCTACTCTATTGGACAGCACAGTTCTAGCTTGTCTTTTGGTGACCACAATACATATTTCTATTCAGTATATGCCTAGGAGTGCAATTGCTATTTTTTTTTTTTTTTTTTTTTTTTTTTTTTTTGAGACGGAGTCTTACTCACTCTGTCACCCAGGCTGGAGTGCAGTGGTGCAATCTTGGTTCACTGCAACCTCCGCCTCCCAGGTTCAAGTGATTCTCCTGCCTCTGCCTCCCGAGTAGCTGGGATTACAGGCTTGTGCCACCACACCCGGCTAATTTTTGTAATTTTAATAGAGACAGGGTTTCACCATGTTGGCCAGGCTGGTCTCGAACTCCTGACCTCAGGTGATCCGCCCACCTCAGCCTCCCAAAGTGCTGGGATTACAGGCGTGAGCCACTGCGCCCAGCTTGCTATGTCATAGACACAAATATTAGCCTTAATAGGGTCTGCCAAGCAGTTTTCTACAGTTGGTTAGACCAATTTACACTCCTACCAGTGTTGGCACCACATGCCCCAATACTTAGTATTTTTATTTCATTTCTCTTTCATTTTAGCCATTCTGGTGAGCAGGTAGTTAAAAGGCTTTTGTTCACTTTTGTGTAAGATTGTGAAATTGCCATTTAACCATAGTGAAGAAGAAGAAGATGATGGTGGTGGTTGGGGGTTTCTTGGAGGCTGAGAGAGGCCATGTGAGTCTAAAGCCCACCCTTTTCATGACTCCACCTTGCAGTCAGACCTCCCGCTCAGTCGCTTTCTCCCTTAGGAACTAGACCTAGGGCATCAGCAGGACTTGAGGGAAGGGCTGTGTGTTTGGAGGTTATCTATCTCCCATAGCTCTTGTTACTTTATGCCTTCTCAAAATCAGTGTCTGCTCTTCTTTTACTGCTACTTATTAGAATGCCTCACCAGCAGAGATGGTGAGCTTGCTTGGCAGGCTGCAACCAGGATAGAGAAGCCAGGTTTTGTTCTGGCCGCAGTTTTAGTTTGTGACTTGGCTTTACCATGTGTAAAACAGCATTAGCAATCCTTGGGGCTAGACACGATGGCTCACATCTATAATCTCAGCACTTTGAGAGGCTGAGGTGGGAGGATCACTTGAGGTCAGGTATTTGAGAGCAGCCTGGGCAACACAGTGAGACACTGTCTTTACTAAAAATAATAAAAAAACACTAGCTGGGTGCAGTGGTGCGTACCTATGGTCCCAGCTACTAGGCAGGCTGAGGCAGGAGGATTGATTGAGCCCAGGAGGTCGAGGCTGCAGTGAGCTATGGTCTCACCACTGCACTCCAGCCCGGGCGACAGGGTGAGATTGTCTCAAAAACAAAACAGGCTGGACACGGTGGCTCATACCTGTAATCTCAGCACTTTGGGAGGCCGAGGTGGAAGGATCATTTGAGGGAAGGATCATTTGAGGTCAGGAGTTCAAGACCAGCCTGACCAACATGGTGAAACCCCATCTCTACTAAAAATACACACACACACACACAAATTAGCCAGGCATGGTGGCACAGGCCTGTAGTCCCAGCTACTTGGGAGGCTGAGGCAGGAGAATCGCTTGAACCCAGGAGGCGGAGGTTGCAGTGAGCTGAGATCGCACGACTGCAGTCCGCCTGGGTGACCCAGAGAAACTGTCTCAAAACAAAAACAAAAACGAAACAAAAACACAAAACAACCCTTGGGTGTGCTTGCTGGGAACTAAAGCAAAGTCAACCCTGTGGAGGCAGCAGGGAGATTTCTTACTATGTGTCAGGCTGTGTGTGTGTGTGTGTGTGTGTGTGTGTATGTGTGTGTGTGTGTGTGTGTGTTGCTTTGTAGATATTCTCTTTAATCCTCAGAATAGCTATGTGAAGATTCCTTATTTACACATGAAGAAACTGAGGCTCAGAGAGATTAAGTCACTCTCCCCAAGTGCCACAGCAAGTAAACAGTAGCAATAACCTCAATAGGACTTTTCACCCAGTGCCACTAAGAACATTTCTGTTTTCTACCTCTCTCCTCTGGGTAAACTGACTAGTGCAGATTTTGAAATTCTGGATGAAATTAGACGCCCTATGCTACACCTCCTTTTGTATGGACCTAGGCTGACCACTGACCACCTATGTGTTGGAAATTAAGCAAAGCATTTGTTATGTTAAAATACCAGTGAAATTCACTTTGTGTGATACAATGAGTTCTTGGAAAGTTGTATGCAAAGGGCTTTTTGCCATGGGTAGGGAGAAAAATTGAGTACATTTAAACTTATCACTGGAGTTTGTTCTTTAAAAATATCCCAAGCTGAATTATTTTTTAAAGGGAAGGATTCCTTTGAAATATGAATAATAACCCAGAATTTCTTAAGTTGAGGGTTACAAGTAATTTTTAAAAAGTGAGGAACAACTCAAAATTATATGCAAGATTCATCAATATTTCATAGCTATTTCCTGGTTCATTGAGAAGGGTTATCTTGAAAGTTTCACTGGGGCCATCTTGAGAGTGAATTATCTGGGAGGTACGCAGATTTGTTCTCAATCCAGATAATGAGTAACTAGAAACCCATTGCCCCCATGGCTACTGGTGGATTCAGGCTCAGTATGGCTATATTTTACAGTCCTTGATCACTTGGTGAACCTCTCACAGAGGGGACTCAAGAGTCAAAGGATTATTATATTACATCACCTTTTGGGCCCCTTCCAGCCTTGAGAGTCTTTAAACTAAATTTGTTACATGCCTGTAGATTCAGCTGTACATTTCACCTAAGAATCACCAAAGTCTAACTCTTTTCTGATGCCCAGTTCTGCCTGCAGCATCCTAAGCAAGGCACTGTCCCATATCTCCTGGACACTACCCATAGGAGAACCACTCACCCCTCTACTCAATAAGTGTGAAAAAATTCTGTCTTATGTTCACATGGAATCTGCCTTCCTGCAACTTCCATCACTGGCAACTCCTGTTTTCACAGATGTCTACTTCTGCATGTCAACTCTTCACATATTTAAAAGTCAGCCATTGAATGCTGTGTAGACCCTCTCTTCTCCCAGTAAAATAACCTCGGTTTCTTTGACTATCCTCAGCCTCCTGGCCATTCCTCAGTAGATGTTCTCTAGCTCCCCTGTTTCTTCTGTGCCTGGGCTGTTCTGCTGTGTTCCTCAAGGGAGGGCCCCCCTTCCTAAGCCTTTAAACACATCTATCCATCCTCCCCCACTCTTCTGAGAAGGAAGGGGCCAGCTGGGAGGCTCTCCTCAAATTAAGTTTTTATTCCTTAGTCTTCAGAGGAATAAGTACCATTCTTCTCTCTACAAGTAATGTTTCCTTTTAAAGTCTAGATAAAAGCTTCTTTCCTATTTCTAGAAATAATGCTTCTGAGGCCAGGCATGGTGGCTCACACCTGTAATACCAACACTTTGGGAGGCTGAGGTGGGAGGATTGCTTGAGCCCAGGAGTTTGAGACCAGCCTGGGCAACATGGCCAAACCCTGTCTCTACAAAAAATACAAAAATTAGCCAGGCATGATGGTGCACACCAGTAGTCCCAGATACTAGGCAGACTGACGTGGGAGGATCACCTGAGCCTGGGGAGGTTGAGGCTGCAGTGAGCTGAGATGGTGCCACTGGATGACAGAGTGAGATCCTGTCTCGAGGAGGAAGAGGAGGGGGAGCAGTGGGAGGAGGGGGAGGCGGAAGAGGGAGGAAGAGAAGAAGAAAAGAAAAGAAAAGAAAAAGAAATAATTCTTCTAAATTTTGAGTTCTGAGGTCCTACCACCCTGCAATCTAATATTCTCTACCTTCCTTTCTCTCTCAAACATGTAGCCATCTCTCCATATTACCTTCTCTTAATACTGGTGCCTCTTTCTTAAATATCTTTCCTCCCTTTTTCTGTCAGTTTCTGCCTATTTTTTCACCAGCTCCTTCCCTCTCCCCCAGCCTAACTGATGTTTGCTTTCTAGGTGGTGGACACTGATGCCTGGTTGGAAGTTGCCTTTGTGGTCCTCTGGCTCAGTTCTTCCCAGACACCTGTGCCCACTTTCCAGCACTCCTGAGGAGTCATTGTTCTCAAAGAGTCACTCTTTGAGGTCAGCATTGGTCCAGTGGCTTCTCTTCAGGGTTGTCCTTTATTACTTCTCTTTAACATTTGGCATAATGACTTTTTTCCTGGAAAGTCTTCTCATAGTTTTGACACCACGTACTTGCCTGATTTCCTTGCACAAAGTATAGCTCCTCAGTCTTCCTTCTCCATTCCCACTTAAGGGAACCTTCCAAGGCTCAGTGGCTTTTCAACACTCTTTAGATCCTAAAGCTGGTCATTGTACAGTGTCAACTATCACTTTTATACTACGGGCCCCTGAATCTACAGCTTTGGCCTTGGTTTCCCTCTAATGTCATATTTCCAAATGCCTAGAGGATAATTCTACTTGTGCACCCCACTGTCATCTCAAGTTCATCACCACTCTCCAAAAGTACTCACATCTCAGCTTCGGCCAATGGCATGACCTGTCCTTGTTTTCTTCCCTTTGTTTGTTTGTTGAACCAATCAGTCAACAAATGATTTCCCCAAGAGTCTCTCTTCACTTAAAGCAGAAGGAAAGGGAGGACTAACGTTACTGAGCACCTAATGCTTTTCAGGTACTGGGCTTTCACCCTGACCCATTTCATACTAGAAACATTCTGAAAAGTAAGTGCCATTTTTCTCATGTTATGGATTAAGAAATCAAACTTTGAGAATGTTGAGACTTGTTCAATGACATCCAGCTCTAGAGTGACAGAATCAAGTTCAAATCAAGGTCTATCTGATTTTAAAGCCTAAGCACTTTACTGTAATAACCTCCTAACTTGCCCCCTTGGTGTGAGTATATAGTTGATAAACCCAGTCCTCATGCAGGCACTGATTTATTTTCCCCAGTGACTCTTACTTAAAGGTACCTATATTTTTTTCAACCACACTATGGCTCCTCGCTGTGCATAGGATCAAATATACACTCAGGCCACTAATGAACTCCTATTACTTTGCCTAGTCAACCAAATTTCCCACTTTTTTTTTATGATCTACACAATCTCCTTACCATCCTGCTCCCGCTAACCCTTTATTAACTATGCTCATTCCTGGGGAAACATCTCAGTTCTTCCAAAACTCCTCCGAACTTCAAGTCAAGTGCCTCTTAATGATGAAGTCTTTTCCAGCCAGCACAGCCCACAGTGATTGCACATTCTCTGAAGGTAGATGAAATAGTGACTGAATGCAGTGGCTCATATCTGTAATCCCAGCAGTTTGGGAGGCTGAGGCGGTGGATGGCTTGAGTACAGGAGTTCAAGACCAGCCTGGGCAGCATGGCAAAACCCCATCTCTACAAAAAAATACAAAAATTACCCAGGCATGGTGGCATGCACCTGTAGTCCCAGCTACTCAGGAAGCTGAGTTGGTAGCATCACCTAAGCCTGGGAGGTTAAAGCTGCAGTGAGTTATGATTGTGCCACTGCACTCCAGCCTGGGCAACAGAGTGAGACTCCATCTCTTAAAAAAAAAAAAAAAGTAGTCTTGTTTGTGGTCTCATTATTTCCATTCTCAATTAGAAAATAAGCTCCTTGAGGGCAAGGATCATGTTTTTTGCTTCCTTTGTATTACCCACAGAGATGGATATAAATGAAATAATTTAGGAAAAAAAGATTAGAAAAGTATAAAATGCAATATAAATGAAGCATATTTTTCTTAATATTGCTAATGTTATAAACATTGGGATAATTTATTGTCTGGTTGGAATTGTGTACAAGTTCAGCAAACAACAGTAACTTGAGGGATTTGATAAATAAAACAGGCCCAGAGTTCTTCTTCCTCCTTCTATTTAATCCTTAACAGCACTGTCTTGCCTGCTCAGACTGAATGTGTTAGAGAGGCACCTACATTGTCCACTAGATGACTGGCTAGTTAAGGACATGGAAGGCCCAAATAATAGTTGCTCCATTTTACAGATGAGAGAAAACTGAGGGGTTCAGAGAGGTTAAGCAACTTGTACAAGATCACGCAGCTAGTATCAGAGCTGGAGATAAAGCTGATCTGTTTGCCTTCTCCAGAAAACTCTTTGAGACACATTGACCAATTGTTGGCCGCTTCAAGTGGATGTCCATTTCCTCCTCAATAGCTGCTCTTGGTGATGTCTCTGCTAAGAACTGCACCCATACTTTGGCTCTATCAATGATCCTGTTAGTTTAGCATCTCCTGAGTGGTGAGAAGCAGTCAAGTGCCCTGCCTCTGCCCTCTAGTGATGACCATGGGATGCACAACTCCTCCTGGCACTGTCTCTGAGGGACCTGTCAGTACCTTCTGATGTTGCCAGGGACCAGAGGCCACACAGACTAAGGCTACAGAAAGGTACAAGTCTCCTAGGCTTCCTTCCTGGGCTGTTCCTTGAGGGAAGTCTTGGGTTCTCTGGGCCCCCCACTCCTGCTGGTCCTTTAAGGAAGACCCACACATTCCTGACAATGACCAAAATCGGATAAGAGAGGGACTTGGTGATAGCCCCAAATTCCTTTTCAAGGAGTCAGCGAAAGCATCTGACTCAGAGTCCAGAGAACAGATGTCTGTTCTTAGCTTCCATGGCCCTTTGTTCATTGATACACACCTATGCCTGGTATTGTTATGAGTTCCAAAATGTACTTATTTTATGTGACCTTGAGCCAGTCTCTTAATCTCTCAGAGCAGTAGCATCCTAATCTGAAAAGGGAATGAAAATCTTCTTGCCTCGCCTACCTATAGGGATGTGATGAGGATCAAGCCCGAGAGCCAGTGTAAAATGGGGTGAGGTTGAAAGTAGCTCTCCTTCCTCTTCCAATGTCGACTCGGGGCACTAGAGCCTACGTGCAGACCAAGCCTCCAGGGCTGTCCACCATCTCAGTGTTCCTTCAGATAAATAAGCTCACCGCTCTGATTGGATGCTGGCTTACTTAGGACCACCAGTGCCTTTGGGTCAATTAGAAAAAGACATCATTTCCTCTGAGTGGGTATGGCTTTTGCCAGGTGCTCAGCTTGGTGGATGGAAATGGATTTCTCTTGGGGCAGGTGTTCTCATTCAGTGAATAACCACACAGCTAAACATCATGGTTTTGATGCCATCAGCTTCTGTTTATCCCTCTCTCTATTCCCTGAATAATCAAATGGATATGCTGATCACATTTAAAGGACACTAAATCATTACATTAGGAAAAAGTCAGCCATAAATAGGTGATGTGGCCTCTGGGGGAGGAAATTCCCAGCCCTGTGACTGGGGTTGCTTGATTTCCTCAGGCATGGGGCAAACAGTGCTCTTGTCACTGGCCCTAGAGCCTAAAGAAGAATTCCTCCCTTAGCTGACCGTCATCCTATACTGTGATTGTGGACAATGATGAATTTCAGACTTGCACTTTGAGGGCAAGTGAGAATAAATGACCCTCTGATGGAAAATGACAGTACTGTGGGTAGCAGGGCCTGGCAGGGCATTTTATTTTTATTTGTTTGTTTTAAGACAGGTTCTCACTCTGTTGTCTGGACTGGGGTGCAACGGCACGATCTCGGCTCACTGCTACCTACACCTCCTAGGCTTAAGCCATCCTCCCACCCTCAGTCTCCCGAGCAGCTGGGACTACAGGCATGTACCACCATGTCCAACTAATTTTTGTATCTTTTGTGAAGACAGGGTTTCACCGTGTTGCCCAGGCTGGTCTTGAAGTCCTGTGCTCAGGCAATTCTCCTGTCTCGGCCTCCCAAAGTGCTGGGACTACAGGCGTGAGCCACCATGCCCAACCTTGTCCGGGCATTTTAGACTCTGTTGTTTTCTGTCTCCCTGATACTAATCTCTTTCTCTTTCCACTTGTCTCTGCTCCCCTATTTTCCTCTCCCTGTCTCTCCTCCCTCTCTTCGCTTCACCCCCTTTTCTTTCTATGTATCTGTATTCCTCTGAAATCCTCTGCTTGTCATTCCTCTCTCCTTTTCCATTCCCTCTTTCTTCCCTCCCTCTCCTTTTGTCCACTAACTGACTTTATTTTATTTATTTATTTATTGAGATGGAGTCTCGCTCTGTCGCCCAGGCTGGAGTGAGTGGCACGATCTCAGCTCACTGCAACCTCTGCCTCCTGGGTTCAAGCGATTCTCCTGCCTCAGCCTTCCAAGTAGCTGGGATTACAGGCGTGCACCACCACACCGGGCTAATTTTTGTATTTTTAGTAAAGACGGGGTTTTGCCATATTGGCAAGGCTGGTCACAAACTCCTGGCCTCAAGTGATCCACCCACCTTGGCCCCCAAAAGTGCTGGGATTACAGGCATGAGCTGCCACACCCAGCCTAATTTTAATTTTTTTTATTATGTGCAGCTCGCTGGTGCCACTCTCCTCCAACTCACTGACTTTATAATATGGAATTAAAGCAGTGGCACACATCTGTGATCCCAGCACTTTGAGAGGCCAAGGCGGGTGGATCACCTGAGGTCAGGAGTTCGAGACCAGCCTGACCAACATGGTGAAACCCCATCTCTACTAAATACAAAAAATTAGCCGGGCGTGGTGGCGCATGCCATTAATCCCATCTGCTCAGGAGGTTGAGGCAGGAGAATCGCTTGAACCTGGGAGGTGGAGGTTGCAGTGAGCCGAGATCTCGACATTGCACTCTAGCCTGGGCAACAAGAGTGAAACTCCGTCCCAAAAAATAATAAAAATGGAATGAAAGAATATTCAATAGCTTTATACATTCTATTATTTATGTTTTAAAATTAGACAACTTGAACCAGTCATGCTTCTCCAATAAAAATAGCAGCATATTAACTGGCTCTTCTATTTGTATATAAACTATAAGTGCTCTTTTCTGTGCATCAGTGATTTTTGTAAGGAAATCTCCCCCACCACGGTTTGTACAATAAACCGTGGTGCATGCCTATAGAAAGGAAGGAAGCCCGCAGGGAGGCCCTCGTCTGGTGAGCATCAATCCTCTTCAGGATACCAGCAGCAAGGAAGATTTCAGATCACAGAATGTGGAAGGAAATTTTCAAGGCTCTTTGCTTTGTTTCCAGGCTCTCCCTGCACCTTACCCACCCCCTGCAGGTCTAGAGAAGTTACATGATTTCTCCAAAGTCACACAGCCAGTTCATGGCAAAACCTCCAGCAGAACCTATTTGTCGAACACAACAAATATATGACAAGGGATATGTAATATCCTCTTCTGTAGGAGCTACAAGAATTCACACAGCTTAATAAGACCCAGTCACCTCTTAAATGAAATTTACTACCTCCAGGGAGAAGATAGATCATTGAACCAACACTCATTTACCAGGTTGACAAAATCAAATTCAACCCAAAAGTCTACAGATTACGTGTCAAATTACATTCGCACACAATAGGTCATGCTAATGGAGGGTCAGGGATTTGGGCCATCCACACAGATGATGATCTGTTTTCCCTTCAGCACTTGGCACATACCCAGGGCCTCGCTCACTGACATGTTAGACAACAGCTCACCACAAACAGCTGCTCCTGTTGCTAGCAGCTTTCAGCCTTCTCTAAGTACCTTCTCCTGCAATAAGCCACATGACTCCTCTTCCCGGGGAGGCTGTGATCTGCAGTTAGTAGGCAGTCTTGCCGACTGACTTTGAGTTTCTGAAGTCCTAAATTCCCAGAGCATTTTGGTCTTTCTTCCTGCCTTTTTTTTTTTCTTTTTTAGTGGCACCCATCACTTTCTGTTCAGTTCAAAAAATATTCATGGGTATTTACTACAGCCAAGCATTGTGCTGAGCACTAGGAATAAGCCAGGCTCCCCACCCTCCAGTGAGTTAAGTGTCATGGTGGGGTGGGGGCGAGGACAGACTCGGGAAGAACATCTCCCTCCCTCTGCGATGGGAGGTGAAAACCTGGGGGCTGCACAGGGTATTATTGGCCCAATAGGAGGAGTCAGGACAGACTTCAGGGAGATGACATTTGAGTCAAGCCTTGAGGCATAAATAGCAAGGCATTTGCCAGGCAGAATGAAGGAAAGTAAAACTAGTTCTGTAAAAGGGGAGGTAGGAAATTAGAGGAGGGGGGTTGGAGGGGGAAGTAGGGGCCAGTTGTCCTCACTTGCTACATCACTACCAAGCTTCCCCACATGGACACCATCTCTCTACGTTGAGGAGAAACAGGCAGAAATGCATAGGTTTTGTTTTGACTCTAACAACAATTTCCTTTGGCTTTAAAACTTATGTTGGACAGAAACACAACCACTGTATGATCTCACTTGTATGTGAAATCTTAAAAAGTTGAACTCAGAAGCTGAGAGTACAACAGTGGTTACCGGGAATGGGGATGGGAGGAGAGGTGGCAGACAAAGTTACAAAATTTCAGTTAAACAAGAGGAATAAATTCAAGAGACCTGTTGTACAACATGATGATGACAGTTATTAACAATGTATTGTATACTTAAAAATTGCTAAGAGGGTGGATTTTAAGTGTTTTCACTACAAATAAATGATAAGTATGGGAGGTAATAGATTGTTAATTAGCTTGATTCAGCTATTGCACATTGTGTACACATGAAAATATCATGTTGTACAACATAAATACACACTATTTTTATTTGCCAATTAAAAATAATTTTAAAAAATTTATGTTGGAATGATAAGAGAAATCATGCAGAGGAGAAGGGCATATGAGAATTCTTGGCTGAGTGCAGTGGCTGACGTCTGTGATCCCAGCATTTGGGAAGCTGATGTGGGTGTATTGTTTGAGCCCAGGAGTTCGAGGCCAGCCTGGGCATCCTAGTGGGACCCCCATCTCTACAAAAATGAAAAAATTAGCCAGATATGGTGGCACACCCCTGTAGTCCCAGCTACTCAAGAGGCTGAGCGGGGAGGATCACTTGAGCCTGGGAGGGTGAGGCTGCAGTGAGCTGTGACTGTGCCATGGCATTCCAGCCTAGGTGACAGAGCTGAGACCCTTTCTCAAAAATAAAAATAAAAATAAAAATGTAAGATTTAAAAAAGAGAATTCTCATACTTTCTGCTTAATTTTTGGTGAATCTAAAAATATTCCCCAAAATAAAGTCTATTAATTTAAAAAAAAACCCTTATGTTGGGTTAATTTATTTATTTTGGGGGGCAGCCGAAGTTATCTCAGTTGTCATAGAAAACATGGAAATCCACGGAGGTTGTGATCAGGTGTCTCCCTTCCCTTCCCACTCCTATTTCTCCCTCGTCTCTCCCACCTCAGTGAAGGGCCCCACCATCATCTCTTAGCACAGGTTAGAAACCTGGGCATCTTCCTCAGTCCTTCCATCCTCCTCACCTTAGCCCATCGCAGAGTTCTGTAGATCGAACTTTATGCTCTTGCTGAAGTCCATCTCCTCTTTCTCTCCTCCAGAAAGAGCCACCCTCATCTTTCCCCCAGCCCAGCCCCTTCAGTAGGCTCTTTTTTTTTTTTTTTTTTTTTTGATATGGAGTCTCACTCTGTTGCCTAGTGCAGTGGTGTGATCTTGGCTCACCACAGCCTCCACCTCCTGGGTTCAAGTGATTCTCCTGCCTCAGCCTTCCAAGTAGCTGGGACTACAGGCACGCACCACCATGCCCCGCTAATTTTTGTATTTTTAGTAGAGACGGGGTTTCACTACCAGGCTGGTCTCAGACTCCTGACCTCGTGATCCACCTGCCTCAGCCTCCCGAAGTACTGGGATTACAGGCGTGAGTCACCATGCCTGGCTATGGGCCCTTAACTGGACAGCCCTCTGGTGTTCGTTTGCCAGGGCTGCTGTAACAGAGTGCCACCGTCTGGGTGGCTTGAACAACAGAAATCGACTTTCTCACAAATCTGGAGACTAGATGTCGAAGGTGAAAGTGTCAGCAGGGTTGGTTTCTTCCGACACCTCTCTCCTTCCTTTGTAGATGGCGGTCTTCTTCTCCCTGTCTTCACGTGGTCTTCCCTGTGTGTGTGTCTGTGTCCCGATCCCCTCTTCTTATGAGGACACCAGTCCTATTGAGTCAGGACTCACCCTAATGACCTCACTTTGACTTAATTGCCACTTTAAAGACTCTGTCTCCTAATACAGTCACATTTTGAGGTATTGGGCATTTGGACTTTAACACATGAATTTTGGGGGACTCAATTCACCACATAATGTGACTTCTCTTGTGTCCCTCTGAGCCAATCTTCAGGCAGTCACCAAAGTGATGTGCTAAGAATGTAAGTCAGATTGCATGACTTACCTGCTTAAAAGCCTTCAGTGACTTTCCTGTGTCCTTACAATGCAATCCAGATGCTTCCTCGTGGCCTACAAGGCACGGTCCAACCCTGTCTCTCCCCACCCCACACTCTCCCTGCCTCCCGGCGGCTCATCACTGTGCAGCCACACGACTGCCTTCTGCTTCTCAAATGCATCAAGCTCCTTTGTGCTGTGCCCATTCTTCCTCCAGCCACCTCCTACTCCTTCTTCAGTTCTCATAGATGCCCCCTGAGTGTCTGGTCATAAGTAGGTGCCCACTATTATTCATCCTCCTCTCTTTCTCTCTCCTCTCTCTCTCTATCTCTCCTCTCTCTCTCATAGCTATCTGTGATTCTGATACTCATGGTTATTCTTTATCCTAGCCCCCAGTTCCTTTACTTGGCAGCTTGTGTCACAACTTGATATTATGTTTCCTTATTTACTTGTCTTGTTTCCCTCACTAGACTGAAAACTTCCTGAGGACAAAGACTATGTCGATTTCCTTCACTCCTGTATTCTGGATCCTGGCATAGTATACTTGATCCTAGGACACAGAATGTGCTCATCAAATACTTACTGAAAGAGAGACGGAATGAATAGGGAGCTTGGGCTTTATGTTGTGGGTGATGGGAAAGCTGCGGGCAGATTTCCACTGTGATTAGCTGTGCGCTTTAGAGAGATCACTCTGGCTGCAGTGGAGAGCGGGTGGGCTAAGAGGCTGATCCTGGATCAGGGAAACTCATGGGGAGCTATTGCAATAGTCCCAGCAAGAGACAAGGAAATACTAAACCAGGGTCATAGAAATGGGAAAGAAGGGGAGATAATATTTGGAGGATGTGATAGTTGATCAGATGTAAGAGGTGCAGGAGAGGGGAGACTCCAGGATGACTTCCTGATTCCTGGACTAGGTGAGAAGGTAAGTGACATGAGAGGATAAATGAATCTTCTTTCTAAGGGCAGGCTTTCTGCAGATGGGAGGCAGGCTTAGTGGCCACACTTGTTCTCATTTTTGTTCCTCGCATAAAGTGAAATGACACATTTACAGAGAGATTCTCATTCTTTTTTCTTCACCTTCTTTTTGCCAAATATTCTACATCTTTGGGCAATTATCTTTCATGGAGACTGGAGATATGTGAAGGGGAGAGGAGGAGGAACAGATTGATTGTGTGTGTTGGGGGTAAATTTGGGGGAAACCTACCCTATCCTTTTCCTATAAGCCTCTCCTCAAAGACAGGGTCTGTGTTGAAGTTCCCATTTAAAAATGCTTTGCACGTAGTAGGCCCTCAGTCATCCCATTTGGGAACAGTGCATGGCGGTCCTTCGTCACAAGCACAGTGTCAACCGTGGAAACCCTCACGCGTGTCCACGAGCCCAACACCCTGGGAATGTCGCCTCTCCTAATTCCCCTGTCACTCATCCTCCAGTCCTGCTCAGCCTGTTCCATTCTCGATGGCCCCTCACCCAGTGCTTGTTTTCAGCACTTGCAGAAACAAAGCAAGCCCTAAATACAACGGCCAACTGGCAAGTGATGAGTGATGAGCGATGAGCCTCCTGGCTCTAAAAGGCTGAAATGAGGGGGCCTTTCAGTGTTAAGTGCAGTAACCCTAGCCCTCAGCTCGCTGTAACTCTAGATGGGGGTGGTCTGGGACTGGGCATGGCCCAGGCAGCATGAACAGGCCTGGAGATCCTCAGCCGGACCGCAAGAAAAGAGAATACTTCTCTGCAGTCAATCGAAAGCATGAAATTAATGCCCAAATGGAGGTAAATTAGATGCACTGAAATGACACGAGAAGAAAAATGCCTTCCTTACTAAGGGCAGGCTCTCTGCAGGAAATGGGAGGCAGGCTCGGTGACCACACTTAGTCTCCTTTTTGATGCTCACCTAAAGTGAGATATTGCTTTTACAGAGAGATTCTTATTCTTTTTTTTTTTTTCCTTGTTCCTCTGCCTAATATCTGACCGCTTCGGACAAGTAACTTAACCTCTCTGAACCACAGTTTCCTCATCGATAAAGTGAGTCATACTCTGCACCTCAAAGGGCTGTGGTGAGATGTAAATGAGCTGAAGGATTTAAAAAATTGCCTGGCTCATAGGAGGCTTTCTGTAATGTTAATGGACTCTGAATCTAGGTGTTTTGCTCTAAACTAAAAGCAAGTTTCTATTTCAGAAGTATGAAGCACTGGAGAAATGCAGTCAGCTCTCAGATGTCTGTGGTCTACAGTATAATAGCAAATATATGTTCACTTAAACTGTGCTCTAGAGGAGGTCAGCCCTTTAATCTGAGGTTGTACATAATACGGAAGTGATCAGCTAGCATTTAGTCAAACATTCACTGCTACTACATGGCCTTTTGTTGTCTCCCATTAGCACCACAGCATTGTAATGAGCATAATAAATATATTGGATGGGGATTCACTGGGGAAAAGATGTGTGTTAATAAGCCCAGTTAGAAATGAGTGCTAAGCATTAAAAATCAATGGTATCCAGACCGGGCACAGTGGCTCACACCTGTAATCCCAGCACTTTGGAAAGCCAAGGTGAGAGGATTGCTTGAGCCCAGGAGTTTGAGACCAGCCTGGGCAACATAGTGAGACCCTGTCTTTACAAAAATTTAAAAATTAGCTGGGCATGGTGGTGTATACTTGTGGTCCCAGCTACTTGGGAGGCTGGAGTGGGAGAATCACATGAGCCCAGGAAGTCAAGGCTGCAGTGAGATGTGGTCTTGACACTGCACTACAGCCCGGGTGATAGAGCGAGGCCCTATCTCAAAAACAAACAGGCTTGGCACGGTGGCTCATGCCTGTAATCCAGCACTTTGGGAGGCCGAGGCGGGCAGATCACGAGGTCAGGAGATCGAGACCATCCTGGCTAATACAGTGAAACCCTGTCTCCACTAAAAATACAAAAAGTTTGCCGGCCGTGGTGGCACGCACCAATAGTCACAGCTACTTGGGAGGCTAAGGCAGGAGAATCGCTTGAACCTGGGAGGCAGAGGTTACAGTGAGCTGAGATTGCGCCACTGTACTCCAGCCTGGGCGACACAGCGAGACTCCATCAAAAAAAAAAAAAGAAAGAAAAAGCCCCATGACTCAGTGGTATCCAAGATATGCAAGTTGGCTGGAATAGTTTGCAGTCACTCTCTGCCCTTTCATGATAAGAAAAAAGAATCTGCTGGGCCCTATCTATTTCACCTTTCTGGGTGGTACCTGAGGCTAGATTCTGAAATGTTCCCAAGTCCAGCCATGAGGCCAAGGGAATCAAGTTGCCCAAAGCCTTAGGTTAACCTAATCCTGCCTCCAGATTATGGAGTCCCCCTCAAGCAGACCTTTCATGCAGGGCATGTTTGGAGCACGCAGAAGGACAGAGCTGTAATCAGCTTTCAAAACAGATTATTTTTGTGTGAATTGGCTGATAAAAGTGTGTCTTTTGTCTACAAAATGTGGCAGAATTTGACTCAAAACTTGTGTGATGTGAAGTTGTAGGAGGAGTAGATAGCTTTCAGCAACCCATAATGTTTGCCAGCTACCTATATCTACCAAAAAAACCTAATAGTTTCGACATAATTAAATGTGTTTAGCTCAATTGGAAATAGCTACTATTAATATATGATAGGCTAAAGTGCTTTATTTACATTACTTGGTTTAATCCTCAGAACAAATCTGTGAGGTAAGTCCTGTTATTATTTCTTTCTTTTTTTTTTTTTTTTTTTTTTTTTTTGATGGACTGAGGTGCCCAGGCTGGAGTGCAGTGGCACAATCTCAGCTCACTGCAACCTCTGCCTCCCGAATTCAAGCAATTCTCTTGCCTCAGCCTCCCAAATAGATGGGACTACAGGTGCCTGCCACCACGCCCAGCTAATTTTTGTATTTTTAGTAGAAATTGGGTTTCACCATGTTGGCCAAGCTGGTCTCAAACTCCTGACCTCAAGTGATCTGTCCGCCATGGCCTCCCAAAGTGCTGGATTACAGGCGTGAGCCACCACACCCAGCCTCCTTTTTTTTTTTTTTTAACCAGGGAAAAGGAGGCTCAGAAATCTTAAAGCATTACCCAGGATCACACAGCCTTTAAGCAGTGGGTCAGTATTTGAACCCAGGACTGGCAAAACCCCAGACCCTTTAGCTTAATCACTACCTACTACTGCCTGAGAGTATTTGAGGGTTTAAATTTGAGGCTGGGCACAGTGGCTAACACCTGTAATTCCAGCACTTTGGGAGGCTGAGGCAAGCAGATCACCTGAGGTCAGGAGTTCGAAACCAGTCTGGCCAACGTGGCGAAACCCCGTCTCTGCTAATAATACAAAAATTAGCTGGACATGGTTGTGGGTGCGTGTAATCCCAGCTACTCAGGAGGCTGAGGCACAAGAATCGCTTAAACCTGGGAGGTGGAGGTTGCTGTGAGCCAAGATCGTGCCACTGGACTCCGGCCTGGGTGACAGAGCAAGACTCCGTTTAAAATAAATAAATACATAAATAAATAAACATAAATTTGAATAATGTTTCCTCAGGGTTTGTCTATAGTCTAGCTCTGCTGACAGCTATGCCGGCTTCATCTGAAGGCTCATCTGCTAAGAAACAGCCGCCTTCACACTGAGAGGATGCCCACGGAGATGTCTCTCTCATGGATTCTGCCAGCACCCTCTCTGGACTCTCCCTTCTCACCAGTTTCTTCTTGTTTCCTCCTTCATCCTTTATATTGTCTCTGAGGATCTCTGTGTTGGAACACCCAGTCCCCTGCCAGGAGACTACATCAATATACAAGGTCCCAGATGTGGTTCTGCGGCCTGGCTTGAGTGCAGCCCAGGTTGGGCACTCACACAGGGCGTGACCCACACCACATCTGGACCGCTCCAGTCCCTCAGGACTCTTTCTTCTTATTGACCAGACTGTGTTGTCTTGTCATTTCCTCCACGGGTCCTATTTCTGCTCACTGGAGTCACTCAGAAGCCCAGTCCCTCTGTCCCATGACAGCCCTCCAGGTGTGTTAGGATGGATTCATGTGTCCCTATTTGTGCTCCCTTAGGAAGGACCGAGGGTGTCTGAGGTCTTGAGATGTCACTTGGGCTCTCCCCAGTCCCTGCAGGTCTCCCCACTGGAGGCTTTGGAAGCTGAGACTCTGGCTTTGTAGGAATTTGTCCCATCCTCCAGGCAAACAAGTGTTTCTGACCAACTTTCCAAAGTCAAGGAGGAAGCTGGTGAAGCCTTCTCCCCTTTTATTATTATCTTTATTGAGGTGTAACTTAAATACAATTATTTATGAAGCTCTTTTTTTGTCTTTAAACATCTTCGAGATACAGTTCACATACCATAATCTTCACCCTTTTAAATTGTGTAAAATTCAGTGATTGCTAGTATATTTATAGATTTGTGCAATCATTACTACTATGTAATTCCAGAATATTTTCTTTTTTTAACTTTTTTTTTTTTTAAGACAGGGTCACACTCTGTCACCCAGGCTGAGTGCAGTGGCGTGATCTCAGCTCACTACAACCTCTGCCTGCCATGCTCAGGTGATCCTCCCAACTCAGCATCCCAAGTAGCTGGGACCACAGGCATGCACCATCACACCCAGCTAATTTTTTGTAGAGATGAGGTTTTGCTCTTTTGACCAGGCTGGTCTTGAACTCCTGAGCTCAAGCAATCTGCCCACTTTGGCCTCCCAAAATGTTGGGATTACAGGCATAAGCGTGCGCCCGGCCCAGAATATTTCCATCACTCCAAAAAGAAACCCCATATTCTTTAGCAGTTACTCCCCATTCACCCTTTCCTCAGCCTCCTGGCAACCATAAATCTACTTTTTCTTCCTTTTTTTTTTTTTTTTTTTTTTTTTTTTTTGAGACAGGGTCTCACTTTGTCATCAAAGCTGGAGTGCAGTAGTGGACCAATCATGGCTCACCGCAGCCTTGAATTCCTGAGCCCAAGTGATCCTCTCACCTCAGCCTCCCGAGTAGCTGGGACAACAGATGTGCTCCACTATGCCTAGCTAATTGATTTATTTTCATTTTTGTACAGTCAGGGTCTCACTGTGTCCCCAGGCTGGTCTTGTACTCCTGGCCTCAAGGGATCCTCCCACCATAGCCTCCCAAAGTAGTGGGATTACTGGCGTGAGCCACCACGCCGGCCCCACAGTTATTTTCTAATATATATCTCTGCTTCCCGCTTGCCACAGCAGAGAACTCAAGTAAGGTGGTGTGGATTTTCTTTCCAAAAATCTTACTATTTCTTTTCCATTATGTAATTATGTGCTTACACATTGAGAGGAACTATGGTTTAAGAGCCCGTGGCCTTGGAAAAGTCACTTAATCTCTCTAAGCCACCGTTCCATCACCCATTAAATGAGAATAGTAATAATAACACCAACGATAATAAAACCTAACTGTCAGTGTTGTACGGAGGAACACAGTATGATATGTAAGCATTACAGAAGTGCAGCTCTCACTCTTCATGAGTGAAAGTACTGCCAACATCCAGATTACCACGAGAAATAGAGTTGATCGGAATATTTTCAAAATTCTCCGCATTCCAGCCAACTGTCATGAATTAGTAAGGGCTGAGCACTGACCCCTCCACCAGCCTATTCCCTCGCTTTTTCTGGGAATCCTTAATGACTTGAACATTGTAGAGAACAACCACTAGGGGGCGCACTTTCATCACTGGAATGCCTGGGTACCATTTCCCCAGTTTCTTACCAGTACATTTTCCCACCAAACCTAAGTGTTAGGGAAGCTTGCAGGTGGAGGGAAACCCACAGTCACAGGCTCACAGTTCCACCCTTTTATGGACCTCCTCTTACTTGCCTCCTTCCCTTCTCTCTGTCTTAACTGGTGGTATCAGTTCACCTCTCTTGTAGTAGCAGAGCTTCACTAAACTTAGCCAGATATTTCCAGAAAGGAACATTTTTTTTTTTCCTTTGTGCACTGTGCGGATAAATGCTGTTTGTTGTTTCAAAGTATTGACCAGGCTGCTGTGGAGAACTCTTTGGTTCGAAGGACCGTTTTCCTTGCTTTGACCCAACTCAGAGCGGCTCCCAAGATCAGAAACAGTCTCCTTGTTACACTTTCTCAATCTACCAACTTCTTAAATGGTAGATTTAAGACCATTGACTTTGGTGGTTTAAGACCAAAAGGTTGGTGGTTTAAGACCATTCCTTTTTTTAAAAAGCTTTTCATGTGGGGGTGTGGGATGTATGTCGAACTTTCTCAATCTTCTATGGATGATACTTGTAGCCAAATCCTTTGCTTTGGTTCTCAGACTGAGAAGGCTCCCCACTGCTTCTCTTCCTGCTGATAAGACCTCTAAAGAGCAACAATTCTCAAATTTTAGTATAAATAAGAATAATATGGGAGTTCACGTCAAAAGAGCAGATTCTGCCACTTCATACTCATCAGGATGGCTATTATATATTTTTAAAAAAACAGAAAATAACAAGTATTGGTGAGGATATAGAGAAATTGAACTCTTGTGCATTGCTGGTGGGAATGTAAAACAATGCAGCCACTGAGGAAAGCAGTATGGTGTTTCCTCAAACAATTAAACATATAATTACCATATGATCTAGCAATTCCATTTCTAGGTATATACCCAAAAGCATTGAAAGGAGGGACTCGAACAGATATTTGTATATCTGTGTTCATAGCAGCATTATTTACAATAGCCAAAAGGTAGAAGCAACTCAATGTCTACCAACAGCTGGATAGATAAGCAGAATCTGGTATATGCATACAATGGAATATTATTAAGCCTTAAAAAGGAATGGAATTCCAATACGTGCTACAACATGAATGAACCCTGAAAATATTATTCTAGGTGAAATCAGCCAGACTCAAAAGGACAAATATTGTATGATTCTACTTTTTTATTTTTAAATTTTTGTTTTTATTTATTTTTTTTTAGAGATAAGATCTTGCTCTGTCATTCAGGCTGGAGTGTAGTGCATGATTGTGGCTTACTGCAGCCTCTAACTCCTGGGCTCAAGTGATCCTCCTGCCTCAGCCTCCAAGGTAGCTAGGACTATAGGCACATGCCACCATGCCGAGATAATTTTTCGGGGGAGGTAGGAAAAGGGGGTCTTGCTGTGTTGCCCAGATTGGTCTTAAACTCCTGGCCTCAAATAATCTTCCCACCTCAGCTCCCAAAATGTTGGGATTGCAGCATAAGCCACTGTGCCAGGCCCATGGTTCTACTTTTTGAGGTACCTATGAATTTGAGGCAAATTCATAAAGAAGGAAAGTAGGATAATGATTCCCAAAGGCTGGGAGGCAGGGCAATGAGTAGTTATTGCTTAACAGTACAGAGTTTTAGTTTGGGAAGATGAAAACATTCTGGCAATAGATGGTGATAATGTCTTTGCCACAATGTGAATGTACTTAATGCCACTGAATTGCACCTAGGAAATAATTAAAATGGGAAATTTTTATGTTGTGTGTATTTTACCACAATATACAAAGCAAAAAAAAAAAAAAAAATCAAGTGTAGATTCCTGAGTCCTACACTACTGATTCCACAGGTTTGTGATAAGGCCCAGGAGTCTGCAGTTTTAAGTCCCTGGGGATTTTGATGCAGGTGGTCTTGGAGGAACATTAGGCTTCTGTGATGGGAGCTGTTTATATTTTCCACAGACTGCTTGGGGAGCATCTACCACGTGGGTTTTAAAGGACTGACTGCCACTTCCAGTGTGTGACAAGCCACTGAGCCTCTCTGCGCCTCTTATCCTTCATCTCTGAAGTAGGACTGACAGTGCTACCTACCTAGTGGGGTCTTTGTGAAGATTGAAGAAGTGAAACATGTAAAGTGCTTTTTAAAAATATAGCAGGTGACTTGAGATTACTCCTTCCTTTAGTGATTAGGGTTATATACTGTCTGCTCCCTGAGACTTTATGCTTTAACAGTATAACCAGTAATCCATCTAGAATTACACCAATGGCAGTGTCTACTTTTTTTTTTTTTTTTTTGAGACAGGTCTTGCTCTCTCACCCAGGCTGGCATGCAGTGGCATGATCACAGTTCACTGTAGCCTCAACTTCCTAGGCTGAAGGGATCTCCCACCTCAGCCTCCCAAGTAGCTGGGACTACAGGCACATGCCACCATGCCCAGCTAATGTTTTTATTTTTTTGTAGAGACCCTTGTCTCTACAAAAAATGTTACTCAGGCTTGTCTCAAACTCCTGGGCTCAAGCAATCCTCCTGCCTTAGCCTCCCAAAATGGTGGGTTTACAGGTGTGAGCCATCATGCCAGACCTCAATTTTTTTTAAATGACTGCTTCCAGCCTGGGCAACATAGTGAGACCCCATCATTACAAAAAATTAAAAAATTAGCTGGTCACAGTGGCTCATGTCTGTAATCCCAGTGTATTAGTCCATTTTCATACTACTATAAAGAACTGCCCAAGACCGGGTAATTTATAAAGGAAAGAGGTTTAATTGACTTGCATTTCAGCATGGCTGGGGAGGCCTCAGGAACTTTACAATCATGGCAGAAGGCAAAGAGGAAGCAAGGCACCTTCTTTACAAGGCAGCAGGAAGAAGTGCGGAGCGAAGCAGGGGAAAGAGCCCCTTGCAAAACCATCAGATCTCATGAGAACTCATTGTCACGAGAACAGCATGGGGAAAAACATCCCCATGATTCAATTACTTCCACCTGGTCTCTCCCTTGACACATGGGGATTATGGGGATTACAATTCAGGATGAGATTTTGGGTGGGGGGACAGCCGGACAATATCACAGCTACTTTGGACGCTGAGGCAGGAGGATCACTTGAGCCCAGGAATTTAAGGCTGCAGTGAGCCATGAACATGCCACCATACTCCAGCCTAGGTGACAGAGCAAGACCCTGTCTTTAAAAAAATCAATTAAAATGACTTCTTGTTAATATTCTCAATGGCTGGTAAGCAGATGGCATTGGTTAACTAATTTAATGAAGCAGGATTAGGAGTTAGAGGCATCTCTGCTTCTGCAGCTTCTGCAAAGGGTTCAGTGGTAAGGATCTTATCCCATGAGAAACAATGACATTCCTTAAGGTTTATGGGGGGAGCAGGTGCAGGGGGTAGTGAGGCATCTCATAGTGTTCTAATGGTTTTACTTTAAATTATCCATATGTTTTTTGTTTTTAAAAAAAACCTTCTGGAAGAATTCACACTATGTTAATAGAGGAGTAGGATTTGTAGCAGAAGGTGAAAGGGGACTTTCATTTTTCACCCTGTGTCTTTCTGGGCTGTTTGTTTATTTTACAATGTGAGGCCCTATATTACTTTTGTAACTTAGAAAAAAAGGTGTTTGTTTGTTTTTTCTAAATGTGACTGTTCCTGTCCATTCAGGACAGCACCAGTAGTATAAACACAAATACCCACTCAAATTAATATCCTCACATGATAATACAGATGATGCCACCTTAGAAATTAGCAGTGTACAAAGCATGCTCACAGCCATTATCTCACGTAATCCATGGCATGGTTTTGTGAAGCAGGAAGTGTTTTACACTTTTACAGCTGAGAAATGCACAAGAAATGTGCGTCACTGTTGTGTAAGCTATATCTTTCTTACCTCCTTATCCTTTGAGTGTTGACTTTGGTTCACTTTGCTGTGGTATTTTGAGCACTTATTTTAGTTATATAATAAAATATATTTGCAATCTATTCAGTTGAGGATAAGCATCGTTAGCTGCAACTGCCCAGATTGAAAAAACTATTTGAACTTGAGATGGGCAGACCAAGGCAACCTTGGCCAGCTAGGAAGGAGCTAGGGCTGCTGTGTGTGTTTGCCTCCCAAAGTTATCATAACAACGTTCCAAAAAGCAAAATATCTCATGCACATATGTTTTAATGGGAATGGGATTTTGTTTAGTCTAATTAGCAGGCAGGCAGAAACCACATAAAATTTTGTGGGTTTTTTTTTTTTTTTTTTGAGACAGTCTCCCTCTGTTGCCCAGGCTGGAGTGCAGTGGCACAATCTCGGCTCACAGCAACCTCCGCTTCCCAGGTTTAAGCTGTTCTCGTGCCTCAGCCACCCAAATAGCTGAGATTACATGTGCACACTACCACACCTGGCTAATTTTTGTATTTTTTTTTTTTTAGTACAGATGGGGTTTCATCATGTTGCCCAGGCTGGTCTGGAACTCCTGACCTCAGGTGATCTGCCCACCTTGGCCTCCCAAAGTGCTGGGATTACAGGCTTGAGCCACTGCACCCAGTTACCACATAAGATTTTTATTGTGCAGAGCTTCCTTTCACAGAAAGCTGAAATGTCAGGTAGTTTTTGGAGAGTTATAAGTAGCTGTTGCAGTGTGGGCGGGGTACAACTCATCATTTGATATTCCTGCCAGCAAATGTGTGGCTTTTACTGATGAGGCAAATAGAGATGATTTTGCTTGCTTGCACTGCAATTGCAAATATTTACTTACTTATTTTTTAATTGTAGTCATTAATGGACACAAGAAAATGAAAATGTGGGCCAGGCGCGGTGGCTCACGCCTGTAATCCTAGCACTTTGGGAGGCTGAGGTGGGCGGATCACCTGAGGTCAGGAGTTCGAGACCAGCCTGGCCAACATGGTGAAACCCCATCTCTATTAAAATACAAAATTAGCCGGGCATGGTGGCAGGTGCCTGTAATCCCAGCTACTCAGGAGGCTGAGGCAGGAGAATCACTTGAACCCAGGAGGTAGAGGTTGCAGTAAGCCGAGATCGCACCACTGCACTCCAGCCTGGGGGACAAGAGCGAGACTCTGTCTCAAAAAAAAAAAAAAAAAGGAAAATGAAAATGTGTTTGAGCTCCAGAAGTGTCTCCTTTTAAATCAGGACAGCACCTGTAAACCAAGGGTCTCACCAGAACTGGCTAAATAATTTACAGGATCCAATGCAAGATGAAAGTGAAGGATGCCTTGTTCAAAAGTCATTAAGAATTTCAAGATGGCAACATCAAAGCATTAAGCCCAGAGCAGGGCCCTTTGCAAGTGTATAGGTTCCACATCCACTATGCCAATCCTGCGTCTTGCTTACATTTAAATTTTCTATTTATTTGTTTATCAATTGTTTGATTAGAGTAGGGCATTAACATATTACAAATTTTAAAAGATACAAACATAAGTCTCTAGCTCTCTTCCCTGTAGGTACTAGTTTGTGTATCTTTTTTCTTTTTTTTTGAGACAGGGAATTGCTCTATCACCCAGGCTGGAGTGCAAAGGCACAATCATAGCTCACTGTAGCTTCAACCTCCCAGACTCAAGTGATCCTCCCACCTCAGCCTCTAGAGCACCTTCCTTCAGGACACACACATACAAATGGTATCATACATTACACATTGTTTTGTATTTTGTTTTCTTAACAATATATCTTGGAGATAATTCCCTACCCCTGCA
This sequence comes from Homo sapiens, assembly GCF_000001405.40. Taxonomy (NCBI): domain Eukaryota; kingdom Metazoa; phylum Chordata; class Mammalia; order Primates; family Hominidae; genus Homo; species Homo sapiens. Next base: position 99,566,434 of record NC_000010.11, read on the forward strand.
GACGGTGTCTCCTTATTCTTTCCCATGGCTGCATAATACTCCACTCTACTATACTCCACTCTACTGGTTATAGACATAACCAGTTCCTTTTGATGGATGTATAGATTGCTTCCAATTACCAAAAATGCTGCAACAAAAGTTGTTGCAGATCATTTTTCTACATGCCTGAGTGTTTCTGTGGGAGTGTCAAGTCAAAGATTATAATTTGTTTTACATTGTGATAGATATTGTCAATTACTCTCTAAAGAAATCGTACCAATTTACACCCCCACCAATATAGAGTTATCAACTTTTTTTATCTTTGCCAATCTAATGGATGGGACACTGATCTATTGTAGTCTTAATTTTCTTTGTTTGTTTCTCTTTCTTTTCTTTTCTTTTTTCTTTTTTTAGATGGGTTCTCACTCTGTCACCCAGGGTGGAGTACAATGGCATGATCATGGCTCATTGCAGCCTTGATCTCCCAGGCTCAAGTGATCCTTTCGCCTCAGCCTCCCAAGTAGCTGGGACTACAGGTGCACACCACCATGCCCAGTTAGGTGTTTTACTTTTTGTAGAGACAAGGTCTCACTGTTGTCCAGGATGGTCCCAAAATCCTTAGGTCAAGCAATCCTCCCATCATGTCCTCCCAAAGTGCTGGGATTACAGGCACAAGGCACCACACCCAGCCTTATAGTCTTAATTTTCATTTCTTTTATTATCAGTGGAGCTGGACATCTTTTCAAATGGCTAAGAGTCAGCCTCTTCTGTGAATTGACTGTTCACAAAGACTGTTATTCCTTTGTTGTGTTGTTAGATTTTTTATTAGTCTTTTTCTTATGATTTGTGTAAATGCTTAATCTATTGAGGAAATTAGTTCTTGGTTTGGGAGTTTTGAAAATATTTCCCCCAGTTTGTTTTATCTTTTTTTTTTTTTTTTTTTTTTGAGATGGAGTCTCACTCTGATGTCCAGGCTGGAGTGCAGTGGCACGATCTCTGCTCACTGCAACCTCCGCCTCCTGGGTTCAAGCAGTTATCTGCCTCAGCCTACCGAGTAGCTGGGATTACATGTACCTACCACCACACCCAGCTAATTTTTGTATTTTTAGTAGAGATGGGGTTTCGACCATCTTGGCCAGGCTGGTCTTGAACTCGACCTCGTGATCCACCAGGCTTGGCCTCCCAAAGTGCTGGGATTACAGGCGTGAGCCACCGAGTCTGGCCTGTTTCGTCCTTTTAACTTTGTTGGTTTTGCCATGCAGATTATTTTTTAATGTAGTTGAATTTATCAGTTTTTAATGGCTTCTGAATTTTGTATCATTCTCAGAAAGATCTTCTCCACTCCCATGCTTCCTTCTAGTATTAACCAGTTGTAGTTACATTCTCAGAAATAAACCTTTGCTCCATTTGGAATTTATTTTATTGTAAAGTATAAATAGGCATCCAGTTTTATTTTTTTCCCAGATGACTACCTACATGTCCCAGTAATATTTATTGAATAATTCACCTTTCCCCCACTTATTTGAAGTTCTCTTTTTATCAAATAGTAAAATTCCTACTTGTATTTGTGTCTATTTCTGAACATTCTATTTTATTTTTAAGAATGATTATGTGTGATGTGTATATAAATAATAATAAAGAATTTTCTAAACCTCTTTCCAGTTTGGGGAGCGGTCATAGATATGGCTTGTCCAGAGTTACCCAATTCAATACAAGAATCCTTGAGAGGCCAGTCCCAGTATATGTTTACTTTCATATGTATTTCAAGGAAAAAGATTATCATGATGTTTAAGAACATGGATTGGGGTGTCAGACTGACCTGGGTTGCAATCTCACCTCTAATCTCCAGGACTGTGTGAGCTTGGGTGGATTGTCTTATCTGATCCTCAGGTTCCTCATTTATAAAACAGAAATAAATCTAGAACCTCTCTCATTGAGTTGGTTAGGAAGTAAATGAATGTAAAATGCTTAAAACACTGCCTAACACATAGTAAATTATTGTCATTATGATTTACCCCTAGGGTGACCAGCTGATCCCCATTTTCCCAGACTTTCTCCATTTTATCACTGAAAATCCCAAGTCCTGAGCAAATCAAGATGTTTAGTCACCCTAAACCCTATTGTCATGTGCAATGGTTAAGAATCTGTGTTTGTGGCCTGACGTGGTGGCTCACACCTCAAATCTCAGCACTTTGGGAGGCCGAGGCAGGCAGATCACCTGAGGTCGGGAGTTCGAGACCAGCCTAACAAAGATGGAGAAACCCCATCTCTACTAAAAATACAAAATTAGCCGGGCGTGGTGACGCATGCCTGTAATCCCAGCTACTTGAGAAGCTGAGGCAGGAGAATCACTTGAACCTGGGAGGTGGAGGTTGCAGTGAACTGAGATCGCACTATTGCACTCCAGCCTGGGCAACAAGAGCAAAACTCCGTCTTGGGGGAAAAAAAAGAAAGAATCTGTGTTTGTTTTCCTCTATCAAAATCATACTACTCAGTTCCTACATCGATTAACTCAACTTTTACAGAAATATCACAAAATGTAAGTTTTTTCAAAAACTTAAAATCCATGCTCTTATCTCATTCCAATTTTGTGCCCCTCCCCCCGAAAGGAAGACATTCTTTGGCCATCAGAGCCTAATCTAGGATTTCCTCTGGTTTCCACCTGAGCCAAGATCAAAGCGCCCCATGCCCAAGAAGTTGGGGGGAGGTGCGGGGGTTGGGAGAGGAGGAGTGGGGCTGGGGGTCAAAATAGGGCTATACAAAAAAACAAACAAGGCAGAGTGACTCCATGACATTGGAGACTGAAATACTTTGCTTCTAGAGTTAAACACACACACACACACACACACACACATACACACACACAGAGCAGTCTCCCCAGGACTCACTTGCTGTAATGTAAAAGAGTAATCGTCTTCCTCACTCATGAATCATTCTAACTTTAGGCACTGTAAAAGCCTAGTTGAGGACGTATCGCTGGGGAGGTAGCGTGTTATACAAGTCTCAAATCCTACCACTGAAGCAGTGCCTACTCTGCCAAGGTATGTAGCAGACTCTGAATCCACAAGGACAAAAGTGCCAGGTCCTGGCTGGTTGGAGGAGAGAGGAGGGAGAATTATTTGTGTTGGAGAAGTCAAGCCTTGGGCTTAATTAGGTTTAATTTAATGATGCAACGGAGAGAGGCCTGGTCTGAAACTTAGAAATCAAAGTTCTCATCCCATTCTTTTCATGAATTAACTCTGTAACCCCAAGTCAGCCACTTCTCCCAGGGCCTTCCTGCATAACTTCAGGGAGTGCATGTCACTCCCAGAGACATGTAGTGTTAGAGCCACATGTGGAGGCTGCTGGGGTTGTGGCTGAGGCGCCGGAGAAGCAAGCGAGCCTGTTGGCCAAAAGGGAAGGTGTGAAGGTGCCGGGCAGGTTGCTGGGCAGAGCCAAAGAAAGGCTTCCCTGACCGGGACAGGGCTGTGGCAGTAACAGCACCGAATCCTAACCTCTGGACCACCACTTGCCACCTTGTAGGTGGCAATACAGGGACCCCATATTGTCTCCAGCCCTCCATTTCTTCTCCTCTGTAAAATAAAAGACTAAATTTTAGGATAGTCTTAATCATTTGGCTAACATTCTTTACAGGTCAATAGTCACCAAACCAGGAGAAATTGGGTCCTGGCATACAAAGCTCACTTAGTCTCAGTTGAAAGAGCACTGCATTCTGATGCTAGTACCAGCTGGTTTCTTTGACTTCTTCCCTAGAGAATAAAGTGGTAGACAGAAACTAACAAGATGAGGAAGAAAGTCAGAAGATGATGTGGTAAACATCTCTGTTTCAGCTTCACCTGCATCCATTCCCTCTTCTGGTGACTGTCCTTGATTTTGGTTTGGGAAAGCAAATCCTAGATTAGAGAAAATCTGGCCAGTCATGGGATCCCACCCTCCCCTGGCCAAAAAGTCATTGAGCGACCCAAGTTCTTTCTGCCAATCAGACGCTCTCTCCCTTGATGGTGGGAATGTAAACTCGTACAACCACTATGGAGAACAGTTTGGAGGTTCCTTTAAAAACTAAAAATACAGCTACCATGTGATCCAGCAATCCACTGCTGGGTATATACCCAAAACAAAGGAAATCGGTATATCTGCACTCCCAGGTTTGCTGCAGCACTGTTCACAACAGCTAAGATTGGAAACAACCTAAGTGTCCATCAGCAGATGAATGGATAAGGAATATGTGGTATTTATACGCAATGGAGTACTACTCAGCCATAAAAAAGAATGAGATTCAGTCATTTGCAACAACATGGATAGAACTGGAAATTATTACGTTTTTGTTTTTGTTTTGTTTTGTTTTTTGAGACAAAGTCTCGCTCGGTCGCTGGAGTGAGAGAGCTGGAGTGCAGTGGCTGGATCTCGGCTCGCTGCAACCTCTGTCTCCCAGGTTCAAGTGATTTTCCAGCCTCAGCATCCAGAGTGGCTGGGACAACAGGCTCGCGCCACCGCGTCCGGCTAATTTTTGTATTTTTAGTAGAGACGGATTTCAACATGTTGGCCAGGCTGGTCTCTTGACCTCAGGTGATCTGCCCATCTCAGCCTCCCAAAGTGCTGGGATTACAGGCGTGGGCCACCGCCCCCACCAGAAATTATTGTATTAAGTGAAATAAAGCCAGGCACAAAAAAAACAAACATCACATATTCTCACTTATTTGTGGGATCTAAAAATCAAAACAGTTGACCATGGAGATAGAGAGTAGAAGGAAGGTTACCAGAGGTTGGGAAGGGTAATGGGGTGCTGGGGGGGAGGTGGGGATGGTTAATGGGTACAAAAAATAGTAAGAAAGAATGAATAAGGCCTATTTGATAGCATAACAGGGTGACTGTAGTCAATAATAATTTATTGGTACATTTTAAAATAACTAAAAGGATATAATTGAATTGTTTGTAACACAAAAGATAAATGCTTGAGGGGATGGATACCTCATTTTTCATGATGTGATTTTTATGCATTGCATGCTTGTACCAAAATATCACATGTGGCCAGGCTCCGTGGCTCACGCCTGTAATTCCAGCACTTTGGGAGGCCAAGGGGTGTGGATCACATGAGGTCAGGAGTTTGAGACCAGCCTGGCCAACATGGTGAAACCCCATCTCTACTAAAAATACAAAAATTAGCTGGGTTTGGTGGTGCATGCTTGTAATCCCAGCTACTCAGGAGGCTGAGGTGGGAAGTTCGCTTGAAACTGGCAGGCAGAGGTTGCAGTGAGCCGAGATCATACCATTGCACTCCAGCCTGGGTGACAGAGTGAGACTCGGCCTCAAAACCAAACAAACAAGCAAACAAACAAACAAAAAAACAAATACCCCATAAATATATATACCTACTATGTACCCACAGAAATTTTAAAAAACATTTAAGATATTTTTTAAAAATCACACACACACACACACACACACACACACACAAATGCTCTCTCCCTTGAGTCTGAATTGAGCCAAGTAATGTGAGGATTGAAAATAGAGCAAATCCATGCCAAAGGAAATACCCTAAAGTGAAGTTGTTGAACTATAGCCGTGGATAAACTCTGGCCCTCTGGCTCTTTTTGTAAATAAAGTTTTATCAGAACACAGTCACAATCATTTGTTTATGTATGCTCTATGGCTGCTTTTGTGCTACAGTGACAAAATTGAGTAGTTATGAGAGAGATTGTCTGTTGTATAAAACCTAAAATATTTACTATCTGGACTTTTACAGATAAAGTTAATTCCTGCTACTTAGGTTCCAGGAGCTCTCCTGGTTCTTATGTATTTCAAAGCTTGCTTCTTCAAATTTTCCTTGGATTCTGTGAGCTACTCCATATTTTTCTGAGAAATTCCATTTATGCTTAAGTTAGGGTGAGTTGGTTTCTATTGCTTACAACTTTTTAGCACTTAAACATATTTTTCCATAGTAATTCCATTGGAAATAATGGTTAGGACCCCAAGCTACCTCAAAAAAGAAAAATATATTCAATTTATGTTTTTAATTTTTAAAATCATTTAGAAAAATAATAAGTATTTGATTTTATTATGGTGTCTGGCTAAATGTGACAGGGGAGGATCCAAATCTCCGTGGGGCAGCACAGATGTGGCAAAGAAATCAACCCACGTTGGCCGGGCGCGCTGGCTCACGCCTGTAATCCCAGCACTTTGGGAGGCCGAGGCAGGTGGATCACAAGGTCAGGAGATCGAGACCATCCTGGCTAACATGGTGGAACCCTGTCTCTACTAAAAATACAAAAAAAATTAGCTGGGCATTGTGGTGGGCACCTGTAGTCCCAGCTACTCGGGAGGCTGAGGCAGGAGAATGGCGTGAGCCCGGGAGGTGGAGCTTGCAGTGAGCCGAGATCGTGCCACTGCACTCCAGCCTGGGCGACAGAGCAAGACTCCGTCTCAAAAAGAAAAAAAGAGAAAGAAATCAACCCACCTTGTGTTCTGTCTTTGATCCTAAGCAGGATTTTTAAAAATTGTGTCAATGAATCCAACTGGAAGCTCACATTGACATCTAGTATGTCCAACCATCCCGCTTTACCCAGGACTGAGGGTTTGCCTAGGACTGACAGTTTTCTGGGACTGAGGAGTTTGTGGAATGCAGGATTTTAAGTTTTAAAATGGGGACAGTCCCAGCAAATTGGCACAACTTGATCACTACAGGATATTGTATGATTGAAGTTAAATATATGTCATTATTAAAAATCAATTGGCCGGGTGGGGTGGCTCATGCCTGTAATCCCAGCACTTTGGGAGGCTGAGGCGGGCGGATCACTTGAGGTCAAGAGTTCGAGACCAGCCTGGCCAAATGGTGAAACCCCGTCTCTACTAAAAATACAAAAAATTAGCCAGGCGTGGTGGCGTGCATCTGTAATCCCAGATACTGGGGAGGCTGAGAGAGGAGAATTGCCTGAACCCAGTAAGCGGAGGTTGCAGTGAGCCGAGATCGCACCACTGAACTCCAGCCTGGGCAACACAGAGAGACTCGGTCTAAAAAAAAAAAAAAATCAAATGGAGAGTTTTCTTTAAATCCCCACTGATCCAATTTGGTTTTAGCCACAATATTTTAAGTATTGTAAATATTCAAACAATATTAAAGGAGAGGATGAAATTTTTATGTTTAGCTAAAGGGAACATAAGTTTGCTACATTTAAGGAATCCTGTGTTGTAATGGAAATAGTAAAAAATGAGTCATGGCATCATGAAACACACATTGGAGCTCTGTATCCACATCCTGACTCTGGGATAACTGTATTTTGTATGTGAACATTAATTCTGAGAAGCATAAGTTGCCACACAAATGCAATATGCTTATAATTATTGGTGGAAGGAAATGAGTACAATTTCACATTTCTGATGCCTGGGCCAAGAACCAGAGCCTGATTGGTGCCGGTGATTTCAGAAATGAATCCAGGGCCAATGCTTGTGTGAAGGAAGAAGACTGATCCTCTGGATTTGCAGAGTCCTGGAAAATACCTTCGCTGATGAAAAACATCTATTTGGATTAGGCAGCCTCCAATAAGTAGGCGGATTATCCAGCTTCCTTCGTTTAGAACTGACTGGACTTGTTCAGCGACTTCATAACTATCAGGAAGGAAGGAGGGGTGTGCATGTTAAATCTAGTGCAAATATGAAGCATGCTAAGTTGGAAGTTGGCAAGATGAACTTCTTTCTATGTATGTGCAGAGAATGACCAGGTGGTAGAAGTGGTTGGGGGCTGGGAAGATGGCTAGAGTTGGGAGAAACCCCAAAATTAATTCTGAATGATCCCATAATCATGGAAGCTGAAGGAGAAGCTAATGGTTTGGGTAGAAGGGATTTTTAAAAAAATGAAAGGGGGAAAGAGATTTGGAGATAATTTTCTCCCTTCACCTTTCCCAGGATAATACATGTAGAAATTCTCTAGAGTGGGACTCTGTTGACTTAGAACCCACTGACCTACATAGAATTCAGGAGGTCTATGAACTTGGGTGGAGACAAAAATGACATCTTCACTAACTGCAAATGAAACGTAGCATTTGCTTCAGTTACCAATGTATGCAATGGACCATCGTTGTATGAATGAACTTGAGACTTGTCACTAAAAGAAATCACAGGTATTTTCAAATCACATTATTGTGTTGTAGGTACCATAACTTGTCACTACTGCCGGGCGTGGTGGCTCGCGCCTGTAATCCCAGCAATTTGGGAGGCCAAAGTAGGCAGATCACCTGAGGTTGGGAGGTCGAGACCAGCCTGACCAACAAGGTGAAACCCTATCTCTACTAAACATACAAAATTAGCCGGGTATGGTGGTGCATGCTGTAATCCCAGCTACTCTAGAGGCTGAGGCAGGAGAATCACTTGAACCTCGGAGGCGGGAGTTGCAGTGAGCCGAGATGGCACATTGCACTCCAGCCTGGGCAACAAGAGCGAAACTCCGCCTCAAAAAAAGAAAAAAAAGAAAAGTCACTACTTTGAGTTTAAAATAGAAATTAGATCCACTGCTAGAACCTTGTTACTTAATGCACAAAGAAGTATATACATTTTTTGCTATACTACATATTTGTATTTTGATAACTGTATTTCAAGGTAACTAGTTTCTTTTGTAATTCTTCATATTTTATGCATTTAAAATGGATAAATGCATTATTTATCCATTTAAGGGGTCCAGGGGCTCCACCAGACTGCTAAGAGGTCTGTCCCTAGAGCTCTGTTCTAGAAACCGGCCCGTGGACTAGCCTAGCTCCCTCCCCTACCCCATGCCTTCCACTCCTTTCGACAAACCTTTAAGAGAACTCTGTGGAAACACGGACAAATGTTTCAGACACAATGCAATAAAGGAGGATTTAAGCATGGTTTTAACCAGGTACAAATATCTGTTCTAGTTTTTATATCTGAACAAGAATGGGAAAGTTATTAACAAAAATGAAATGCTGTGTTTACTTTTACAGTGTTATTACATTACCCTTTCAATACCAGTTTAAAAAATCATTTATGATCCATTTTTCACATAGGTAATATATCTTTTTTCTACTTTTTCTTCTTCTTCTTTTTTTTTTTTTTTTTTTTTTGAGACAGGGTCTTGCTCCGTCGTCCAGGCTGGAGTTCAGTGGCACAATCATGGCTCATGGCAACCTTAACCTCCTGGGCTCAAGTGATAGTCCCACCTCAGCCTCCTAAAGTGCTGGGATTACAGGCAAGAGCTACCTCGTCTAGCCTAATATATCTCTATTGTTGAGGAATCACAAAGTACAAGTGAGTAAAAAGGAAAAATACTCAATCTCCATTACCAGTTAAGAAAAAATCATTCTGCATTCTATGCAGCCTTTTAAAAAATGATATAAAGCCATATATTCTGACATGGAAAGAGTTATATTATTTGTTAAGTGAGAAAGCAAGAACATCATGCCTGTAATCCCAGCACTTTGGGAGGCTGAGGTGGGAGAATTGCTTGAGCCCAGGAGCTCAAGACCAGCCTGGGCAACATAGAGAGACCCCATCTCTAAAAAACATAAAAAAAAAAAAATTCACAGCAGGGTGCAGTGGCTCACGCCTGTAATCCCAGCACTTTGGGAGGCCGAGGCAGGCGGATCACCTGAGGTCAGGAGTTTGTGACCAGCCTGGCCAACATGGTGAAACCCCGTCTCTACTAAAAATACAAAAATTAGCCAGGTGTGGTGGCAGGCGCCTGCAATCCCAGCTACTCGGGAGGCTGAGGCAGAAGAATCGCTTGAACCCGGGAGGCAGAGGTTGCAGTGAGCCGAGATCGCGCCACTGCACTCCAGCCTGGTGACAGAGCAAGACTCCATCTTGAAAAACAAAAAATTCACTGCATGTGGTGGTGTGCATCTGTATCCCAGCTACTTGGGAAGATGAACCAGCCGGGCGCAGTGGCTCAAGCCTGTAATCCCAGCACTTTGGGAGGACAAGGCGGGCGGATCACGAGGTCAGGAGATCGAGACCATCCTGGCTTACATGGTGAAACCTCGTCTCTACTAAAAATACAAAAAAATTAGTCGGGCTTGGTGGCGGGCGCCTGTAGACCCAGCTACTTTGGAGGCTGAGGCAGGAGAATGACGTGAACCCGGGAGGCGGAGCTTGCAGTGAGCCGAGATCGCGCCACTGCACTCCAGCCTGGGCGACAGAGCAAGACTCTGTCTCAAAAAAAAAAAAAAAAAAAAAAAAAAAAGATGAACCAGAAGGATTGCTTGAGAGAGGAGCCGAAGCTGCAGTGAGCCGTGACTGTGCCATTGCACTCCAGCCTAGGCGACCGAGCAGATCTTGTCTCTAAAAAATAAATAAATAAATAAATAAAAGAAAAGAAGAGAAAAGAAAAAAGCAAGCAAGAACAGTACATAAAATAGAATCCCATTTTGCTTTTATAAAAGTATGTATCTATACATATGAAAATACCTAGAAGGCCACACATGAAACAGGCATCAGTGTTAACGGTTAGTTACTATTATTCAATACCAATTTTGTTAAAGGAAAGGAAATCCTTCAAGGAAAAACACAGTGTTGACGTTAGGATTAGCAGCTTCAGGGTGTCCCAGATATATCCTGTGGCAGCCTATACAGGTGGCTTCGTGTGTCAGGTGGCTGGTGTCTGGGGGAGCCAGCTGGGCACTCCCATGGACCCTTGGGGAACTGGGCTTCAGCTTTGCAGGCTTGGAGGTGCTGTTTGGTTTCTAAACCTGGAAGAGATTTGCCTCTGGGGAAATATGGTTAAATTCACAAGAAACAAATGCATAAACCATAATTCAAGTGTTTTGAATTAGGATGGTAACACTGCCTGCCTTGCAGATGAAAGGATGAACTCAAAGCTGCGCAGCCCTTGGGAAGCCCTCAGGAAGCAGGGGCAAGGGCCATTGTTGTTATCAGGCTTCCCAAGACTTACCTGCAGGGGAGACTAAGTGATTAGTAGCCATGAGTAACCTTGAGGCTTCCCACATGCCACACACTCTGCTATGTGCTTTGAGTACATCCTCTCATTTCATCTTCATACTCATGCAGGGCAGGTGTTCTTATCCCCATTTTAAAGACGAGGGACTGGGGCATAAAGCAATTAAGAACCTTAATTGGGACAGAGCCAAGATTTGAACCCCATTTGGCTGACTGGTAACCAGCATTGCCTTTGGGGACAGCTTGATGACCATGAGCTTAAGTGTGGGTTTCATTTGAATGGTCTTCATGACAATTCATGCAGCGGTGAATCCCAGATAACTCCATTTGCCCTGTCCAAACGTGGCTTTGGGTCAGCCACTTAACCTCTCCCTGCCTCCATTTCCTCATCTGTAGAATGAGGGTAATATTAGTGCCTACCTCCTAGGGTCGTTTTAAGGATTAAACGCTTTTTTTTTTGAGACAGGTTCTTGCTCTGTCACCCAGGCTAGAATGCAGTGGTGCTATCGTGGCTCACTGTAGCCTCGAACTCCTGGGCTTAAGCGATTGTCCTGCCTCAGTCCCCCAGGTAACTGGGACCACAGGCGTGCAACACTGCAACTAGCTAATTTTTTATTTTTAGTAAAGACAAGGTCTCACTATGTTGCCCAGGCTGTTCTCAAACTCGTGGGTTCAAGAGATCTTCTCGCCTTGGCCTCCCAAATTGCTGGCATTACAGGTGTGAGCCACCATGCCAGCCAGGATTAAATGCTTTTAAAACGGTGCCTGGTACTCAGTATTCAATTAATGTTAGTTATTGATGTTATGATTGTGATTGTGGTTGTTACTGCCTCCAAAGCTCATCTCCAAATTGTAGATCTGGGTGAGGCAGGAAAATAGGGTCTGGAGGCAGGGAACATAAGAACAATTCACACTTCAGCTATGATAGGAAATATCCTCTCCATAGGGCGTACGCCGAGTACATGACTTTGTAAATTTACTTCATCCTCTTCATGCACATAGGGCGTACACCAAGTAAACGATGCAATCCTCTAGAAGGTATTTAAACTCCCAAAAATTCTGTAACGGGGCCCTTGAGCCCCCACGCTTGGCCCGCTCCCACCCTGTGCAGTGTAATTTCATTTTCAATAAAGCCCTTCATTCCTTCCTCGCTTTGTTTGTGCGTTTTGTCCAATTCTTTGTTCAAGACCCCAAGAACCTGGACACCCTCCACCAGTAACATGGGCATTTGTCCCCCATGTCACGCTGAAGACACAATGCCAAACCGCCTCCCTGAGTACACCTTCACGGCTGCCTCATATGCACTGTCCCAGTTCTAAGCACTTTCTTTCACTAGAGCCCCATACAATATAATCAGTTTAAGCTTCTGCAGTTACATTCATGATCGATTCAGGTCTCCCTGAAGTGAAGCACCAACTCCTCCCCTCCCCGTGGTGCCCCCAGATCACCTTGAATGGATTAGGGGTGTTCTCTTGGGACACTTTAGAGATAGCAACTCTCATAACTAACAACTGGATGCAACCCCATTTCATTCTCAGAGAGGGGCTGCCAGCCCATTATACTGTCCACACATCCTTCCTCCATCCCAGGTTCTCAGATCATCCATTCCCCAGGGAGTTCTGAGTCTCAAATGACAGGTGTAAAGTGAGTGTACATGGGGTTTGCCCCATAGATCCCCGTGTGTCTTTTTAGGCAGTTACCACTCTGAGCGAAGTCCACCTGTGCTCTGGGCAGGAGCAGGGGCTGGTGAGACTGAGGAAGTCCTGTCCCTGGACAGCTGGAGCCAGGCTCTTTGACCTCCTCTAGGACCTGCCCTGAGATATGGGGAAAGTTTGTAACAGGAGCTGAGGCTCTGGCTTGTTGGGCTTGAAAGGGTTGGAGAAGCTGCTAGTCTCTTTCCTCAGCCGGACCTTACTGTAGGCCTGGGGAGGATGAGGCTGTGCTACCTCATTCCTGGCCATTATTCCAAGATAATGGATTTCTTACAGCAGCAGTAATTTTTATTTAAAGAGTTGCTTCGGACAAAAATACTCTCACGTAAGCCTTCCCTTTCACCCCGACCTTCTGTACAAATCACACTGTCCATCCATTCCCATCGCGCCCACAGGGGCACACCCAGGCCATCCTCACCATGTTTGCCATATCAAAGTCTCGCTTGTACTGTTATTTCTTTAATATTTTGCTTTAAATGGCTTTCCTTTCTTTTTTTTTATTGTCAGTTAATTTTGACAGGAACATTATGTCAGTAATATCCGTGTAATTACAAATTTAATGAGCTACATGTTTCTTAAGACACATTAAAATAAATACATATATATTAAACATTTAAAAAATTTCCCCCAAATCACCTAAAATCACTAGTGGTATCCAGACCACGCCCTGGGAAGCCCCCGCAAGGCCTGTCAATGTTTGTGGAGGCTCTCCTGGGTCACCATCTTGTCACTGTTGCCTTCTCTCACTAATACCCCTCAGTCCGTGCCCTGAGGGCAAGGGTGGCTGGAAAGAGCTGTCCGGTTCCACCGGGAGGCCCCACCCTGGGAGTGCTGAGTTCCATGGTGAGCTACCCTCTTCACTCAAACTTGGATTTCCTTTCTGTCTGCTAGAGAGAGGCGAGTTCTTTTATTGATCAGTGGTGAAAACGGGGTGAGAATTCTACTCATCTCTCCTTCCCAGGGAATGATGAGGCCAGACAAGGGCCTGGGAAAGGGAGCATCAGAGGCAGATGGAAGCCAGAGGCAGCTGTGGAGAGAGGATGGCCTTGCCGGACTGAGTAGAGGACAGATTTGCCTCTTTTCACAAAGGACTTGAGGCACAGATGGGGAAACACAGGGGCTGTGTGGAATCCTGGCTCCTTCAATTACTGTCTGTATAGCCTGTGGCAAATTCCTTCACTACTTCATGAACCTCACTTACCCTCAGCAAAATGGGATTGATGCTATTTAGTCACACTTGTCTTATCTGCTGTCCAGGTTGTGGTAAGGATTGAATAAACAAAAGAGAGTATTGCTGCTCTGAAAACTCTAAGGCAGGAACCTCAATTCTGGATGTACTTTAGGATAACCTAGGAGAGCTTAAAACAGCAACAATAACAACCAATGCTCTAAGACCCAAACCCGGAGATTCTGATTTCATTTGAGGTTGAGAGTGAGTCCTGGGCATCTGTTTTTTGTTTGTTTGTTTGTTTGTTTTTTGAGACAGAGTTTTGCTCTTGTTGCCCAGGCCAGAGTGCAATGGCGCTATCTCAGCTCACTGCAAGCTCTGCCTCATCGTGGAGAATTCTATTGCCTCTCAAAGTGTGGTCCATAGACCAGCAGAATCAGCAGCACCGGGAGCTGGTCAGAAATGCAAATCTCGGGCCCAGGCCCAACCCACAGAATCAGAATCTGAATTTTAATAAAATTGAACAAAATCTCTAGGGTTTTTATTATACTTTGTGAAGCACCGCTGTAAAACATACATTCCATTCATTCATTCAACCAATTTATTAAATAACTGGTGTGTGCCAGGTATACACAGGTGATGGAGAGTGATCAGGGAAAAGCACAGCATGGTCTGTCATTCTAGCTGCAGGAAACAGACAGTAAGCAAGATAGCAAACTCATTTCAGAGTGAGAAAGTAAGACAAGGGGATGTGCTAGAGAGGCACTCTGGGGAGGGATGGTTACTTTAAGCTGGGAAGTGGTGGTGATTGATTGTCTCTCTGAAGAGGAGTTGCTTGAGTGGAGCCTGAGTGACAAGGAGCTGGCCAAGGGAGGAAGTGGGCATGGTGTTTTCTGGGCAGAGATAGCAGCAAGTAAAAATGCCCTGAAACTTGGGAGGCCGAGGCAGGCAGATCACGAGGTCAGGAGTTTGAGACCAGCCTGGCCAATATGGTGAAATCCCATCTCTACTAAAAATACAAAATTAGCCGGGTGTGGTGGCGTGTGCCTGTAGTCCCAGCTACTCGGGAGACTGAGGCAGGAGAATCACTTAAACCTGGGAGGCGGAGGTTGCAGTGAGCCAAGAGTGCGCCACTGTACTCCAACCTGGGCGACAAAGCAAGACTCTGTCTCAAAAAAAAAAAAAAGGCCCTGAAACAAGGTTGCTGGATTTAGCAAATAAAAATAAAGAATGCTCAGTTATATTTAAATTTCAGCTAAACCATTAATATTTTTTAGTACAAGTATATCCCACATATTGCATGGGATATATTTATACTAAAAAAGATTTGTGGTTTAGTTGACATTCAAATTTAACTGATCAACCTACGTAACATGGCGAAACCCTGTCTCTACAAAAAATACCAAAAAAATTAGCTGGGACTGGTAGTGAGCCCTGTAGTCCCAGCCACTTGAGGAAGTGGGAAGATTGCTTGAGCCCAGGAGGCTGAGGCTACAGTGAGCTATGATTATGCCACTGCGCTCCAGCCTGGGTAACAGAACGAGACCCTGTCTCAAAAAAAAGAAAGAGAGACAGAGAGAGAGAGAGGGAGGGGGAGAGAGAGAGAGAGAAAGAAAGAAAAAAAATTTTTTTTTTTTGAGATGGAGTTTCACTCTTGTTGCCCAGGCTGGAGTGCAATGGCGCGATCTCGGCTCACCACAACCTCCGCTTCCTGGGTTCAAGTGATTCTCCTGCCTCATCCTCCCTAGTAGCTGGGATTACGGGCATGTGCACCACGCTCGCCTAATTTTGTATTTTTGGTAGAGATGGGGTTTCTCCATGTTGGTCAGGCTGGTCTCGAACTCCCAACCTCAGGTGATCCGCCCACCTCGGCCTCCCAAAGTGCTGGGATTACAGGCGTGAGCCACTGCACCCGGCCGAAAAGAAAAATTTAACTGATTGTTCTGTATTTTATTGGGACCCTGCAAAAGGACCAAGTGGGGGAGTGGTGCTGGAGGGATATGAGGAGGAGCAGTGTCACTGGGATAGTCAGGAAACAGGGGTGCCATGAGCATAAAAGAGAGAGCAGGGCCCAAATCTTGGGCTACAGAAAAACAAGTTAGAAAAATAAAATAGTCTCCAAGGGAATGGACTGGCTGCTGCTGTTTCTTTCCCTTGATGAAATCATGGGCTTTACCTTCCTGCAACCCTATGGTTTCTGGGAAGGGCTTCTTGGAAGATGAACAATTGTCCAGGCTTGTTATGCCTGGGTGGTGCTTGGGGAGACCGAGGGCCACTGGTTGACCTGCTAAACATAGCGTGCGATATATATTGTTTGGTCTGAGCTTTTAAGTGCTCTTTCCCTGTTTGTTTGTTTAATTCCTGAGTTTTTGTATGTGATCTCCTATAAATCTTCCTCTTCTTAAGGACTATGTTTGACAACTTCATTTCCCCCCAACTGGAGACATTTCCCCTGCTAAGGGTCAAAAAGACTAATTATCCTAAACCGAGTATTGGAGACACCCTCAGGCTCACACATGACTGAGAAGTGCATGATCCCAGCCATATTAATAGAACGCAGCAAGAGCGTATCTGAGAACAGAGGCAGTGACGTCTTCAAAGCTCAACCGTATTCCTGTTGGAAAATAAAGTCCTGACCCCTTCAACAATGCCTGTGTGGAACCTCACAGTAGAAGAGGCCACGAAAGATATTCTGTTCAAACACTTTAATTTATTCAGGAGGAAACTGAGGCTCTGGGCAGATTACGATTTGCCTAAGGACCCAGAATTGATGATGGGGCTGGGACCCGAGCTCAGAGCTCCTAACTCCCTGAGCAGTGCTCTCTCCACCTTAGTTGGGTTTGGTGGGAGGAGGGTGAAGGAGAGGAATGGGTAGAGGAGGTGGGAAGGGTTGCAAAACATCAGCTGACTCTCATAAAGTGCTTTAACACAAAGCACTTTCCTATGGTTTCTCATTTAAGGTAGGTATAATTTCCATTTTGCAAGTGGGAGACCTGGAGCTCAGAGAGGGCAAATGACTTGTCCGAGGTCACAATGTTCTTTAGTGGCAGAACAAGGAGTCAAGCCCAGATCTTCGGGCTCCTTGGTTGAGAGCTGTCTTCACCATCACGTGGAAAAGATGGGGGAGGAGAGAGCAGCACACTGGTTGCCAGTGTATCAGCGCTCCAGGGCAGGCAGGTGGAGGGAAACACGGCCTGAGAAGTCAAGAGGAGGACCACCTGCCTGGAGCCACACACGGCACTTTCCACGCATAACCCCCTTTAATCATTGCCTCAAACTCATGAAAGTGATGAGGAACTGAAGCTGGGAGAGGCTAAGCGGTCACCCGGCTAGTTAATAGCAGAGTTGTGGACCTGAATCCAGATCTGTCCAACTTGAGAGCCTCCGCAGGTCTCCACTGGGGCTTTTCAGGTGAGTGAAAGTCTATAGGCTGAAACTGGGCAAGAGGGAGGCACAGACAACACTGCAAGGAAAGAGGATCGGGAAGACTTTCAGGCACAATGACTGATCCTGGAGGTGCAGAACCTCTTCCTCAACTTCCATCGGCTCTCTCCTCTGCTGTGAATGCAAATATTGTCCCCAAAGCATTAGCCAAATCCCTGCTTATTCTCTGCACAGTCTGTAGATTTGCTTGGGGGCTGAACTAGGGCTCTCCCTGTGTTACGGTTGGGTTCCGCCCTTAGCACTGCAGTGTTCTGCTCCTTGCTTTCCGGGCCACACCTAACAGGGCCTCCTTCCCCCGGAGCCCTACCCCACCCCTTCCAAAGACCACCATCACGAGGCAGGAAACAGAGCTGGATTGCCTTGTTTTCATGCGAGAACTTGTCCCGTCTTCTCCTGCCTCCCTCCCTCCCTCCCTCCCTCCCTCTCTCCCAATTTTTGTTTCCAAAATACTTGTGAGGTGCTTTCCCCACATGAGGGTCCCTGATTGACTATTGGTGGGGAAATTCCTACCAACACTCTTATCTTTTCTAGTCAGCCACCTCGTTTTTCTGATAGAGGCAGCATCATTGATAATATTACCATTTCCTCCAGCACCTGACACACAGTAGGGTCACAGTGAGTCTTTCTGCCCTGAGTTGACAGCACAAGAGAGGAAGAGGTGGAGTTATTCTGAGGGCCTACCGTGGCTAATGTTTCCCTTGTTTGGACGTCTTTTGTAACTAATGAATCTCGTAAGGCCTGGTGTCTGGGACATTCCTCAGAAGACTTCCCGTGAGGCGAGTTACTGGATGACCCTCTTGTGCTTTGGGGGAATGCTGGCAATTGGCGCAGCTGTGTCGGGAGCTCGGGGTTCCCGCGTGGTGAGTGGAGCTTGCAGCCCACCAGCCAGGGCCACGCCACTTCTCCTTGCCCTCGGCAAAGCGCTGTGGTGGGTGAAAAACAAATGAAAATTTAAGTCCAAGGGAATATAAAAATGTAATCAGGAAATGTAATCAATATTTACTCCCAGCAGTAAAATGCCAACATGTGGGGAATGTGGATGAGGGGGTATATGGGGATTTTTCTTACTATTTTTACAAACTTTCTGTTCATCTGAAATTATTTCAAAATAAAATATTAGGTAGATAGAAAAACAAAATATGTTTTGTGACCGAGTGAGTGAGAACAGGAGAAACAGCTTAGAGCAGATAGAGGTGGGAGTAGAGTAGTTAAGAGGGGGCTTAGGGTTGGGAGAGCTGGGCTCACATCCTGCTTTCCCACTTCAGAGCTGTCACACCTTGCGCGGGTTCCTTAACCTCTTTGGTTTTTTTTGAGACATCCCTGGCTAATGTTTGCATTTTTAGCAGAGACCGGGTTTCACCGTCTTGGCCAGGCTGGTCTCACTCTGTCGCCCAGGCTGGAGTGCAATGGTGCAATCTCAGCTCACTGCAACCTCCGCCTCCAGGTTTTCAAGCCATTCTCCTGCCTCAGCCTCCCGAGTAGCTGGGATTACAGGCGCCCACTACCATGCCTAGCTAATTTGTGTGTGTGTGTGTGTGTGTGTGTGTGTGTGTGTGTGTGTATTTTAGTAGAGACGGGGTTTTGCCATGTTGGCCAGGCTAGTCTTGAACTCCTGACCACAAGAGATCCACCCACCTCAGCTTCCCAAAGTGCTGGGATTACAGGCATGAACCCCTGTGCCTGGCCCCTTAACCTTTTTCAGTTCCAGTTTCTTCACCTGAAAAATGGGAATGATAAAGGCCTATTAGGAGGTTAATGCAACAATGCATGTATAGCTCTTTAGGACAAGCCCCTTTACATAGTAAGGGCTCCCAAATGATGAGAAGAGGGCAAAGAGAGACACAGAAAGGACAAAGTCCTCCCCTTATTCAATCCCTATGACTTCTTTGTCTTTGCCATTTAAGTCCCCAGATCCTACACCTCCTACACAAGGGACACACCACACTGCCATAACCAGTCCCTGGCTTTGGCCCTGTTGCCCTTGTAAAATAGGCAGAGAATAGTCCAGGGCTGCTGCCCATACTATGTTTCCTGACATTCTCAACTGGTTATCTTAAAGGGCCAGCAGGAAGGTGCTTATGAATACTTATCTGCTTGTGACCTTGGGGCCACAGTCTTTCATTCATTCTTCAACATACCTTCATAGAGTGAGGGTGAAGGGAACCATGGACCAGACATGGTACTTGGCATGGAAATACGGCATGGAGCAAAACTAACGTGGCTTGCCCTTGGGTGCTCACCTTCTAGGAACTAGTCTTTCCCTGTGTCTTTTCCAGATTCCCTCCCTCTGCAGCACCCAACCTTGGTCATTATTCCAGAGTACAGAAACTCCTTCCCTGCAGCATGCTGATGGCTCAGGCTCACGCAGTCACAGAAGGCAGGGCACATGGCAAGATGTTGGCGGTTACTGTGGCCTGATCATTCTTTAGCAGCTGTCCTTGGGTAAAATTTGGTCTTGGAAGGTACTGAGGGCACCCCAGTGGTCCAAAGCTGAAACTGCCTTATCTGCAAATCCTTCCACTCCAATTGGCGACCCACATCCCTTTTCCATGCCCACTGTATTTTCTAAACTAGTCTCTGCCCTAGACTTCCTTCACTGTCTGCAATCCACATTAGTCCAAAACCCCCTTTCTAAGCAGCTCTCCTTTTTTAACCAAATATACCTTCTGCTCCCATCATCCTGCCTCACCCTCACCCTACCTCTCTGACTGTGGTTATGATATGCATCCAGCTCCACCAAGAGTGCATACTTCCTAGCATTAGACACCAGTCACAATTAGCATTACCAAACCTACCCAACCTCTCTATGTGGCAAATTTTTTTAAATTAAGAGACAAGGTCTCACTCTGTCACCCAAGCTGGAGTGCAGCGGCACAATCAGAGCTCACTGCAGCCTCAAGCTCCTGGGCTCAAGTGATCCTCCTGCCTCAGCCTCCCAAGCAGCTAGAAGTGCAGGTGCACACCACCATGCCTGGCTAATTTCTTTTTTCAATTTTTGGAAGAAATGGAGTCTCGCTGTGTTGCCCAGGCTGGTCTCAAACAATCCTCCTGCCTCAACCTCCCAAAGCACTGGGATTATAGGCATGAGCCACTACATCTAGCCTGAATGTGGCACTTTTAAAATTCATTTGTTTTATAGAAAAACTGGAGTAACAATACAAAGCACAAATTGAGGAATGAAGAACTTCATCTTTCTCACCCTCTTTCATATTCACAACTCTTAATTAACCTCTCACTTGTGAAAACTGTTTGACCTTAGATATTCTCATTAAAAATAAATTGATATTTTTTCCCTTTAGACCCTCACTTCAATATTATTTATTGAGAACTACTTCTGTTTACAACCTACAGAGAAAGTGGAATATATTCCTCACAGATAAAACCTACCGTATAGCAAAAAATATAACTGAACATATATTAAAAGAGGGACCTGAATGAGTTCCACATGGCATGATATCTAAGTGTAACACAGTCTCAGAAAGGTGAACTTTGTGTGTGTGTGTGTGTGTGTTGTCAACAAAAAGACATTTATCGATTTTGTGTTTTGTATCATGAAAAATAATTTTTCATGAAGTGTAAAAAGAAAAAAGAGTCCAGGCTCTGGACTTAGAGTCTAGCTCTCTCCTTTCCTATGTGTACCAGCTTGTAGAATTGGTATAAAAATTAAAAGAGATAATAGGTATAAATGAATTACCGCAGAACCTCAATCAATGATAGCAGGCTGGTAGACACATACCCCCAAATCTATTCTCTTTTTTCTTTAAGTAATAGAACACTGATTCTTATTTTGGATGTAGAAACTTCCTTGCATCTAGGTGCAGCTGCCTGATGAAGCCACTGAGTCCTGAGCAAAAATGTTGCACAGGACTTCCAGGAAGTCTCCCTAAATGTAGGAGACACTCTATCATCCCTCTGCCTATTATTGGTCTGGACTCTGGAAGTGATGTCTGGTGCCCCAACTGCTCTTTTGGAGCATGAGGAGGGGGACCACAACCTGCGGATGGCATTGCAGACAGCTAAAGAGCTTGGTCCTTGATGAACAGGAAGCTGCCATTCCAGCCCTGAATTTCCTGAGGATTTCTTTTCATAAAATATAATTTTTTTCTCATATTTAAGCCATTCTTTTTCAGGTCTTAGTTTCTCAAAGTGAAGCTAATCACAACTAATATACTATAATTATTATTTTCCTCATTATTTTGTCAGCCCTGGCCCACAATCCTACTGTCTCACAGATCCCCTCTTTTCGCCATTAGAAGCAGACTAAATGCCATCAATAACAAAGAACTTTGCCTTGGTTCTGATCTCTGTCACCAGTCCATCCGGGCCCTTACTATGGTGCACCCACGTCCTCCTGGCCCTGGTGACATGCATGGCAACCCCCTCTGCTTTCTCTCCTTTGTTTTCCCCTCTCTCTGCATTTCCGATTCCAAGTCTTTTTCTGTTTTCCCTGGCTACTGTTTGCAGAATTCTCACACTGACTGGGTGGGACTGAACCACCCTGAAAGCAGAATATTTGGACTAACTAGAAAGGAAGGGGGAGCTTTCCAGGTGGATGAAAAAAATAAGCAAAAGAGAACACAGATGGGGCATAATGTGGGGACTAAGAGGGAAGTCGCTGAAGGTTTCTGTTGAGGGCGGCAGGAGGTGAGATTGAATTGGAAAGCGGGTGAGCCTATTACGGAGGATCTTTAAGGCCTAGTAGAGGAGTTTGGACTTGATTCTGGAAGAAATAGCCACTATGAGTTTCTGAGCAGGGCAGAGACATGAGGCAAGTGATGTTTCCAGAGGAATTCATCTGGCTGCCGGGTGCAAAACAGATTGAAGGCAGGAAGAGCCTGGAGACAGGGAGACCAATATAAATCTTCCACCCAGTAATCAGATGGTGAGACATTGTGAACAGACTTTGAAAGGGGCCTTGTGAAACAGCAAAAGTAAAATGCAATGATTTCAGCTAAGCAGCAGCTGCAGAAGAAGCCTTAAACAAAATCTTTCCCCAGAATTTTTCACATGAAAGTAGCAAGCTTCCAAATAATGAAAATTGGTTCAATCTTTTTGTAAAACAGTCTGACAACTGTGGATCAAGAGCCTTAAGAATGTTCACACCCTTTGACCCAGTAATTCCACTTGTGGGAATGCTAGGGAAATAATCCAAACCAGGGAAAGGAAATAAAATGCATGGAGAACTTAATCACAACAGACTTGATAATAGCAAATAACCAGAAACAATCTCAATGTCAGCAAAAGGGGGGCGTGGTGGCTCACACCTGTAATCCCAGGACTTTGGGAGGCCAAGGTGGGCAGATCACCTGAAGTCAGTAGTTCGAGACCAGCCTGGCCAAGATGGTGAAACCCGGTCTCTGCTAAAAATGCAAGCATTAGCCAGGCATGGTGGTGCATGCCTGTAGTCCCAGCTACTTGGGGGGCCGAGGCGGGAGAATTACTTGAACCCGGCAGACAGAGGTTGCAGTGAGTCAAGTTCGCACCACTGCACTCCAGCCTCGGCAACAGAGCAAGACTCAGTCTCAAAAAGAAAAGTTAAAAAAAAAAGAAAGTTCAGCAAAAGGGGAAAGATTAAGCAAACTCTGGATCTCGATTAACTCCATTACCCAGCCATTAACTCAGAGGGGTAAGAAGACCAGACAGATGACGTGAAAAGGGCTCACAACATAATTGGAGAAAAGCAGGTTGCAAAATGCATCTGGTGTATTATCACACAACAGACACCCGTGCAGGAACAAGACCAAAAAGTAATATTCTAAATTACTCCCCATTGTTTCATTAGACTGTAGGGACTTTTCTCCTTTTAAAAATTATTTTGATAGGCCAGGTGCAGTGGCTCATGCCTATAATCCCAGCACTTTGGGAGGCTGAGGTGGGTAGGATTGCTTGAGCTCAGGAGTTCGAGAGTAGCCTGGGCAACATAGAGAAACCCTGACTCTAGAAAAAATACAAAAATTAGCTGGGCCTGGTGGCACACACCTGTAGTCCCAGCTACTTGGGAGGCTGAGATGTGAGGATCACTTGAGGTTGAGAGTTCGAGGCTACAGTGAGCTGTGATCGCACCACTTCACTCCAGCCTGGGCGAAAGATTGAGACTCCATCCCCAAAAAAAAAATTTTTTTTCCTCCAGGCCACAGATCGCTTGAGGTCAGGAGTTCAAGACCAGCCTGGGCAATATGATGAAACCCCATTTCTATCCAAAATACAAAAAAATTAGGCATGGTGGCATACACCTGTAGTCCCAGCTACTCAGGAGGCTGAGGCAGGAGGATCGCTTGAACCCGGGAGATGGAGGTTGGAGTGAGTCGAGATCACACCACTGCTCTGCTGCCTGGACAACAGAGTGAGACTCTGTCTCAAAAAAAAAAAATTTTTTTTTCTCCAATATACTTTACATTACATGTATACTTGCAATTATAGGGAATGTCAAGGAGAATTCTTACTTTTCATTCTATTCACTCTGAATTATTTTACATTTATAAGAATGTATTAAACATGCACTACTTGTATATTTTAAAAAGTAAATAATTTTTCAATGACAAAATATACTAATAAGACCAGGCATAGTGGCTCACACTTGTAATCCCAGCAGTTTGGGAAGCCAAGGTGAGAGGATCGCTGGAGCCAAGGAGTTTAAGACCAGCCTGGGCAACATGACAAAACCTTATCCCTGTGAAAAATAAAAAAGAATAGCCAGTTGTGGTGGCACATGCCTATAGTCCCAGCTACTCAGGAAGCTGAGGCAGGAGGATTGACTGAGCCCGAGAGGCCAAGGCTGTAGTGAGCCACGATTGCACCATTGCATGGGCAAGAGAGCAAGACCCTATCTCAAAAAAAAAAAAAAAAATGAGAATAAATGTAGGAAACCATGAGACATGCTCATGCCATCACCAGCACAGGTACTTACTATTTATCTTCTCGATGATGAGGTTTAAAAGAAAAAGATTTAGGCTTTGGAGCTTGTTGGGAGAGGGCTGAGTTTAATCCCACCTTAGCTGGATGACCATGGCAAGATTATCTTTGAAGTAGGGAATGATCACACATCCCTCGCATAATTTGGGGGAAATCAAGTGAGAGGATGATGAAAATCTCTTAACACAGTGTTCTGCACTTAAAAGACACACAGCAAACAGGGGCTGTAAATACGGAGAGCTATTATTTTCTCAATTCTGTTTTCTGCCTCTTGCGGTGGATAGTTGTGAGCTTCTGGAGCTGACTGTCCGAGGACAGAGGCAGAACCCTGAGCAGTGTTCTTGGCCTCAGCCACTTCATGCCGTTGCTGCAGCCACCAAGACTTTTCCCCACTGTGAACCCACCGGGCAATTCCTGCTCCTTAATCTGGCCTAGCAGTGCAGGTCCCTTTGCCAAGACCACACCTTGACTGTGGTGTACAAATGAACTGAGCGTAGACGACAAAGTTTGTTTTCAAAAGGAAGTTTTATTCTCCACATACTCAACTAGCGTGTATTTAAGAATAGTTTTATGTTTTAGACATTTAAGTTTGAACATAAAGTGGCCTTTGTTTTCTTAACTCATTTTGTTTTACCTCCCTTGACCCCAGTTTTTATGCAAGTACCAGTTTACAACCCTGCTCAAAGCTGTATAAGTCCCTTTGAAGGACAGTATATGATTCTAAAAGGTCATTGAGATGAGAAAAGAGATGAGGATAGCTAGAAGACCACCTAGAGCAAAGCAAATTAATGCCAACAATGATTTTGGGGTGCTAAATGGCACCACCAATGTTCACAACTTCCTGCTTAATAAAACTTTCACACTCAGCCGGATTGTTCTCTTCTTTTCTTTTCTTTTTTTTTTTAATGGAGTCTTGCTCCGTTGCCCAGGCTGGAGTGCAGTGGTGTGGTCTCAGCTCACTGAAACCTCCGCCTCCTGGGTTCAAGTGATTCTCCTGCCTCAGCCTCCTGAGTAGCTGGGATTACAGGCGCCCGCCACCACACCTGGCTAATTTTTTGTATTTTCAGTAGAGATGGGGTTTCACCATGTTGGCCAGGCTGGTCTCAAACTCCTGACCTTGTGATCTGCCCGCCTCCAGCTCCCAAAGTGCTGGGATTACAGGCATGAGCCACCACACCCAGCTCAGTCAGATTTTTTAAGTTTCTCAAAGACTACTTAAGTGGGAACCCATTGAAAACCTTATTAAAGACCAGAGAGATGACATTTATTGGCTCTGCATGGCCTACTCAGCCTGCAGGCTGTTGAGGGATACCTTGTATCAACTCCCTGGTATTCCCAGCATGCTGGGGAATGAGGCTCTGGGAGGGAAGAAAAGTCTTGTCTTTCTCCACCCTGGATTTTACTTTTGAAGCAAGGACATGCCCAGTCTGCAAACAGAAACATGATGTGACATCTGGACCTCAGACCCAAATGTCAGGGAAGATGAGACTGAGGGTGACCATCAGATGGGCTAACATGGTGGAGCTGGGCCATGTTCTCTTTCCCTTGGGGCTGCTGCCAGCCCCTGTGGCCCCAGCTCTTCCTTACTAACTCATGGTTTCATTCTTTTCAGCCACAGTGATGCTGTGACTTTAGTCAAAGGTAGGGCCCTGGCGTAGGTGCTGTTGTATTCACAGCACCACAGCTGCTAGATGTTTGGTGATAGTTTGATGGATAAATGAATGCCTGTATGCATGAATAAATGAATAAAATTCCTTTCCAGCCAGATAGGGTGGCTCATGCCTGTAATCCCAGCACTTTGGGAGGCTGAGGCGGGCAGATCACTTAAGGTCAGGAGTTCAAGACCAGCCTGGCCAACATGGTAAAACCCCATCTCTACAAAAAATACAAGAAAATAGCCAGGTGTGGTAGTACATGCCTGTAGTCCCAGCTACTCTGGAGGCTGAGGCAAAAAAATCGCTTGAATCCAGGAGGCAGAGGTTGCAGTGAGCTGAGATCGCGCCACTACATTCAAGCCTTGGTGACAAAGACCCTTTCCCAAAAATAATATATATATTAATATATTATTAATATATAAATATATATAATAATAAAATAAATAAAATTCCTTTCGATGAACCCTCACATTCTGACCTGTTTCTCTCTTGACATGTCTTAGCTTCAGCCGGTATATGAAAAAATTATGACTTCTCATTATTATATTTCAAATCATCTTTCCTCATTGCTGACTCTTTTTTTTTTTTTTTTTTTTTGAGACGGAGTTTTGCTCTTGTTGTCCAGGCTGGAGTGCAGTGGCGCGATCTCGGCTCACTGCAAGCTCCGCCTCCAGGGTTCAAGCGATTCTCCTGCCTCAGTCTCCCGAGTAGGTGGGATTACAGGCGCCCGCCACCACGCGCAGCTAATTTTGTGTATTTTTAGTAGAGATGGGGTTTCACCATGTTGGCCAGGCTGGTCGTGAACTCCTGACCTCAGGTGATCCACCTGTCTCTGCCTCCCAAAGTGCTGGGATTACAGGCGTGAGCCACCGCACCCAGCCTTGCTGATTTTTAATAGTTATGGCTTTAAAAGAAAAAAACTAGAATATATTTTAATACAAATAAGAAATCTGAATTATAACCATGTGGATCAGAACTGTCCAACAAACTGGAACCTCTGTGCTGACTGTATTGTGGTAAGAAAAAAAGTCTATGTTCTGAAGATAAAGAGAAAGAAAGGAAGGAAGGGATGGAGGAAGGAGAAAAGGCAGGTGAGGAGATAAAAGGATACAGAAAGAAAGGAGAGAGTTTGAGAAAGAAACTGAGTTCTGGTTCTGTGTCTCTGACTTGGCCGCTCATGGCTTTGTAACCTTGAGCCTCACTTTCCCTGTTGTAAATGAGAGGTTGGACGGGATCTGAAGTTCTCAGGCTTTCTGAGTGAATCAGAATCCCTTGGATGCGGCTACTAATTGTGCACATTCCTGAGCCCCACCCCTTTTGGACTTTGACCCCGTGCTGGGGCCCTGGGAATCTTCATGTTTAATAAGCCTCTTTTTTTCTTTTTCTTTTTTCTTTTCTTTTTTTTTTTTTTTTTGATAACAGGGTCTTGCTCTGTTGCTCAGGCTAGAGTGCAGTGGCATGCATGATCACAGCTCACTGCAGTCTCGAACTCTGGGGCCCAAGTGATCCTCCCACCTCAGCCTCCTGAGTAGCTGGGATGACAGGCATGTGCTACCATGCCTGGCTATTTTTATGTATTTTTGGTATTTTATGTTGCCCAGGCTAGTCTGGAACTCCTCAGCTCAAGTGATGCACTTGTGCCGGCCTCCTAAAGTACTGGGATTACAGACATGAGCTACTGTGCCCAGACAACAAGCTTCTTCTTGACCCAGCTGCAGAAGAAGCCAGAGCTCACGCTGAGAACACAGGAGCGGATGGCCCAGAGAGGCTGTGGCTCTGACTCCTCAGGGATGAGACTTTTGATCTGGGAGTTATACCATTTTCCCTAACTCTTGAAATAACAGTAAACCACTTTGGGGGCCATTTTAGCTCTGGTTTAGATGGGAATGACTCATGACTAAGTGCTGAAGGCAAGGGGAATTGTACGTTAGCATCTTAGAAACTAGCGGACTCTCTCAGGGTAGCCTTTGCCTTAGGTTGTTAGAACCTGCTAAATGGGATGGGATTAATCCCTGGCTGTTCCTACCTATATGGAGGTGGATACGACGGTATTTCCTATCATCTGTGGGTGATTGGTGCTTTTTCTAGACGCTGTCCCATGCATGAGCTCATCTGAGCCTCAAGGTGTAGGCTATTACCTCGTTTCACAGATGCGGAACCTGAGATGTGGAGGCTTCTTGCCAGAGTATTCGCTGCTCTTTATTGGCAAACACAGGAAAAGAGCGCCGATCTCCTTTTTCCCAGTGTGCCATGTGGCGGATAACTACATATTTCTTAAACTAAGGGACAGAGGAGTTATTAACAATAAGTTTCCAAAACTTCTTACTTTTCCAGAGCAATGATAAAGTTCCAGTGAAGACTGAGGTTACTACTCTAATGATATTAATGATAAAAATTATTAGAAGCCCTCGAGGTACAGTCCATGCAATCCAGCCTTATGGTGAGGGGGCACATGCATATATAATATATATTTGCATACATGTGCTTTGGATAAATTATGAAAGAGGATATACAGGGGCCAGGTACGGTGGCTCACGCCTGTAATCCCAGCACTTTGGGAGGCTGAGTCGGGCAGATCATGAGGTCAGGAGTTCGAGACCAGCCTGACCAACATAGTTAAACCCCATCTCAAAAAAAATAAAAATATTAGCTGGGCGCAGTGGTGCATGCCTATAATCCCAGCTACTCGGGAGGCTGAGGCAGGAGAATCACTTGAACCTGGGAAGTGAAGGTTGCAGTGAACCAAGATTGTGCCACTGCACTCCAGCGAAAAAGTGCGACTCCATCTCAAAAAAAAAAGAAAAGAAAGAAGATATACAAAATAATAACAGTGATTATACATAGTAGAATTATAGATTTTTATTTTCTTCTTTAGCTTTTTACATGTTGATTATATTCATTATAATTTCTATGTGTCATTATTCCTTTTTTTTTTTTTTTGAGACAGAGCCTTGCTCTGTCACCCAGGCTGGAGTCTGGAGTGCAGTGGCAAAATTGCAGCTCACTGCAATCTCCGCTTCCCAGGTTCAAGCGATTCTCCTGCCTCAGCCTCCCGAGTAGCTGGGACTGCAGCCATGCACCACTATGCCTGGCTAATTTTTGTATTTTTGGTAGAAACAGGGTTTCAGCATGTTGGCCAGGCTGGTCTCAAATCCCTGGCCTCAAGTGATTCACCCACCTTGGCCTCCCAGGAGGATCACAGGTGTGAGCCACCACACCCAGCCCGGATTTGATTCTTTAACCAGCTGAGTAGGTGTTATTTTATTATCCCCATTTAACAAAGGAAGTAACTTCCCTAAGTCACACCACACCTTTTATAAGAGGTGGACTTTGACACAAGCCCACATCTCCCAACTGCTTTGATATTTCTTTCCATTCTGAGACCCCATGTTTGTTAGCTTGTTTGAGTGAATGAGTGAGCTCTGAGCCTTCCCTCAACACACACACACCTCTACAGTCCTGTACTCATGTCCCCTTCCTTGCTATTTCCTCTGTGTGGCCTCTGCCAAGCACAACCCCGAACGCTTATGTGGGAAGGAACCCAGAAGGGGGTCTTTACCCAGTACTCAGTCTTTGCAGAGCTGGGAGCAGCCTGCTGCCCCCACAGGGTAAGATGATTTCTTTCACGCTGCATTAGCCTATGAGACAGGCGTTCTGGCATGCTGTTCCAGGAATCCTCATGAAAGGCCTGAAGGGGTAGGGGGAAGCAGGTATTCATTGCAAAGCATGAGGTTGAGCTGCTCTTTCCACCTGGAGGGTGATCTGAGCTCAGCCCACTGCACTGCAACTGGACACCAGGCAGCAACTGGCAGGGAGGTCCTGGAAGAGCTGGTGACACTGATGCTGTGTCATGCTCCTCAGAGGACACGACCCTGCCCTGCCCAGGGATTATAAATGGCTCTCCCGGGTATTGTTGGGTTTCTTTCCTTTCTACAATGAACTAACAGTCTCTGGACCACAGAACTATGGAGTATTTGAGTCATGGGAGGAGAGGAATAGTGTTGGGCAAAGAGACTGGTGGGAAAGAGGGGGACCCGGGCATGTACCCGGGCTGATGGGTGTGCACTGTGGGACCTGGACCTGCCACATGACTCCTCTAGGCCTGCTTCCTTCCTTACCAGATGGCCATGAGCTTCACAATTTTAATGACACCTACCTTGCAGCATTGTTTTAAGGCTTAAATTGGTTTACTTGCTCAACAAATTACTTATTAAGTACCTATTGTGTTCCAGGTCTTGTTCTTGGTGCTGGAGAACAGAAAAAGTCCCAGTCCTCATTTGGGGGAGACGGATGATAAACAAACATATAAAAAACTTCAGACAGCGGTAAGTGCAATAAGAGAAATAAAGCGGAATGAAAGGGATAGAGTGGTAGGGGAGGCTATTTTAGATAAGGAATTTGGGGAAGATCTCTTTGGGGAGGTGAGACTGAAACCAAGACCAGGAAGAAGTGAGCGAGTGAGCCAGGCCAAGCTCAGTAGCTCACGCCTGTAATCCCAGCACTTTGGGAGACCAAGGCAGGAGGATCACTTAAGTCCAGGAGCTTGAGACCAGCCTGGGCAACATAAGGGAGACCTCATTTCTACAAAACCATTTTTAAAAAATTAGCTGGGCATGATGTTTGCACCTGTAGTCACAGCTACTTGGGAGGCTGAGGTAGGAGGATCACTTGAGCCAGGGCAGTCGAAGCTGCAGTGAGCTGTGATTGCGTCATTGTGCTGCAGCCTAGGTGACAAAGCAACACCCTTTCTCAAAAACATATGTATAGGCCGGGCACGGTGGCTCATGCCTATAATCCCAGCACTTTGGGAGGCCAAGGCAGGTGGATCATGAGGTCAGGAGTTTGAGACCATCCTGACCAACATGGTGAAAACCTGTCTCTACTAAAAATACAAAAATTAGCCAGGTGTGGTGGTGCACACCTATAATCCCAGCTACTCAGGAGGCTGAGGCAGGAGAATTGCTTGAACCCAGCAGGCGGAGGCTGCAGTGAGCCCAGATCAGACCACTGCACTCCAGCCTGGGCGACAGAGCGAGACTCTGTCTCAAAACAAAACAAAACAAAACAAACAAACAAACAAAAAATGTATAAACAGGCCAGTTGCAGTGGCTCATGCCTGTAATCTCAGCACTTTGGGAGGCAGGTGGATCACTCGAGGTCAGGAGTTTGAGACCAGCCTGCCCAACATGGCGAAACCCTGTCTCTACAAAAAATGTAAAAATTAGCCGGACATGGTAGTGTGCACCTGTAGTCCCAGCTAGTCAGGAGGCTGAGGCATGAGAACTGCTTGAACCCAGGAGATGGAGGTTGCAGTGAGCCAAGATTGTGTCACTGCACTCCAGCCTGGGCAACGGAGCGAGACCCTGTCTCAAAAAATACATCTATCTAAAAGTAAAATAAATAAAAGATAAAGAGAGAGTGAGCCAGGTGGTATCTGGGGAAGAGCGTTCCTTGCAGAGGGAACAGCAAGTGCAGCAGGGTAGGATCACACGAGACAATGGATATGACAGCCCTGGGCTGTCATGTAAACACAAGGACCCTCCAAGCCGGCCACTCCTCACTGGCCTCCTGAACCTCTGACAGCTAGCAAAGAAGTGACCAATTACAAAAACCTAAGTATTACACTTTACATTTCCAAAGGTCCTGGGTCCCCTCCCGTGAGCACCACTCCAGGAACAGGCAGAAAGAGAATGGAAACAACTTTCCTCATGCCTCTATTACAGCACTTACGTCTCATGATCTCTTTACAAATCAGTCTCACCCCTGGGACTGGGCTCCTGCAGGCAGGACTGCTTCTCACTTCTTAGGGACCCTGAGGGGCACTGGCGAGCCACACTACCTTTGGAATCCTGCGTTGGAACGCTTGTTCTGTCATGTTCTTGCTGTGTGAGTTCAGGCATGGTTTTTTTTTTGCCTTTCTGAGCCTGAGCTTCCTCATCTGTAAGATGGGGGCATTTTTATAGCTAATTCCCAGAACTGTTTTGAGAATCAACTGGGCCCAGCATACTGTAAGTGCAAAAGTGTAGGTAAATTATTGTCATTGCTCACATTCTGAATGCCTGACAGTAAGTGCTCAAAAAATTTGGTAGAATAGAACTCAAGAGTAAGAAAATCCTCCAGGAAGAATTTCATGTTTAGAGCTGCTGCTATTTCGAGGGGATGTGCTTACCCTGCAAGTACCCAGGGAAGGATATAGTCATCTGTCTGAGAACACCTGTGAGACACGACATTGACTCAAGTTCCTAATCTGATCCCTTGCTCCAGAGCCTGTTTTGATGTCCTGTTCTTAGGTAGAAACCTTGTCAAACCATTAACATGATATGAACAGTTACAGTGTCTGATCTTCACTGGAAGCTAAGAAGTAGCATTCACTCCCCCACATATCTTTGGATGTCTTCCTGCTCCCACTAGCCTCCTCTGGAGCCATGTATGGGCCTTTCACTCACCCCACCCTGCCCCTGGCACTGTGTTGTAGCCACCTCTGAGATTTGTGGAAAGCAGTCTTAGAATAAGGTGAGCTAGGCAGAAGATAAAGCAGGAATCTCAGGATTTAGCCTTAAGTTCTCACGTCCTGGAGATGAGACCTGCAAGGACCATCTTGGCAATGTAATTGTGTGGGTTGGAAAAATGGAAAGAAGCAGCTCATCATCCTGGATAAGGGAGGATTTGCGGAAAAGGGAAAGAAGCGCTTGGTGCTTGGATTCTGACAGTAGGCTGATGGCTGGAGGCGGCTGGGCAGTGGAAGTGGATTCCCAGCGGCTGGCAGGAGTATGTGGCAGACAGGGCTGAGGAAGCTGTCTCCCCGGGGATAGCCTCCTTGCTTGCTCAGATTCCAAGTGACCGTCAGCATTTTGTTTGCTTTCCTGAGACCCAGCCCTGGCATGAAGAAATAATGGTGACCTTGAGACCCTCAACAAGCTGAATTACTAAACTTTGGTAAATCAATGCCAGGAATTGAGAGTGTTTAGCTCAAGTGGGCAGCAGACCTAGGCCAAAATGGCATTACAAAAACATGGAGGTCACTGTTAACACTGTGCACATGAAGTCAAAGTGGAAGTAAGCTATTAAGATCTTAGTATGAGTCAAAAAGGGCCGGCTGACAGTCCTTGGCTATATGACTGGGAGCAAGTGCCTTAACCTTTCTCAACATCAGTTTTCTCATCTATAAAACAGGAATAATAATTCCTGCCACATCTGACTCATAGGGTTCTCATGAGACTCAACATTTGAGCAAATTTAGAGCACATGATATCAAGTGATAGTACATGACTTCCTTTATGTTTCCCGCAGAGAGTGGTTGTGAGGCTCACCTGAGCAGCTACCTGCAATGATCAGCACATAATAGATGTGCAAGAATTATAATTCAATTGTTGCTTGTAAAAATGCTACACGTGAAAATGCAATATAAGTGCACAGAGTATTATAAAGTGTCAATTCTTATTTTCATCTTTTATTCATCTGCTAGCAGATAGGATTAATACACGATCCCACAGTCACCTGTCCAGCCAGGTAAATTTTTCCATCCCTGGTCCCAGGGGACCTCAGTAACTTCTTGCCATCCTCCTTACTCCTCAAGTCAGCCCCACACACGATCTCTTCCTCCTGAAGAACAATGCCTCTTACAGGCACAGGACTCCAGTCCCCTCCAATTTGGTCTTTGAAGCAAGACCTCCCTTTTCTGCTCTCAGGATCAAGCCGCCTCTCCTCCATACCTCCGCTTCTTCCTTGAGCCATGACTGCCAGATGGAGTGCCCTTGTCTCACCTCTCTTCTTTTTTCAGGCTCAACTCTTCTTCAAAATTCATACCCCTTCCTCTGGGAGCTTCCTCTGATTTACCCCACCCCACAGATCACTCAGCTAGTGTGGGCTCGGTTTGTGTTGTACAATTTGGCTTTTGCTGACGCTTGATTTTCTAAACGTTCTTTCAGCCCTGTGGCAGGGACTGCATCTTCTTCTGTCTTCACCTGTGCCTAGTGGAATATACTGTTTAAAGGAGGCAATCCAGGGAGAATATTCCTTGACCAAGTGTCCCTCACCTTATTGTTTGCCTTCCTAGGCCCCTCTCTAGCAGCAGAAGCTCCCCAAGGAGCAGTGCCACCCTTCAATGAAAAATCTTGCTTTAGATGTCAGTGGGGGTCCCTACCTCCCACCATACCCAGGGAAAGCTTTCAGTTAGTGCCTGCAGGGGACTAATTCTTCATGACTCACGGCTTTTCTATTCAGGTATAATTGCTCTTGTTCTCCAATTTGGCAGGGGCCTTGCAGCCAAAAGAAACCTGTGCAGGGAGTAAATCAGAGCATTGGGTCAGTTATCTTTGCAATGAACTGGGGTTTTTCTTCTAGTTTCTTTTTCTTTTTCTGTCTTTCTTTCTTCCTCTTTTTTTTTTTTTTTGAGACAGAGTCTTGCTCTGTCACCCAGCCTGGAGTGCAGTGGCGCAATCTCGGCTCACTGCAACCTCTGCCTCCTGGGTTCAAGCGATTCTCCTGCCTCAGCCTCCCGAGTAGCTGGGATTACAGGTGTGTGCCACCACGCCTGGATAATTTTTGTATTTTTAGTAGGGACAGGGTTTCACCACATTGGTCAGGCTGGTCTCGAACTCCCCACCTCAGGTGATCCGCCCGCCTCGGCCTCCCAAAGTGCTGGGATTACAGGTGTGAGCCACCACGTGCCCAGCCTAGTTTATTTTTCTTTTCTTTTTTTTTTTTGAGATGGAGTCTTGCTCTGTGCCCTAGCTGGAGTGTGGCAGTGTGATCTTGGCTCACTGCAACCTCCGCCTCCGAGGTTCAAGCAGTTCTCTGCCTCAGCATCCTCAGTAGCTGGGATTACAGGCACCCGCCACTATGCCCAGCTACTTTTTTTGCATTTTTAGTAGAGACAGGATTTCACCATCTTGGCCAAGCTTGTCTTGAACTCCTGACCTTGTGATCCACCTGCCTCGGCCTCCCAAAATGCTGGGATTACAGGCGTGAGCCACCGCGCCTGGCCTAGTTTATTTTTCTATGTATGCCTATAGACAGATGCCCAGGCTGTGTCCCCACCCCCACCATGGTGTGGTTCTAGGCATGCCCTGGGAGGACCAGAATCTAAGACGTCTGAGCTGATGTCACTGGTGGGGAAATGCTTAGAAAGAAAGAGCAATCCTGAGTTTGCTTCAAGGTACAGATTTGCTCCCACATTTCTCTTCCATTTTCCTTTGGTTTCTGTTCCCTCTGCATTTATGTGCATGCTCAGCAGTGGACATATAAGATAAAGAAGATCCTGTCTGTCCTGAGAGTCTCACAGTCTGGCAGAACTTCCTACCCCACTAGTGGGAAGCCTCTTAGAGGGTCCCTGGATTCCTGCTCTTCTCTATTGTGCTCCTAAATTTTGAGGTTAAAGATCATTTTAAGAATCTTATGGATTCTCTACCCTTGCTCCAAAGGCAGACATATTCAATATTTTGCATAAAACTCCGAGGGGTTTATAGACCCGGTAAAGCCCATCCACAAAATCCACAAGCTCCACTAAAAAAAAAGTCAACAAGGATGAGAAGGGGGAAGAAACTTAGAATGGAATACAAATAGAAACAAATGCATCCTTTTGTAGCCCGTGAACATGATGATTTGGGTTTTCACACACATGTGAGATGTGCCTCCTTCAAACCTTAAGACATCAGCATGTTACCTGACGTGAAAAAAAAGGAATGAACTTAACTCATTTTAAATAACTCTATTTTAAACAAATAATATTGCGATGCTGAAGGGAGGATAAAAACCAAATAAACAAGCCCAACAAATATTTAATTCTAGTTAGAAGGAGTTTTTTCTGTAGTGATATGGGTGAGCAATTCTGAAATACCTTTTGTGTGCTGTAGAGTTGCACAAATGAGTAAATGTACTGAGGATATTGGAAGCTAGTTCTTGCTGTTGGAGAGGAGAGTTATAAATATGGAGAAAGGGAGGACTAAAATGAATTTTGTGGTGTTGAGTTGGAACTGGAGGTATCTATATGAATCCATGATTTTGTGTGTGTGTGTGTGTGTCTGTGTGTACAGATGTAGAAATTAAGATAAAATATGTATATTTCTTAGCTCTGTGGGCTAAAGGGCCTAGAAGTAGACACTACAGTAGCATTGAGTATACCTGGCACTTGGATCTTGGTTTCTAAATACCATTTCGTACTAAAAAAAAAAAAAAAAAAAAAAAACTAGGGCTCCTTGGAGAAATGACTAATTCTAGGACTGAGAGGGGGAAAGTACAAGATAAGCTTAGAATATCGTGTTGTGCCAGAAAGCAAGGAAGTGCTTTTTAAAAAATGGAGATATAGAAAAAGAACACAGGAATCAGAAGGGACCCCCATTGGCCAAATCTGGGAGTATTCGAACATCAGCATAAATAATGGTAATTATTTATTATCATCACAGTGGTATTACAGCACAATATTACAGTGGTAATATCACTATAGAATAGCCATAGAATAAAATAATCTATGAGCTCATACGAATATAAATAAATAAAAGAGAAGGGATAGCTCTCTCTTATAGCAGAAATGATAACATCAGAATATCATCTTTGTGCAACCATGATTTAGACAGGAATTATCAATGGATGCTAAAACTAGTGGATAGAAGTTTGATAAAGAAGAGGATATGTACATAGATTCAGAGCACCCCCATGAAAATAACTTATTGATTACAAAGGGAAAATTAGTAACTCCATGGTGAGTTCCTCTGATGAACACAACCATAACCATTTAATCACAGTTAACAATACCAATAAAGGGATGCACTGACCTCACTGCCTTGAAAAGGACTCCATATCATTTCTATGGTACACCTGCCAAAACTATAACCTTAATCTAATTATGAGGTAGCATCAAACAAACCAAACTGAAGGGCATTCTACATAACAACTGGCCTGTAATCTAAAAACAAACAAAAAAGCAAGTTCATGAAAGATAAGGGAAGGCTGAGAACCTGATCTAGATGAAAGAAGATTAAAGAGATATGAACAGTAAATGCAATGTGTGATCCTGAATTGGATGCTGGATCAGAAAAAAACCAGCTATGAAGGACATTATTGGAGCAATTGGTGAAATTTAAATATAAACTATAGCTCAGATAAGCATTTTGTATCAATGTTACAAATTCCCTGATTTCCATAAATGTGTTGGGGTTATGTAAGAGAAAATTCTTTTTTTTTTTTTTTTTTTTTTTTTTTTTTTTTTTTTTTTTTGAGACGGAGTCTCGCTCTGTCACCAACGCTGGATGGAGTGCAGTGGCGCGATCTCAGCTCACTGCAAGCTCCACCTCCCGGGTTCACGCCATTCTCCTACCTCAGTCTCGCGAGTAGCTGGGACTACAGGCGCCCGCCACCACGCCCGGCTGATTGTTTTGTATTTTTAGTAGAGATAGGTTTCACCGCGTTAACCAGAATGGTCTCGATCTCCTGACCTCGTGATCCGGCCGCCTCGGCCTCCCAAAGTGCTGGGATTACAGGCGTGAGCCACCACGCCTGGCCGAGAAAATTCTTGTTCTTAGGAAATACTGACATATTTATGGATAAAGGGGGCATAAATAGTTCAGAAAAAATATGTGTATGCACATATATGGATTGATAGAAAGACAATAGATCAAATGGGGCAAAATTATAGCAATTAGTGAATCTGGTAAAGAATATACTGTTTTTGCAACTTTTCTGTAAAAGTGTGAAATTATATAAAAATTAAAAAGTAGATAAAAAGAGTATTTGCTCTAAGCTGGAGCCCTTTTTTTTTGGAGACAGAGTCTCGCTCTGTCATGCAGTGGTGGCATGGTGTGCAGTGGTGCGACCTTGGCTTAATGCAACCTCCTGGGGTCAAGAGATTCTCATGCCTCAGCATCCTGAGTAGCTGGGACTACAGGCATGTGCCACCATGCCCGGCTAATTTTCATATTTTAGTAGAGAAGGGGTTTCACTATGTTGGCCAGGCTGGTCTCAAACTTCTGACCTCAGGTGATCCGCCCACCTCAGCCTCACAAAGCGCTGGGATTACAGGCACAATCCTACCATGCCCAGCTAAGCTGGAACTCTTTTTTTTTTTTTTTCTTTTTTTTGAGATGGAGTCTTGCTCTGTCGCCCAGGCTGGAGTGCAGTGGCTCGATCTCTGCTGACTGCAAGCTCCGCCTCCTAGGTTCACGCCATTCTCCTGCCTCAGCCTCCCGAGTAGCTGGGACTACAGGCACCCACCACCACGCCCGGCTAATTTTTTTTTTTTTTTTTGTATTTTTAGTAGAGACGGGGTTTCACCATGTTAGCCAGGATGGTCTCGATCTCCTGACCTCGTGATCTGCCCGCCTCGGCCTCCCAAAATGCTGGGATTACAGGCGTGAGCCACTGCACCTGGCCGCTAAGCTGGAACTCTCATACATTGCTGGAGGGAATTCAAATTGCTACGACCTCTTTGGAACTTCGGTAATGTCTTCCAAGGCTAAACACATATATCCCTGTCACCCAGCAAGTTTGCTTTCATATTTAACCAATGGAAAAGAGTGCTTCTTTCCGCTAAAGGACAGGTACAAGAATGTTTATAGCAGTAAAAACTGGAAATAGTGGAACACTGGAAGCAACCTGTGATGGTTAATTTTATGTATACTTGGCTAGGCAATGGTGCCTAGTTGTTTGGTCAAATATTAGTCTGGATGTTATTGTGAAATATTTTATAGAGGTGATTAACATTTACAATCAACTAACTTTAGGTAAAAGGAATTATCCATAATGGCCGCATCCAATCTGTTGAAGGCCTTAAAAGCAAAAACTGAGGTTTCCCAGAGAAGAAGGAATTCTGCCTTAAGACTATGACATAGAAACTCTGCCTGAGTTTCCAGCCTCCTGCTCTACAGAACAGCAGGACTTTTGGACTTGCCAGCCCCCACAACCATGTGAGTCAATTTCTTCAAAAAAAAAAAAAAAAAATCCCTCCTCTTTCTCTCTCATACATGCATATAATTGGTTATATATAACATATATAATTGGTTCTGTTTCTCTGGAGAACCATGACAAATATATAACCCAAATATGTTTGGGTTGTGTATTAGTCAATGAGAGAATGCATACATAAAATGCATAAATACTCAAACTACACAGCAATGGAAAAGAACAAATTGCTATATTCACACACATAGATGAATCTTACAGACATAATGTTGAGCCAGACACAAAAGAATATATACTGTATGAATTAATGTTTACAAAGTTCAGGAACAAGCAAGACTAAGCTATAATGACAGAAATCAGAATATTGGTTACCTTTGAGGGATGATATTAACTATGAGGGGACACAAAGGAGTCTTCTGTGGTTTTGGAACTGTTGTGTGTCAGCGTGGTAGTTACGCAAGAGCAAATATATGTGAAATTTCATCCAGCTGTGCATTTTATGTGTGTTGTTTTTTAAAGAGGTTAAAAAAGAGTACTTACTTTAAATGCTAACTTTCTCCATCCCCTCTATGGCTAAGCTGTAACCTCTATACTGTATATTTCTATATCCATATTGCAGATCCTGAAAATCTACTCAGGCCCCAAATACATGTTCATAATTATATTTCTTATGCCTATCCAAAAAACTGGTTTTCCTTTTAAAATTTGCAAGCCATCCAAGAATCCTCCTTCTCTGTAACCCCGAGTACATCTGATGGCCAAGTGCAGTTGATCAGCTTCCTAAATATCCCTCCACTTTGTCTCTTCCTCTCCTTCCCATCACTGCCTTTGTTTAGGCACCATAATTTCTGCTTGAGTTGCATCATCACCTAGGTGACAACAACACCTAAATTAGTGTTTAAATAACTGAGGACTGTAGCTTTGCCCTACTGATGCATAAAACTGACCATCACATAGGCCTAGCCTCTACTCCAGTGCCCCCATCTGCTCAATCTATGTTTGTGAAATGAAATGGCTCATTTCTAACCCCAGTACCATCATGTTCCAGACAAGTCTTGGTGTCTGACCATGGGAAGCAAGTAGTTATCGTGCATCCATTATGTGCAGTGCAGACAGAGGGTGATTCCAGAAATACAAGATTCTGGATTTTAATCTAGAGAGACAAAACAGTCAGATAAGTGCAAGACAACCTACAGGTAAGTTCCCACATGAATGTCTAAACCATCGTCAGGTGCTTTTCATCTTGTAACAATTTTTCTCAGGTTCATCTTTGTTTAAATGATGACAGTAGCCCCTCTGCTAGAGTCCCTGTCTCTAGCTCAGGCTCTCCCTGTTCCAGGGTCTCCTGTATCTGGGCTGCTGGTTGAATTGTCCTGAGATATTACTTCAGATTTTTACTCAGCAACCACCTGCTCAAGAACCACAAGAGCTCCTCATTAGCTGCCAAGGCAAGTCTAAACTCTTTTGCCTAGCTTTCAGGATCTCCATGCTCTGACCCCTCCCAGGGTGATATGACAGCTGTCTTAATATTTTTGAAGGGCTGTCAGAGAGAAGGATTAGTCTGATTCTGTGCTGCCCCAGCAAGCAGAAGGTACTATCACAGGTGGAAATTACAGAAAGATT
The DNA here is from genome assembly GCF_000001405.40 of Homo sapiens. Classification (NCBI taxonomy): domain Eukaryota; kingdom Metazoa; phylum Chordata; class Mammalia; order Primates; family Hominidae; genus Homo; species Homo sapiens. Next base: position 99,606,723 of record NC_000010.11, read on the forward strand.
TAAGTGCCTCGAAGTGTAAACATTTTCCATTCTACTTAGGGTGGCAGAGGTGGTGGTGGCGGTGGTGGCAATAAAGGGAATACTGTGTGTGACTCCAACAGAACTTGTTCTCCACTTACCAGTCTAAGATTCCAGGAAATAACAAAATACTGCACATCCAGTAGGTTGATGTATATATCATTAAGTATTTTTTCTATGTATAATTTTTTTGTAATTTTCAAAAATGAGATCTCACTATAACCAATTTCTTTCACATAACAGAATACAGTGTCTATCTTTCCGCATCATTAAATTTTCTTCCATCATCTCAGTATAAATGGCATGCCACATTTCATTGTATGAATGTTCAATAATATCAATAGCTTATTCAATAAGTCCCCTGTGGCACTTTTTTTTTTTTTTTTTTGAGACAGAGTCTTGATCTGTCACCCAGGCTGGAGTGCAGTGGCACCATCTTGGCTCACTACAACCTTTGCCTCCTAGGTTCAAGTGATTCTTGTGCCTCAGCCTCCCGAGTAGCTGGGACTACAGGTGCATGCCACCACCCTGGCTAATTTTTGTATTTTTAGTAGAAATGGGGTTTCACTATATTGGCCAGGCTGGTCTCGAACTCCTGGGCTCAAGTGATCTGCCTGCCTTGGCCTCTCAAAGTGCTGGGATTACAGGCTCGAGCCACCATGCCCGGCCCCCTGTGGCACCTTTATAATATCAGAAACATTGCTATGGGTAGGTAGAATCTGAATGATCAAAAGGAGGATAGATAGGTTGGTGGAGAGAGAAAGTTCAGAGTGGTGAGACAGTCTGGCACCATCTCCTGACAGGCATTGAAGATATCCGGCCTGGAGACCAGGACGCAGGTTACCGGATAGTGGGGCTGAGGCTGGCCCTGAGAACATCTAGATCTAGGAGGCTTCTTAGAGGTCATCTTGCTTTGCAACCCTCCAGGAGTTCGACTTCACTGTATAGCATCCCTGGCAGGGCTGACCAGCCCCAGCTCCTGTATTTTAGAGCTCGCTGCTGTGCAATGCTATCCGTGTCATTGCTGCAAAGCTCTGTCTGTTAGAAGGTCAAGTTCTCTGGGTAATGGGATTCGAAGTATTTTCTTTTTATCTGTGCTTTCTAAATTTTATGAAATTAGCATGATTCAACATTTATTGGCTTTTACGAAAGTATTTTTTAATTCTATTCATCAAAGCCACCTTCTTCTCTGTTTACTCTGCCTACACTTATCTTTCCTGTCTCTAAATCTCATTGTTAATTTCTGTATAATCCAGTACATGTCTATATAGTGTCTTGTGTTATTAAAAGTTTGTTTCACTCATGTTGGTCTCAGCTCTCCAATGAAGAACATTTTCCTCTGGCCAAATTGTGACTTATTTTCTCATTTTCCCTGACACATAGCACTGTGCAGGAATTGGCCACTTGATGATGGCTTGGTACTGGATTCTCCAGGTGTCACATGAACTACCTGGCTCTCCACAGAGGCTCTGGACCTGGGGATGCCCCCAAACACCCACAGTTCTCCTGGGTCTGCTGAGCCCCTTGGAAATGACCCAGGTATCCAGTCACTGGCATTGCTAATGTTCAACCTGTCACATTATTCTGCCTCTATCTCCCCTTTGACCTCTAGTGACTGGGCCAAGAGACCTGCAGAACCTAGTGTCCTGTCCAGATTCCAAACTAAATGTCCTCCAGTAGCTACAGCACAACTGGAGGCTGGAAGATCACTTTTGTATTCTTTTCTCATTATTTGTGAACAGCATTAGAGCTGAGGTGGTCTCTAGCCGCTACCAATCTTTAAGAAATTACCCCGCAATCCATTCTTGAAAAATAAGCCTTATTGCCATTGTGCCTACTGTGTGTCAGATACCATGCCAGACAGCTCTGTAAAGCCGACCGCAGAGACTAGGTCCTGACAGCCATCCCTTTGCTCTCTTGCTCAGTCCATATGGGAGGCAGCTACTCAATTACATTTTTACTAGCAAACCCTCTGAAATGACCTTTACAATGATATCATCACACTCTTTTTACTCAGCAACCACCGCTTAGCACTATTAATCTCTCCTCTCCACGCTAAATCAGAGGGGCAGCATAGCCTACTTAAATAAAGCTTAGGAGACCCTGCTGGTTTCTCGACAGTTTTTTTTCAAGTGCATTCAGACATGATTCTCCATAGATATTGAAGGGCTGTCAGATGGGAGGAGGACGAGATCTACTCTGTGACCGAATCCTATTGCTTCTACAACCCTAACATGGCTCCCGGCTCCATGCCACAGTCCTGCTTCAGACCACCATGCACTTGCCTGGATTACCACAGCAGCCTCCTAACCAGTTGGCCTGCCTGTCCAGTCTTGCTCCTCTAATCCTTTCTCCAGAGAGCCTAAGTGATCTGTTTAAATTGTAAATCTGATCACACCACACCTCTGCTTAAAACTCCGTAATGCTTTTGCATGGCCTTCAGGATAAATCTAAACTCCATAGCATCGCTTTGAAGACCCAGTGTCTGCTTGGCTCTCAGGCTGCATGTCTTGCCCAGATTGTTTCAGTCCTACCAAACCACTTGCACACCAAATCCCAAATACTTTTTAATTCTCTTACCTCCAGGTCTTTGCCTAGAACATAACCCCTCCCCTCTTCACCAAGTTAGCTCATTTGCCTTCCAGGTGTCACCTCAGATGTTACTTCCTCCAAATGTCTACCCTGGTCACCCAAGGCTACGCTGGGTATCCTTCTGTCTTCTGAGTATCCTAGGTTTATTCTATCTTCTCTCCTGTCATTTTGTTTTGTAATTGCCTGTTTCCATGTATCTTCCTCTCCAGACAGTAAGCTCCTTGAGGGCTGGGATTGTTTTTATCTATCATTGTATTTCCAACACCAGTGCTTGCCACAGAGACACTCAATAGTTAATGAATGAATGACAGATGACCTAACAAGGATAGGTGGAAGACTCAGAGGGGTACATTTCTATGTACTGAAGAACTTGCTAATAACTGGTGATATATAAAAAAAAAAAAAAAAAAAAAAAAAAAAAAAAGGAACACACTGACCCACCAAGCACAGGGAAAGCCCCATCTCTGAAAAGTCTCCAAGCAGAGCCTAACTGGTCATCAGGCAGGGAGCTTCCTCAGTAGATGGCAGTAGATGTGAGATGCCCTCCACTCATTTCCCATCTGTAGGAAGCCACGCTTAGATTCATTCGTGAGGTCAAAACACTTGGGCTGGGGTCCCACTTCTGCACTGACTGTGAGACTTTGGACTAGTCACAGCCTCTGAGCTTTCTTGCTTGTGAAATACAAATGACACCTGCACTGCCTACTTCAGAGATTTTGTGAGGTTCAAATGAGATCACACATGCTCAAGTACTCTGTGAAAGCCTTAAAATAAAATGAAATGTATTATTTACCATGTAATCTTCAGGACTTGCAGCTTCACTGAATAATTTGAGTTTCACAACTAAAATGGAAAACCAAGTGCCACACTGTAAAGCACTGCTGCAGGCAGAGCTGCGAATTAGAGCAGAGATCTGCCCCTTCTGTGCTGCGCTACCGCCCTAGGGAAGACAGTGGGGATCTGGAGCATCTGATTGGTTGGGATCTGTCAAGGGCTTGTTGTTCTAGCCATCAGGGAGATTGCTTGGGGCCTACCACTAATGTCTTAAATTGTCATGAAAATCAGCAGAAAACTACAGACATACTCAATAAACCTTTCCTTTGGGTCCCTTGATTTATGCTTAAAGGAAAGTCAAGAACAGTTAACAGCATTTCACTTCCCCTTTAGCAAGACAAACCCAATGAAACCATTTAATTTAAAGGCTTTTTATTAGGAACCAGGGGAATGAGCTGCTTATCCCTCTATAACAGTCTAGAGCAGGTCATCAGGCCCAGGATGGAGAGAGGTTATCAAAGGTGCTGTGGTGTGCTTTGCTGCACGTGCTTAGGGCCTGGAAGGAAAGGTGGTGGCAACAGAGGTTGGCAGGAACTGGTGTTAGTCAAAACACCAAAATCCTGGGGGAGAGCCCCTCTACCTTCCTTCTAACTCCACTTGAGGTGGGAGCATTCCAGGAGACAGAGAATGTGACCAGGATGCAGCAGTGTCATCTGAACCCCTGGCTTCGTTCAGTGCTACTTCACTTGCCAGCCCTCCACTCTTCTTGCCTTTTAGTGATTAGGTATTTGAAGAACTCATACACAGACCATGCGATGGCTGTGGAGGGGATCTGGTAAATTACTCTGGCCTGCACCCCTCGGAAATAGGCGGTCACCCCACCTACTTGATATACCGTCCTGAAGGCACTAGCCATGCCTGTGATATGTCCTGTAATGTGTGAGTTCAAAGCCAAGGACTCCTGGGTGTTGAGCAGTGTTTTGCAAACGTCCAGTGGGGTTGTGGCTGCGGCAGCTACAGCTCCTGCGCAAGCTCCAGAGAGGACGTGGGAGCTTGGGTTGTACCGTCTCTGGGGGTTAAAGTGCTCCTGCAGGAATTCATAGGTCATGAAGTGAATGGCTTGGAAAGGAACGTTCATGGTCAGCTGGGTGGTGTAGCTGCGGTAAAAGGCCCCGGCCCCTTCATTTTGCCACACTGCCCGTACACAGTCTGTCACCCGGTGGTATGGTGAGTTGTACATCTGCATCCTCTGCTTGACCACTAGTAGTGCCATCAACGAGGAAGGAAATGGTGACAGCAGCCAACCGGTGATGGAGAGTATCCAGATTCAGAGCCCCAAGTCAGCAGATCAGCCAATGGAATAGAGAGAGAAAAAAGTATGAGTGAGCTGCTGGCTAACCTGAGAAGTCAGCTTCCCTTTTTTGAGGGGAAGGAGTAAGCAGAGGGTTGGTAACGAGTCAAAAAACAATAAACCCACTTCCATCAGGACTTCTGTAAAGCCAGCCAGTTCGCACACAGGACATATCTACAGTTTGGGAGCTTCAGAGAGTCTTCTTGAACTAAGTACCTATCTCTGATCTTACCCTCTAACAATTCCCAACAAGAAATGACTCCATGATAGTGATCATCACGAACACAGGCCCCTAACAATCCCAATCCTCGCATACAAAGAGCACCTAACTTTTAAAATGTGAGATGGTGATCCTCCTAGAGGGGAGGAGACAGAAGTTCTACCAAAGAAAAGATTCTTAGCCAAAAAGAGTTGGCTTTAGTCTTCAAACACCTCCCACTCCCTCAAGTAGATAACATGGTGTGAGCTCTGTGGAGCTTCAGCTTAGCTTTGGCTCTTTCCACCCCATGGCCTTGCCCAGACAGAAAATGAACGTGGCAACAATGCTATCCCTTCATATTTGCTCATCCTCACATGGAGAATGTTTTTGGAGAATTTTCCTCCGACTGAAAAGCCAAGATCCCAGCAGAAATGCAGGGACTGAGTTCTATGATTTAACCTTTCATTCCTATCCCAACTAGCTTCATTCCAATAAGAAAGGCAATATATTTAAGTGTCAATTCCTGCAAATCATAAGGGGGAAAAAAAAAGTCAGAATCCATCTTCACCTCTTTGAAGAAAAATGAATCTGCTAAACTTTCAGGACAGATCAAATCTACGACAAAGGAGGCTCCCAGGAAAGCCCAAAAACAGGCCACATGGAGACATCTTTTTCTAGGGAAGCCCCAGGGATTAGTAAAATCCCAGTGAATCTGCTTCCTGTCCAAGAGGGTGCCTCGTTAGGTACCAAAAACATGGAGGGAGCACCCTCTAGTGGTAAAACAAGGTAACAGAATTTCCCACCAAAACTGATGTGCTTTCTTCTGCAAACTGTAAAGAAATACAGGTGCAGCTGCCCACAGAGTGATAGGTTGAGGAATCATTACCTTCCGCAGGGTTCATGGCTGCATCATGAAGTAATGTTGCCACACACCCGGCCGCACCTGCAAACAAGAAAACAACTGCCACATGTAAGGCCAAGAGAGCTGACCAACTCATTGAGGTCCCCCAGTGAAGGGGAGTGGCTGTGCTACACTACAGCGGGGAAAAGTAACGTTAAGAGCTAGTCCAAAAGATGGGGACCCACTGCTCCTAAACTCCTGTTTAAGAAGGTAAAGTATCTGTTCCCACCAACTTTGTAAGGTCACTAATGTATTCCACATCCATGATAGGAAGGCCAGCTCAAGTCTTATCAATAAAGATCATTCTGAGAATAAATGCAGCTCACACCCCAGACAGGAAGCAGATACACTGCTGCCTAGGGATGCCAGCACATCACCTGCCACCAGTGGAGGGAGATACGGGGGCCAGGTGGTCAGATCTCACAGAACCTCACCACAGAATCCCACCTCAGTCCTGCCGCAGAACCCATTTGCAGAGCCTAACATTTGTCTACAAAGATCTTTCGTTCAGGTCCTGAACTACTCTACCCCTCATCCTCTCCACACTCAACTTGGTTTCCAGCCGGTCCTAAAGCCCTAGGCTGCTATCCTTTCTCTTACTTCCACACAACCTTCTGGTTTCTTCATGCAGTTCCTTGGCCCCACCCCCATTCATTTTGTCATGAGGCTTTGTCATGTTCTCAACACAAACTGCCTCTGGTGAGTTGGGATCCTGAAAAGGTGAGGCAAAAAGCAGGGGCTTCATTAGTATCTTCCTTGGGTGGCTGGCTGGGTCGCCTCCAATCCTGCCCTAAGGAGCAGGACACCACCCAACTGTCAAACATAGACTGGGGGTAGTTCAGTGTGTCTCCACATTACCAGGGCATTAGAAGTTGATGCCAGGGAGATGAGAGGAACAAGTCAAGCTGGTAGGTAAGGGAGGATACTGTAACCCTTTGTTGAGGTGCCCCAAAGGAAAAGGCAGGGTTGAAGCGGCCCGTTGTCTGAGAACATCAGGTTTGGAAGTCCCTCCCTTATAATCTGGCCTATCCCAGCCCAAAGCTTCAGCTCCAAACCATGCTGAGACTGGAAAGCACTGACAGCAGCAAAGCCCAAAGAGTTGGGAAAGTGGGGGAACCAGCACAGGAAGGCTCAATACCATTGGCAATATGGCTATTGCCCCCAGGGTGGATTACATCACTCAATGTCTTTTTTAACTTTTCGTAGCAGGCAAAATAAAGGGCGTGGGCAGGCCCTGCGCCTGTTGCTGTGACGTTCAGCCCCCTCATGGGCCTCCATAGGCCCTCCGTTCTTATAATCCTCCAGAGGGCCTCCAACACATTGCGATAGCGGGCAGCTGGGTCAGGCTGTAGACTCTGCATCCGGGTCTGAAATTACAGCAAGGAGAAGCGCAATGTCAGCAATGCCAACTTCTCGCCCCACCTCAACACACTGGGCAGACCTTCTACATGGAGCTGTGCCAATCTGTGAGAGGGATATCTGGCTTTCAGCTTATTTCCAATCTATAGCTGATCTTTCTTCTAAGCCTTGGACCTTTCTTTTTCTAGTCATCTATGACCCTAAGAATGGAACACCATTATTTTCCCTGAAAAAATAATCCCACCTATTGCTAAGTGTCCTGGTACTCCAAAATGATTCAGAGCCCCAGCAACAAATATCAAGCCTGTGTTTCAGAAGTTGCTTTTGTGCCTTAATACACTCAAGCTGACAGTTCTTTACAAATGGATTCTAAACTCCAGTATTTACTATCTATGACATACTTTATGCTGTATACCTAAAGAGTGCCCCTGGCCCTGCTTCATGACCACACACTGAGGGGCGGCTAATTTTTTTATACTTTTTCAGACTATCTGGCAATGGTGGCTGGGTCTACACAGAGTCTTGGCAGAAGCAGCATTCTTAATACATGCTTTTATTTCTTGGGAAAGAAAGTTTACCCTGAAACTGCAAAGGTGGGAGTGTCTAGCTAGAAACCAATCTAGTCTCCAATCCTGAAGGGCCCTTCCAGATTTCTAATTTAAACTGATTGAATCCCAAAATTGGCATTAGCAAATAAAATCAGTCTCAGTGAAACATAATCCTTGGAATCTCTCTAAAGGATTTGATGATTGGAATAAAAGCGTAGGGTAGACACTTTGTATGATGTTCTTGGACAAAGTTTTGTTGAAATTTGGGAAATTAATCTTATTCAAAACACCTCCCTAAATTAGACCTTTTCTGAAGAGTGTGTCTCCCCAGGAAAATTTCTCATCTACTGACCCAATTCAAGGTAAAGTAACATGGAAACTAATAGTTAATATAAAATCAATGTCTAAAAAGAAAAATCAATGTCTGGTGCCTGACACACAATAAGCACCTCTGATTTGTTTGCTAAATGAATGAATCTTTTGTCACATAACTGTATCAGCTACAATCACTGGTGAGCCAATGGAAGCAAGTGATGCCCAAGTACAGTTTAAATTTCTGCATCAATCTAATCACTAGATTCTATTTGGATTTAAAAGCTTGAACCTTCGGCCAGGCACGGTGGCTCACGTCTGTAATCCCAGCACTTTGAGAGGCCAAGGCGAGCAGATCACCTGAGGTCAGGAGTTCGAGACCAGCCTAGCCAACATGGTGAAACCCCGTCTCTATTAAAAATACAAAAAAATTAGCCGGGCATGGTGGTGTGCACCTGTAATCCCAGCTACTCAGGAGGCAGGAGAATCGCTTGAACCTGTGAGGCGGAGGTTGTAGTGAGCCTTCGCTGGTTTGAGCCACTGCACGGCAGCCTGGGCAACAAGAGCAAAACTCCATCTCAAAAAAAAAAAAAAAAAAAGCTTGAACCTTCCTCTTGGCCAACTGGAATCCAAGAGTAATACCTTTCCTCAAGAGCATGGGAGAAAAGAAACTAACCAGATGAACAGGTCCCGGTTAGCTGCAAGCAATCCACATTCCTCTGGTTATTTTCTCCTGCCTGCTACCAACAAAAAACCGGAAGCTTAAAAGGTTAGTTACTGGATGTTCAATCAGAAATACTCTACACAGTATCACTTATCACAATTTGACACATTCTTTCCTACTTCCCCCCACAAAACCTCATGTATTTCCAATAAAGGGTTTGTTTACTCATCTTTCACATCACACAAGGCATATAAAATCCATCAGAAGAGTTGTTCATAGAGACTACGGGTCATATGCTGGCTAGAGCTACTAATAAGCAAAGATAAATTGAGCCTCTTAGCTTATCGTGTTTCCATGCATTTATTCAAAACTGATCTTGTATAAGGGGAATGTTCAGCAATTGCATTGCTCTGCTGCAGTCAATGGTGTATTTGGCTACCAATTCTGAACGGTTTGGCTTCGGAGGCCTGGAACTCCTCACCCCCAAGAGAAAACCGGACTGTGGGAAGCTACTTTGAACATTCTATATACACATCTAAATCTAACTCAACAATTCTAACTCGATAAAAGTACACCCTTATGGAGAGGACCTGGGCATAAGCTATGCCAAATATAAAAATGAATATGGCTCCCCAAATTTGTGGGCCAATAAATCTGCCTTTTACAGAAAGATGAAATATCTAAGTAAGAATTTCTGAAAAACCTCAATGTGAAAAACTTCTACCTGGCTTTGGAGAAAAGCCAAACAACCCAGTAGAGAGGTAAGTGGTTTGGTAAAAGACAAGCCACATTTGAGTCAAAAAGCCTGAGTCTGAGCCTCAGCTTTGCTAGTTGTGTGATCTTGGGTATGTCACTTAACCTCTTTAAGCTTCAAAATTGTCATCTATAACATGAGGCCAAGAATGACTGGCTCACAGGGCTGTTGTGGGGATTAAAAGAGATAAGATATGTAAAAGCCATTGGTAATTTATAAGATGCTAGAAATACAAAGATTTTTATTGTATTCAAAATGATTCTATATTTGTTCATATCTAAGAATTTACAGATCATGGTAGCATTGCCTCCTGTATAAGTCATTTCACAAATATACATGGGCAACTAACTGTCCTTAGCCACCAATAAATCAGGGTTAATTTTGTATTTTTTGTTTTCCTTTTAAAGTTTCTCTGTGGCTATAATGATTTACATGTCCCACTATTAATCTGAAGGTCATATGTTCAGGGACAAGCTTTACTGTGAAATTCTGTGCCTTGCCTGGTTCTTGTAATCTGCTTTTGGGAAGCTATATGGAAGGCTTGAGAGTCTGATACACTGAGTTCAAATCATAACTGTGCTACTTAAACTGTGTGACCTTGGACAAGTTATATAACTTCCCTAAGCCTCCTTTCAACTGTAAAATAATGAAAATGGTTTCTACTTCATGAAGTTGCTTCACAGATTAAATGAATAAATGTATGTAAGGTACTTCAGATAGTGCTTGGCACACAAGATCACTGAATACTTATTACTAGATGCAAGAAAATCAAATAAGCTAATGTTTCCATTTCCTAATCTTTCACAGGTGAATATGTATAGATACCATTTACATCTGGAAATTGGAGATTTATCTCCCTCTGCTCTTCCCCTCTTTATTATATAAGTGGATATTTGCTTTACCACTTCAGAGCCAACAACAGCAGCTTGATGATAGGTGGGTACTTCGCCAGAGGATTTTGAGAAGGGTTCTGACTGTTTTGGGTTGCAGAATGTCCCCATAGATAAAGTCTGGCGCTTGCCTTTGAGGCCCAGAAAAGGAAACTGGGATTTATCTGGGCTCCCAAGCCTCTCCATTATAGCCATGGAAATAGCTGGTTGAATAACCATGATCCAGCAAGGCTACACTGACTTCTCATGGTCCCTCTCAAGGATATTTAAAGTCAACTTGACCCTGATAAGTAGCTGAGGATGGACAGGCCTGCATGTCAAAAGGCAATGTCAGCTTTCATTTGCAAACATTGTGGTTGCCCTTTAGGCTCCAACAACATGGATATCTGCCTCCAGTCTTAAAGACTGGGCTGCTTTTCCTCCCCACTCATCCACTTATTAAAAGAAGAAGGATAGCTGCTGGGGACAAGCAAACTGGGAAGTCTTTTCTGAAGGAAGAGATTTGAATTTTACTTTCATGCCTGCACAAAAGTGTTTAACATACTCACTGACACTAAATCATACTGGCCTCACCTAGTTCTTCCCTCTAAGTCATTTAAATCCCAGCATTAAGTGCAAGTGAAAATGAGCCTTCTAAAATAAGCTTTCGTATTGTTGACAACTCCTGAGCATTTTTTTCTCAAATCATTATTTCCTTAATAGAGGGCTTTCAGGCATAACTGCTATGTTGTATGACTAATTTTTAAAAAACAAAAATTCCAAAGTTTATGTAAATGAGTAAGAACTGTTCTTCAAAATAGTTACCTTGGAAGGCTACAATTGACTTATTCCAGCAAAGCTGTGGTTATGCAAAACCTTTCTGGAACTTCTCTTTCAGAGGTGTTTCCTCAACGGGTTTATAGGCCTCAGAAGTAAAGCAGTCTCCTTGCTTTCCAGTCCCACCTTATTTTGATGCCAAGCAGTATTACCCATTTTGACCTCCCACTTTATTCACCATATTTGATTCTGAATAGTCTTTGTTCTTGCAAAATCAATTCCATCTTGTCACAGGGCAAAGATTTGCCTCCCTTAAGGACATGCACCCAAATATTCTAGAAGCATTTTTAACAGGGATTTATAAAATGTTTATAGCAACAATAGCACTATGTAAATATATGGAGTAAGGAGATAACCTCCCGTTCTGTTATAATGGAACAGTGGTTAAATTGATAAGTTACAGTAATATTTCTAAGACAAATTATTACACTGTATTTTTCAAGCCATTACATAATTTTCACTGTTTTCATTGATCTGTTTTCCATTCAATACTCATCCAGAAAAACAGCATCCTAAACCCTGCACTCTACTCACAGTCTAAGTCTAGGGAGGTTACTCTGCAGCTAGATTATATTAACTTTTGGATATACGGCATTATTAACTCACAAGTCATTCAACCTAGAGTCTATACATATAATGTGTGCATCTTTTTTATTTATACTTGTTTTACATTTCAATGTTGTTACTTCTCTCTCATGGATTTTACAGTTTATTTCTATTTCTCCCAATTGACAAGGACATTTAACATTCTAATGTCCATTTTAGTCAAGTGCATTTACCCCGTTTTCAATGGATATGGCCCTTGTTAGGAGTTACCTTGTGTTAAAATACTCCTGCCAGTTTGCTGTCATTCACAAAGCTTAATGAGCGCTCCCCCCATTTCCTTATCCACATTCTAATGAAAAACATGAAACAGTACTGGAACCAAAGGGAAGTAAAAGGGATCTACTTTGCCTTTCCCAAGTTGATTCTCTCCTCCTTTTGAATACATAACACTTTCCTGATTTGAAGAGAAAACATACATCAAAAAGCTGCCAGGTCACTGTTTGACTATTACCCTTCACATGTAAAGGAGGCATCGGTCTTTGTCATATCAACAGTCCCCTCTAGTTTACCTCTCCCTCAATTCAGTCCTCACCTTTAATGGCTGGCACCTTTACTAATGTACAAGAATAAGAACTGTAAAGAACAATAATCTGTTTCTTTCTTCACCCAGCTTTCTTCAGAAGGACCTGACTTCAGTACACATAAATCATCCTGCTTGGTTGTGAATGCAATTAGTTTTACTTTCACAAGAATCGTGTCCTCTTGTTGATCTCTTTCCATTTTCTTCATACTTACATCTACTTTCTAATACCGTCACACTTCCTTTCTAGGCAACTTCTCCCTTTTTGCCAACTTCAGGTGGCCAAAGAAATATGCTATCAGTTTCATCTCTCTTGTTTGGAGGCTGATGTGCTCCCTGAACATACAGTCCTAATCCCAGCTCAATTTTCATGTTCAGGAAATAGGTGGGGTATCATGCTTGCTTCACAGAGAAACTGAAACCTATTCCTGAATACGATCTTTCCCACATTACTTCCAGTCTGGAATTCTGCATTCTCACTGCACAATGATTTCCAATCACTCATGTGTTAAGATTTAACATGTAAGTCCTTTATCTAGCTGAGAGATCCCAGATTCGGGTTCCTGCCCCGTCAGTAAGGGAAGATACAGCAAGGAGTTTGTAAAAGCACTAGCCCAGAAAACATCTCAAGCCGTTAGATCCATTTCAGGGTCTGGTTCACGCCAGTTGGCTTCACCTTAATCGAGTTAGTAGCACTTACCTGAGCTTCGGGATACCCCATCCCACCCTATTCCTGTTTAGTCCCAGGTGGGGTCCAGGGCTTTGGCTGACAGATTTTCGATCCTGAGTCCCGATTCAGATTTCACTGACGGTTAGAAATAGGTCCTGGTTCCTGACTGGGATCAACTCCCAGCTGGGACCTTGCTTGAATGGAGTGTCGGTTCGAATCATGTGGTAGTGGCAGGAGCCAGGAAGGAACCCATGTCGGCTCCGGCTCTCAGCCGGGATCCTGGCTCCGGACAAGACCCAGGGGTCGGGTCAGCCCCAGGTCGGGTTCGAAGCCGGGTGCAGGTCTCACCTTGACGCAGTCGATGGGGTACATCACGCAGTGCTCCAGGATCCCTGCCACGGCGCCTGCCACCATGTGCGTGGTGACAGTGGCTCCAGCCGGCAGCGCCTCGTAGTCCGGGCCGGAGTCCGGATCTTGTCGTACCGGGGGCCTGCAGGCCCCGGCCTCCCCGCCGCCGGCCCCCCGGCCCACGCCCCGCTGCAGCCACCCGTCCAGCAGCGCCGACTCCCCGGGGCTCCGCCCGGGCCCTGCCGCCGGCCCCCCCGCCACACCGCCAGCACCCCGCCCCTCCAACTCCATCCACCCGGGCCAGCTGCGGCGCCCACCCCCGCCGCCGCTGCCACCACTGCCGCCGCCGCCCCCCGGCCCCGTAGTGTCCGCCTCAGGCGCGGCCCAGAGAGCCCGGGGCCTCCGGCTCCCGCTTGGCCCCGCGGACACGCCCCCCAAGCAACCATTGGTGGAGACGCCAAGTTAGACCCACCCCTTTCCTTACGTACGAAAAATCAGCCGGTAGTATTAGCGAAGTCGCCTGTCATTCCTCCGCCCTGAGGCGTTGCTAGCGCCTACATCCCACCTTTTCCCCTTTGATCTTAGAAGCTTCTTGTTTATTGGTCACTGATTGGCCGACATGTGCGATCAACCCGCCTCTGACTTTTAGAAGGGCGGGAGAAACTTAAGGCTGAACTTTGATAGGCTCAACCACTCTTGATACTTTGACCGCGGCCATTGGCCCGCACCACGTCGGTCCCCGATTGGCTACAGAAAGAGCGACGCGCCCAGGGACTCTAGGGGCCGACTTCGGGCCCCTCACTAGCGCCTGCAGAGCTGCGGTCCCTGTGCGCGGGATCGCGTCGGGGGCGGGGCGGCGACAGGCCTTCAACGTCAAACTGCTGACGGGCGCCGTTACGACCCGCGCTCCCGTGCGCTCCTCAAATTCTGAGACGCGTGGCTGGAGAGCGGGCGGCCCTGGCCCCGGAGAGCCGTGTTCCCGCGGGATCTCGTCGCGGGCGTGAGGCGGGGCCGGCCTGGGCCGGTCATCCCTGGCTGGCGCGACCCGCAGCCTGTCCGGGAAGCCGTTGCGACATGCGGGCTGGGAACCGCCTCACCTCCAGGGGGGACCGCGGCGGCCCGCTAGACTCTGGTCGGGTCTGGAGTATTGGGCCCTCTGGCCGGACTCGGTGCTCCTCAGGCCCCAGCGCCCGGCACTGAGCCTCGCATCCACATTCGCAGAGTAAACCCAACAAGTGTTGAATGAATGAGGTTCCCCGGGCCCCGGCTGTCACTGGGCTCTGCGCCAGGCCAAGAGCCGAAGGCGGGGGAGGAAGATGTCGAAATGGGCGGGATGATTCACAGATGACGGCCGGTGGCGAGGCGGGGCTGGAGGCCGCATCCCAAAGGCAGCAGGGAAGTGCGGCGGCTGTGGGGAAGCTCGGACGCACGGCCTGGCCGAGTCTGAAGCATCAGTATTTTGTCCCTGAGCCGGCGCGCTGATGGGTCCCCCGCCTGGCGATGAGGGCTTCTCCCTCCCTCGGGTCAGCCCGGGTCCTGAGAGGCAAGGCCAGCGATTCCCGGCCTTAGGACCTCCTGCTCTAGGGAGCACGGGCGTCTTCTTCCATTTGCCTTCCCCGAGCGTGTTGGCACAAGCTGCCCGCGGTTTCCAGCTCTGTCTTCTCTGTTTTACCCAGATGATGCAACTGTGGACTTCTCCATCTGTTCATAGGTTTTCCTTGGATAGGAAAGATGTTTTCCTTTTTTCTTTCTAAAGTTTAGCTCTTCTCTGGGCTTCCTTTTTAAAAACTTTTTCTACTCTCTTCAGCAGTTGTTATTAACCTTTAGGTCGCGACCGTTTGGAAAATAATAAAACTACGAATTCTCTTCTCCTACTTCCACCTCCCATCCCCTGTGTGCACTCAAAATTTTGCATATCATTTCTGCGTTTCAGAGTCCCTGAAGGTGCCATGTGGACACCCTAGGGGTCCATTAACCTGGTTAACCTCTCCCTGGCCGGCGCAGTGGCTCATGCCTGTGACCCCAACACTGTGAAGGCCGAGGTGGGACGATTTATTGAGCTCAGGAGTTCGAGACCAGCCTGGACAACATGGCAAAACCCCGTCTCTACAAAATAATAAATACAAAAAAGTACAAAAATTCAAAAATTAGCTGGGTATGGTGGTGTGCACCTGTAGTCTCAGCTACTTGGGGGAGGATTGCTTGCGCCAGGGAGGTCGAAGCTGCAGTGAGCCGTGTTCATGCCACTACACTCCAGCCTGGGTGACAAAGCAAGACTTTGTCTCAAAAAAATTTTTTTAAAAGGAACTTCTCCCCCACAGCATGTTCAGTCTCTCCTTTTCTCTAGCATATTTAGCTTGAGAAATGAATAGGTCTCACAAAAACCCATTCAATCCTGCTAGAGTACTAATTCCCTTTACTGCCAGATTACTCCACTAATGACCTATCCACCTCTATGTCCTTTCTCTCCTTAAGCTCTTTACATTTTTCACTCTTTTATTCATTGGTCATAAATGACCTTTCCAAATCCATCGGTCTTTTTCCTATTCCCGTTTTTCTTAACAGAGATAACACTTGCCGCCACACCACATTGGCACTTTTTACTAGCTTCAGAAACCACTCTACCTTTTAGACATCTCAGTCGCTTACACTTCTCTAGCCATTGAAGTGGAACATCCCTAAACGTTTAATGCTTCTTGGTCATCTTTAATACCTTAGAGAACTTTGCCATTCCAAACCAGTTGTCCTCATTGGAACCCTATCTTTATTTCCCTTATTGCATACTTTTAACTGAAATTTCCATGGGAACATTCAGTAATGTTTATTGTGTACCAACTGTGTACTTGAAGCTGGGGATACAGGACAGACATAGTCCATGTTCTCATGGAGCTTTTTAATGATGAGGGTGGGGAGGTGGGACAGAGAAAAATACACACAAAAAATGTCAGCTCTGGATGCTATGCTGACCTTTGAAATAGGGTGGTATGATATAGTGTGACTGGGTGGCTACATTTGTATGGCCAAGGAAGGCCTTTCTGAGGAGACGACATGTATGGTGAGTTCTGAATGATAGGCAGGAGCCAGTCATGACAGACTTGGAGAAGGGCATGCCAGCAGAAGGAACAGTAGGTACGACAACCCTAAGGTGAGAACAAGGTTGGTGCATGAGGAACAGAAAGAAGGCCAGTGTGGCTGGAGCATGGTGAGTGAGTGGGGAGGGAATACAACACGAAGTTGGAAAGATAAACAAGGGGTGAATATCCACCTTGATTTCTGACTCAGCGTGTCCATTCCAAGCTCAGCCTTTCCACTCCCCACCCCAACCCATTCCTCCAAAATGTTCGTTTTCCATGAAAGTCTTCATTATTTGCCCAATAGATGAGACTCTAAAGCTGGAGTCTTCCTTGACTGCCCATTCAGAATCATCATCATTCTGAACTGTTTCTTCTGTTTATGCTCTCCTTTTCCTTCGTATTGATATACTTTCCCTGAATCTGATTACATCTGTATTGTCATAACCCCTTGAAAGGCCTGCCTGCCTCGAGGATCCCCTAGCTTCAGCAGTATTTTGATTCTCCTCCTTCCAGGTACACAGTAGGATGTTTTTTCCACCTCCTTGAAGATAGGCATGGCCCTGGGATTTGCTTTGGCCAGTGAAATACGAGGGAAGCACAAGAGTCACACATTTCCTCCTCTGCCACATGACTAGTGATTGTTCAAATGGTGGAGACTCTGTCAGCCTGGGGCCCTGGTGAGAATGACATGAAGCAGAGTTCCCTACTTGTTACCTGCTTGCTCCCAGACAGACTTCAGCATCAGTGAGAAATAAATCTTAGTTGTTTCAAGACACAGAGCTTTTAGGATTATTCCACACCATAGCATAAACTAGCCCAGTACTTCTGTGATGATAAATGATGTTACCTGAAGAATTTGTTAAAATGCAGACTGCAGTTCTGTAGGTCTGGTTGGGGCCTAAGATTCTTCCTTCCCTCTCTCCCTCCCTCCTCCCTCCCTTCCTTCCTTCTCTTTCTTCCTTCCTTTCTTCTCTTTCTTTCTTCCTTTCTCCTTCCTTCCTTTTTTCCTTCCTTCCTGTCTTCTCTTTTTCTTTCTTTCTTCCTTTCTCCTTCCTTCCTTTTTTTCTTCCTTCCTTCTTTCTTTGTTTCTTTCTTTCTTTTTCTTTCTTCTTTCTTTTTTCTCTCTTTCTTTTTCTTTCTCTCTCTCTCTTTCTTTTGTAGAGACAGGGTCTTGCTATCTTGCCCAAAATGGTCTTAGAACTCCTAGGCTCAAGCAATCCTCTTGTCTCAGCTTCCCAAAGTGCTGAGATTACAGGTGTGAGCCACCACGCCTACCTAGATTCTGCATTTTTGACAAGCTCTCAAGTGATGCTGATGCTGCTAGACCTTGGACCACACTTTGAATAGTAAGCACCTAACCTGCACACAAACCCATACACACTGTCGTACATCTCACCAGCACTAAACCTGCCTAAAAAATTATAAAAGTAAGCAGGCCAGGCACGGTGGCTCATGCTTGTAATCCCAGCACTTTGGGAGACCGAGGCAGGTAGATCACTTGAGGTCAGGAGTTTGAGATCAGCCTGGCCAACATGGTGAAACCCTGTCTCTACTAAAAATACAAAAATTAGCCAGGCGTGGTGGCGTGTGCCTGTAATCCCAGCTACTCAGGAGGCTGAGGTGGGAGAATCACTTGAACCCGGGATGCAGAGGTTGCAGTGAGCCAAGATTGGGCCACTGCACTCCAGTCTGGGTGATAGAGTGAGACCCTATCTCAAAGAAAAAAAAGTAGGCAAGGAACTTTATTGGTGATATTCTTCACAAACCCTCAGCAGTTTCCTGCACCTGCAACTCCTCAGGTACTATAGTCATGTTTTCTTGTATTCCAGTGTCTGGAATTTATTCCTTCTGGTGGATTCTTGGTCTTGCTGACTTCAAGAATGAAGCCGCGGACACTCGCGGTGAGTGTTACAGTTCTTAAAGATGGCGTGTCTGGAGTTTGTTCCTTCAGATGTTCAGATGTATCCAGAGTTTCTTCCTTCCAGTGGGTTCGTGGTCTCGCTGACTTCATGATTGAAGCCGCAGACCTTTGCAGTGGGTGTTATAGCTCATAAAGATATTGCCGACCCAAAGAGTGAGCACCAGCAAGATTTATTCTGAAGAGTGAAAGAACAAAGCTTCCACAGCATGGAAGGGGACCTGAGCAGGTTGCTGCTGCTGGCTAGGGTGGCCAGCTTTTATTCCCTTATTTGGCCCTGTTCCCCCACATCCTGCTGATTGGTCCATTTTACAGAGCATTGATTGGTCCATTTTACAGAGTGCTGATTGGTGTGTTTACAATCCTTTAGCTAGACACAGAGCGCAGATTGTTGTGTTTACAATCCTCTAGCTAGACAGAAAAGTTCTCCAAGTCCCCACCTGACCCAGAAGCCCAGCTGGCTTCACCTCTCATTCCCAGTACAATTGTTTTTTCACATTCTCCCGTCTGTCTTGTAATTTTCTACATCTCTCTATGAGACCACTCATTTTTTTTCTTTAGTAATAGAAACCTCAAGTTTCAATTTGGGCATGTGGCTTCCCAGCTAAAGCCCATATATTTTTCCCCAGCTTCCCTGGCAATCAACATTGGAGGTGTGACTAAGTTCTAGTTAGTGGGATGTGAGGGAAAGTGATGTTTGAAACACCTGGGTTGTACCTTTAAAAGAAAAGGATATGTTCTCCTCTTGCTCATTTTCTCCCTTCTCGTCAGAACACAGACCCAGAAGATAATTATTTTTGGCCATGAGGACAAGGCCTGTACTTTAGCTGGTGGCAGAGCAAAAGTTAGAAGAAACCTGTGTCCTTAACACCATGAGGCATCCTATCACCTCAGACCACTTGTGCTCAGACATGAGAAAGCTTGTTAAGCAATTGCTGTTAATGGGAATCTTTGTTACAGCAGGTGAATTTATATCCTAGAGAAGCTGCTCTTCCTTAGAATGCATTTCCCCCTTTGTTCTTATCAAATTTCTCATTATTGAAGGTTCAAAACAGGTCCTACTGCTGCGTCCGGCTTACACTACCCCCTTCTCTGAACTGCCATCATACCTGGGCATGTGATATGAGTGTAGTATAAAATGAGATTGATTCCAGCAGCCACACATGAAAATAAGACTGCTAACCTTACAGCCACTTAAAAAGAAACTGATTCCTAAATGGTGAAGAAACAGAACATAAGAGCTACAGGAATTCAGAGATGGGGTAAGCAGTGAGGACTGAAAGGATCAGGAGATATCATTATTTATCTCATTAGTTTTCAAACTGGAGACTGTGTACAGGAAGACTTTCCAAGGGTTATTTAGGAAACATTGTTTCAAGGGAATTAATTTGCTACTCCTCATCTGGATTAATTCTTTCCTAAAATTCCTCTTCCTGAAAAAGCCGTTGAAACAATTCTTCTTTCCTTTCTCCCCTTTCTCAATCTGTCCTTTTATCTTACAAAAGAAAAGTGTGACCTGACTCACTTCTCATCTTATTATCATTTATTCGCTGGGTGCATAAAAACACCCAGGTTGTCAAACAATCCTTGTGCTGGCAAAGCCTTCAATCAAGATATAACAGTAGACTTCATGTCTTTCCCTGACTTACATATATTCCTGTTAAGGGCAAAACATGGCTTTAAGAATGGAAATTTCAGCCCATGTGGGATATTCTGTGTACATAAATATGGTACAGTGGAGCAGTGTTTTTTTTTTTTTAATTTGTAATTCTCATTTATTGAGGAAAATATAAGTAGAGGGCAGTTTTCAGTCCCACCGTTAGTCCTTCTTCCCCAGATTCCTTATTCCACTTTTGTCTGTCTGATGAGTCACTTTCATTCTTTAACCCTGCCCTTTGTATTTTTTTAAAAAAATAATTAATTTTATGGCCAGATATGGTGGCTCACACCTCCCAGCACTTTGGGAGGCCACAGCAGGCAGATCACTTAAGGCCAGGAGTTCGAGACCAGCCTGGCCAACATAGTGAAACACTGTCTGTACTAAAAATGCAAAAATTAGCCGGGCATGGTGGTGCATGCCTGTAATCCCAGCTACTTGGGAGGCTGAGGCATGAGAATGGCTTGAACCAGGGAGGCAGAGGTTGCAGTGAGCCAAGATCATGCCACCGCACTCCAGCCTAGGCGACAGACCGAGACAATCTCAAAATAAAAATAAAAAAAAAGTCTTTTTTTGGATACATAGTAGGTGTATATTTATAGGGTATCTGAGATGTTTTAATATAGGCCTGCAATGTGAAATAATCACATCATGGAGAATGGGGTATCCATCCCCTCAAGCATTTATCCTTTGAGCTATAAACAATCCAATTACACTCTTTATTTATGTATTTGTTTATTTATTCATCTTGTTTTTTTTTTTTTTGAGACAAGATACTGCTCCGTCACCCAGGCTAGAGTGCAGTAGCGTGATCATGGCTCACTGCAGCTTCAACCCCCCTGGCTCAAGCGATCCTCCTGCTTCTGTCCCCCAAGTAGCTGGGACTATAGTTAAGCACTAATACATCCGGCTAATTTTTTTGAATTTTAGTAGAGACAAGGTCTCATTATGTTGCCCAGACTAGTCTCAAACTCCTGAGCTCAAGTGATCTCCCACTTCAGCCTCCCAAAGTGATGGGATTACAGGCATGAGCTACCGTACCCTGCCCACTTTTAAGTTATTTTAAAATGTACAATTAAGTTATTATTAACTATAGTCACCCTATTTTGCTATCAAACAGTAGGTCTTATTCATTCTTTCAATTCTTTTTTGGACCTATTAACAATTCTTACCCACCTCCCGCAAGTTCCCGCCACCCTTCCCAGCCTCTGGTAACCATCCTTCTACTCTCTATGTCCATGAGTTCAATTGTTTTGATTTTTGATCCCACAAATAAGTGAGAACAGAGCAGTGAGTTTTTTATTTACATCACCGATACCAATCTCTGACTATTATCAAAGAATACATTGCTTCTGGAGGGAGATTCTCCTGAGAGCAAAGTAAAGAGAGCATAATTAAATATTAAAGGTGAGAGAGCCTTATTTCATTTAAGTGGCACATTTATGGCAAGGTTTGTGGCCTATCTCTCTTGGGACTATGATATGTAAGACTTACAATTTTTATTTTTATGCTGGGAAGTAATAAAGGGCAATGATCCCTCTCTGGTCAGAAACAAGAAAAAGCTGAGTAATACTCCTCATTTACTCATGTCTCGACTTGAGTTTCAATTTTATATTTTGCATTACTTCTAGGAGAAGTATGGGGAAAGTACATGTTTACATGTTTTCACAGATCAACATTATGCCATCAAGTAAAAGGAAAATATGTCAAAAACAAATTTGTCTTTTATATTTTCTTGAATGTTTATTCAGGCTTGCAGTAAAAACGTTTTCATTTTCCTTTGTCAAAAGATTATTGGCTATGCCACTTCATACCTATGCAGATGGCTATAAGAAAAAACACAATCATTGGGCGGTTGCAGTGGCTCACGCCTACAATCCCAGCACTTTGGGAGGCTAAGGTGGGTGGATCACCTGAGGTCAGGAGTTCAAGACCAGCCTGGCCAACATGGAGAAACCCTGTCCCTACTAAAAATTAATTAGCCGGGTGTGGTGGCACATGCCTATAATCCCAGCTACTCAGGAGGCTGAGGCAGAAGAATCGTTTGAACCCGGGAGGCAGAGGTTGCAGTGAGCTGAGATCACGCCATTGCACTCTAGCCTGGGCAAAAAGAGCAAAATTCTGACTCAAAAACAAAACAAAAAAACCCACCACAATCATTGTTGAAAATAACAACCATTAGCAAGAAAATAACAACCACTGAGGAAATTGGAACCCTCATACATTGCTGGTGAGAATGTAAAATCATTCAGCCACTATGGAAAACAGTTTGGCAGTTCCTCAAAAAGTTAAACATAGAATTACTATATGACCCAGCAATTCCACTCCTAGGTATATGACTGCTATAATTTGGATGTCTGTCCCCTCCAAATCTCATGATGAAATTTGATCTCCAGTGTTCCAGGTGGGCCTACTGGGAGGTATTTGAGTCATGGGAATAGATCCCTCATGAATAGATTAATGCCCTCTGTGGGGGACAGGTGAGTGAATTCTCATTCTATTAGTTTCAGTGAGAGTTGGTTGTTAAAAAGAGCCTGGCACCTCCTGCCCCATGCCCCTTGCCTCATCTCTTGTCATATTATCTCTGCAGAAGCAGCCTGAGGCCCTCCTCAGAAGCTGGGGAGATGCTGGTTCCCTGCTTCTTGTATAACCTGCACAACTATGAGCCAAAAAACCTCTTTTCTTTATAAATTACCCAACCTCAGGTATTCCTTTATAGCAACACAAGACTAAGACAATTTCCAAAAGAATGGAACACAGGTACTCAAGCAAGTACGTGCATGTTCACAGCAGCACTTTTCACACTAGGCAAAAGGTGGAAACAGTCCAAATGTCCATCAGACAAATAATGGATAAATAGATTGTGTATACATGCAATGAATATAATTCAACCATAGAAAGAAACAAAGAACTGATACATGCTATAATGTGAATGAATCTTGAAAGAAGCCAAATGCAAAAGGTCACATATTATTCCACTTATATGAAATATCCAGAATAGATAGCTCTATAGAGACAGAACACAGATTGGTGGTTACCAGATGCAGCAGGCAGGGGAGAATGAGAGTAACTGCTTAATGGGGATGGGGTTTCCTATCAGGGTGATGAAATGAGTCAGAACTAGGTAGATGTAGTGGTTGTACAACATTGTGAATGTACTAAATGCCACTGAATAGTCCACTTTAAAATGGTTAATTTGGCCCGGCACAGTGGCTCACGCCTGTAATCCCAACCCTTTGGGAGGCCAAGGTGGGTGGATCGCTTGAGCCTAGGAGTTCAAGACCAGCCTGGGCACCATAGGGAAACCCCCATCTCAAAAAAGAAGAGGGAAAAAAAGGGTAGTGAGACTGTAAAGCAGTTTCTTCCACTTCTTTCCTTTCTTTCCTTCCTTTCATACCAGTGGCTCTCAAATCATCCAGGGGAGCTTGGATGCAAACTTTTTCTTTTCTCTTTGAGACGGAGTCCCATTCTATACCCCTGGCTGGAGTGCGGTGGTACAGATCTCAGCTCACTCAAACTCTGCCTCCTGGGTTCAAGCAATTCTCCTGCCTCTGCCTCCTGAGTAGCTGGGATTAACGATGCGCACCACCACCCCCGGCAAATTTTTTAAAAATATTTTTGGTAGACGCGGGGTTTCACCACGTTGGCGAGGCTGGTCTCGAACTCCTGACCTCAAGTGATCCACCCACCTAAGCCTCCCAAAGTGCTGGGATTACAGGCATGAGCCACCATGCCTGGCCCATGCAAACTTTTTGACCCTAACATAGGCCTAAAAATCATCTTCAGAGTGAGGCATGAGAATCTGCATTTTATAAGCAGGTCATTCTGACACAGGTGGTCCCTGGACCACATTTTGAAAAATATTGCTATGATATCACCACACTAGTTCTGAACATCCAATTGGTGCTAGTTTAATAGGCTAAAAGCCATGACTCAGCAGGGGGCAGCAAAGCTTAATAGTGCTAGCCAATTCATTTATTCTCTCAATATGTGCCAGGCCTTAAACGAAGTCCTAGGGATAAAAGATGCATAAATCCACGCATGGTCTCTTCTCTGGTGGAGCTTAAAGTCTTCTGGGGAAGACAGGCATTAACCAAAGATTCATGAATGTAAAATTACAACTGGGATGTGTGAGATGAAGGAAAGGCACATGATATACTAAAATCATATGTTAAGGGGACCTAACTTAGCCTAGGGGGTTATGTCGCACAAGGGAAATGACATTTGAAGTAATATTTTAAAGATAAGAAGAGTTAATTAGGTTACATCAGATGGAGGGATAGTGGAAGGAGTAAGGGAGGTAGTGGAAGGAGTAAGGGAAGGAGTAATTTTCTGGACAAAGAAAACATAATAGCAGGAGTCCTGTGGTCACAGGACAAGAACAGTGTTTGTGAGGCCAGATGAAGCATGTCTGAGTCCTAGGAAGTAAGTAAGGAGCAGTCCTTGAGAGGCTTTGAAAGTCATGTTTCAAGGGATTGGTTTATATTTTAAGAACAATGGGATTCCATTGTGGAATTCTAAGTTGAAGTTGGGCAACATGGTCAATTTTGCATTTTGAAAAGGTCACTGGTTTCTGTGAAAAAAGATTGAGGGCAGCAACCCTAGAAGCTGGGCTATTATTCATATTTTATAGATAAGGAAATGAGCTGTAAGAAACATAGCTTCCTCAAGGTAACACAGCTGGTTAGTGGTGAAACCAGCTTTCAAACACTGGTCTCCTGACTTCGTCTATTTTATTTAATTTTATATTATATCTTATTTTAAATTTTTATTTATTTTTCTTTCTCAGAAATCCTTGCTCTGATCTGCCTGACTTCAGAGTGTAAACTCTTAAATACACAGTCTGCTGCTTCTCCAGATCAAGGTAATAAACTAACAAAACAGAGTTAGTAAAAATGATTTTTAAAAAGTATAAACAGAAAGCCTCATCTCTTGACTCATCCCATCTTTGCTTTGGTCATGACTCCTCACCAGAAAATGAGAATGGGAAGGATAGCCCAGGGTAGCTGAAGTTCCCTTACTTGACCTAAGCTTCACTTTCCTCATCTGTAAAGCAGTAATAATACTCTAATAGGCCGCATAGAATGCCCTCTGTATCCATGGGTTCTGCATTCGTGGATTCAACCAACTGGGAGAGAAAATAATGGGAAAAAATGCATCTGTACTGAACACGCTCAGTATGTTATTTTTTTTTTTTATTTTTTTTTTTTTTTTGAGACGGAGTCTCGCTCTGTCGCCCAGGCCGGACTGCGGACTGCAGTGGCGCAATCTCGGCTCACTGCAAGCTCCGCCTCCCGGGTTCACGCCATTCTCCTGCCTCAGCCTCCCCAGTAGCTGGGACTACAGGCGCCCGCCACCGCGCCCGGCTAATTTTTTGTATTTTTAGTAGAGACGGGGTTTCACCTTGTTAGCCAGGATGGTCTCGATCTCCTGACCTCATGATCCACCCGCCTCGGCCTCCCAAAGTGCTGGGATTACAGGCGTGAGCCACCGCGCCTGGCCCAGTATGTTATTTTTTAAGCAATAAAGTATAATGACTACATAACATTTACATTGTATTAGGTATTATAAGTAATCTAAAGATTATTTAAAGTAGCTGAGAGGATGTGTGTAGGTTATTTGCAAATACTATGCCACTTTACATTAGTGACTTGAGCATCTGCAGATTTTGGTATCTGTGGAGGCTGGCAGGGGGTGGGTGTGTGTCCTAGAACCAGTCCCCCATGGATACTGAGGGACAACTGTACTTCACTGGATTGTTTAAGGATTAAATTACAAAAAGAATGCTAAATGCTTAGTTTAGTTTAGTACCAGGCATACTATATACTATAGTTAGACCTCAACAAATGTGGATTATTACTATTATTATAATGATTACTTATTTTTTCCTTTATATCTGTCCATCCACCATCATAGAAATCAATGGCATCACATCACCTAACTCCCAAGCAAGAAACCAAAATTATCATAGTTACTGTCCTTTGCTTTTATTCTTTCTACTTCTTTTTTTCAGGTCAACTGTGAGCAAGGAACTTTTGCTTGTTTAGACAATCAACTTGTTGCTAAACTACAGCACCAAATTTTGGGTATCTCACAAATTAGCTTCCTTTTCTTCCTACAATAACATCCTTACTTTGGGACTAGGTCATATGTGACCTTAGTTGTTGCATTGACTTTGTATCATAAATAGTAGACCAAATTCTTAAGTGAAACAGCTAGAATTACAAAGCTTTCCTTGAATGTTATCAAATAACATAAGGGTCTATCATCTTTGACATACAAAAACGATAAGCTATCAGCACAGGATAAATTTTGAGTTGTTTATGGAAGTAGATGTGATGTATTTTTAGTGCTCTGTGGTATTGTATACTTTATACATATGGGATGCATTATCAAAGTAACTAGCCAGTTATGAAGGCAGCAAACATGGACACAACATTTTCATTTAAAAAAAAAAAGTTGGCCTCAACCCCATAAGCCTTGAATCCCCAAGTTATCTGTGTGCGTGATTTTCCTGGCTGTTCTCCAGGTCCTATTCCAATTTCTTACTACATTTTTATTACAGGCACATTCCCAACACTCATACCTGGTCTTCTGCCTTATCCAATGCTGATTTCTTCATTGCCTTCTTTTAATCAACCAGCACTTTTCTCTGTATTACTTAGCCTTTCTTGCCTTCACAACTTACTCATTACAAACTAGCATATAAAAGCCTAGGCAGGCCAGGCGCGGTGGCTCACATTTGTAATCCCAGCACTTTGGGAGGCTGAGGCAGGTGGATCACCTGAGGTCAGGAGTTCGAGACCAGCCTGGCCAACATGGCAAAACCCCATGTCTACTACAAATACAAAAAATTAGCTGGGTGTGCTGGTGCATGCCTGTAATCACAGCTACTTGGGAAGCTGAGGCAGGAGAATGAACTGAGATCGCATGCCATTGCACTCCAGCCTGGGCGACAGAGGGAGACTCTGTCTTAAGAAAAAAAAAAAAAAGCCTAGGCAGACCTATGAGCCTTCCCTATCCACCCTAGTAGCTGAAGACAAAGGGCATAAACTTGGGAGTTCTAGGGCACCACTCGCCGCAGATTCTTCTCCATACTACCACAGCTGATGCTCTCTGGAAAGCACCACCTCCCAGCAGGAGGCAAACCAGCCCAAAAATAAAGCACTAAACCACCAAAGCTAAGAATCCTCACAGAGTCCATTTCACCCCCCTGCCACCTGCACTGGAACAGGTGCTGGTATCCATGGCTGAGAGACCAATAGACAGTTCACATCACAGGACTCTGTGATAACTCCCAGTACCAGCCTGGGGCTGGGTAGACTTGCTGGGCAGCTAGACCCAGAAAAGAGATAACAATCATTGCAGCTTGGCTCACAGAAAGCCAGATCCATAGGAAAGGGGGAGAGTACTACATCAAGGGAATGCCCTGTGTGACAAAAGAATTTGAACAACAGCCTTCAGCCCTAGACCTTCCCTCTGGCAGAGCCTACCCAAATGGAAGGAACCAGAAAACCAAGTCTGGTAATATGACAAAACAAGGCTCTTTTACACCCTCAAAAAATCACACTAGCTCACCAGCAATGGATCCAAACCAAGAAGAAATCCCTGATTTACCTGAAAAAGAATTCAGGAGGTTAGTTATTAAGCTAATTAGGGAGGCACCAGAGAAAGGTGAAGCCCAGTGCAAGGAAATCCAAAAAATGATACAAGAAGTAAAGGGAGAAATATTCGAGGAAATAGCATAAAAAAAAGCAATAGAAATTTCAGGAAATATCGAACACACTTATAGAAATGTAAAATGTTCTGGAAAGTCTCAGCAATAGAATTGAACAAGTAGAAGAAAGAAATTCAGAACTCAAAGACAAGGTCTTTGAATTAACCCAATCAAACAAAGACAAAGAAAAAAGATTAAGAAAATATGAACAAAACCTCCAAGAAGTCTGGGATTCTATTAAATGACCAAACTAAGAACAATCAGTGTTGCTGAGGAAGATGAGAAATCTAAAAGTTTGGAAAACATATTTGGGGAAATGATTGATGAAAACTTTCCTGGCTTTGGTAGAGACCTAGACATCCAAATACAAGAAGCACAAAGAAAACCTGGGAGATTCATCACAAAAGGATCCTTGCCTAGGCAACATTGTCATCAGGTCATCTAAAGTTAAGATGAAGGAAAGAATCTTAAGAGCTGTGAGACAAAAGCACCAGGTAACCTATAAAGGAAAACCCATCAGATTAACAGCAGATTTCTCAACAGAAACCCTACATGCTAGAAGGGTTTGGGGCCCTATCATCAGCCTCCTCAAACAAAACAATTATCAGCCAAAAAATTTTGTATCCAGCAAGACTAAGCATCATATATGAAGGAAAGATACAGCCTTTTTCAGACAAATAAATGCTGAGAGAATTAGCCACTACGAAGTCACCATTACAAGAACTGCTAAACAGAGTTCTAAATCTTGAAACAAATCCTGGAAACACATCAAAACAAAATCTCTTTAAAGCATAAATCACACAGGACCTATGAAACAAAAATATTAGTTAAAAGGCAAAGCCAAAAACAAAAAAACCAAGGTACACAGACCACAAATAGCACAATGAATGCAACGTTACCTCACATCTCAATACTAACATTGAATGTAAATGGCCTAAATGCTCCACTTAAAAGATACAGAGCTGCCGAATGGATAAGAACTCACCAACTGCTGGGCACGATGGCTCACACCTGTAATCCCAGCACTTTAGGAGGCCGAGGCGGGTGGATCACGAGGTCAGGAGATTGAGACCATCCTGGCTAACGTGGTGAAACCCTGTCTCTACTAAATACAAAAATTAGCCTGGTGTGGTAGCACACACCTGTAGTTCCAGCTACTTGGGAGGCTGAGGCAGGAGAATCACCTGAACCTGGGAGGTGGAGGTTGCAGTGAGCAGAGATCATGCCACTACACTCCAGCCTAGGCAACAGAGCATGATTCCATCTCAAAAAAAAAAAGAGCTCACCAACCAACTATCTGCTGCCTTCAGGAGACTCACCTAACACATAAGGACTCACATAAACTTAAAGTAAAGGGGTGGAAAAAGGCATTTCATGCGAATGAACACCAAAAACAAGTAGGGGCAGCTATTCTTATATCAGACAAAACAAACTTTAAAGCAACAGTGGTTAAAAGAGACAAAGAGGGAGACTGTATAATGGTAAAAGGCCTTGTCCAACAGGAAAATATCACAATCGTAAACATATATGCACCTGACACCAGAGCTCCCAAATTTATAAAGCGATTACTAATAGACCTAATAAATGAGATAGACACCAGCACAATAATAGTGGGAACTTCAATACTCCACTGACGGCACTAGACAGGTCATCAAGAGACAGAAAGTCAACAAAGAAACAATGGATTTAAACTATACCTTGGAACAAATGGACTTAACAGATATATACAGAACATTTCATCCAGCAACCTCAGAATACACATTCTATTCAACAGCACATGGAACTTTCTGTAAGATAGACCATATGATAGGCCATAAAACAAGCCTCAATAAATTTAAGAAAATTGAAATTATATCAATCACTCTCTCAGATTACAGTGGAATAAAACTGGAAATCAACTCCAAAAGGAACCTTCAAAACCATGCAAATATATGGAAATTAAATAACCTGCTCCCGAATGAGCATTGGGTCAAAAACGAATGGAAATTTAAAAATTCTTCAAACTCAATGACAACAATGACACAACCTATCGAAACGTCTGGGATACAGCAAAGGTGGTGCTAAGAGGAAAGTTCATAGCCCTAAATGCCTACATCAAAAAGGCTGAAACAGCACAAACTGACATTCTAAGGTCACATCTCAAGGAACTGGAGAAACAAGAACAAACCAAATGCAAACCCAGCAGAAGAAAGGAAATATCCAATACTGACACTGCTGAAATACAAAAGATCATTCAAGGCTACTATGAACACCTTTATGCACATAAACTAGAAAATGTAGAAAAGATGGATAAATACCTGGAAAAATATAACCCCTAGCTTAAGTCAGGAATAATTAGGTACCCTGAACAGATCAGTTACAAGCAGTGAGATTGAAACGGTAATTTAAAAATTACCGACAACAAAAAAGTCTAGGACCAGAGGGATTCACAGCAGAATTCTATCAGGCATTCAGAGAAGAATTGGTACCAATCCTTTTGACGCTATTCCACAAGATAGAGAAAGAGAGAACCCTCCCTAATTCATTCTATGAAGCCAGCATCACCCTAATACTAAAACCAGGAAAGGATGTAACCAAAAAAGAAAACAACAGCCCAATATCCCTGATGAACATAGATGCTAAAATCATTAACAAAATACTAGCTAATTGAATCCAACAACATATCAAAAAGATAATACACCACGAGCAAGTGGGTTTCATACCAGGGATGCAGAGATGGTTTAACATACACAAGTCAATAAATGTGATATACCACATAAACAGAATTAAAAACAAACCACATGATCATCTCAATAGATGCAGAAAAGGCATTTGACAAAATCCAGCCTCCCTTTATGATTAAAACTCTCAGCAAAATCAGCATACATGGGACATACCTCAATGTAATAAAAGCCATCTATGACAAACCCACAGCCAACATTATACTGAATGGGGAAAAGTTGAAAGCATTCCCTCTGAGAACTGGAGCAAGACAAGGTTGCCCACTCTCACCACTCCTCTTCAACATAGTAATGGAAGTCCCAGCCAGAGCAATCAGACAAGAGAAAGAAAGGACATTCAAATAGGTAAAGAGGAAATCAAACTGTCACTGTTTGCTGACAATATGATCGTTTACCTTGAAAACCCTAAAGACTCCTCCAGAAAGCTCCTAGAACCGATAAAAGAATTCAGCAAAGTTTCTGGATACAAGATTAATGTACACAAATCAGTAGCTCTCCTATACACCAACAGCGACCAAGTGGAGAATCAAATCAGGAACTCAACTCTTTTTACAGTTGCTGCAAAAACAAAAACAAACAAACAAAAAAACTTAGGAATACACCTAACTAAGGAGGCGAAAGACCTCTACAAGGAAAACTACAAAACACTGCTGAAATAAATCATAGATGACACAAACAAATGGAAACACATCCCATGCTCATGGATGGGTAGAATCAATATTGTGAAAATGACCATACTGCCAAAAGCAATCCACAAATTCAATGCAATCCCCATCAAAATACCGTCATCATTCTTCGCAGAATTAGAAAAAGCAATTCTAAAATTCATATGGAACCAAAAAGAGCCCGCATAGCCAAAGCAAGACTAAGCATAAAGAACAAATCTGGAGGCATCACACTACCTGATTTCAAACTATATTAAAAGGCCATAGTCACCAAAATAGCACAGTACTGGTACAGAATGGCATACAGAGCAATGGAAAAGAATAGAGAACCCAGAAATAATCCCAAATACTTAACAGCCAACTGATCTTCGATAAAGCAAACAAAAACATAAAGTGGGGGAAATGATACCCTTTTCCACAAATGGTAATAATTGGCTAGCCACATGTAGGAGAATGAAACTGGATCCTCATCTCTCACCTTATACAAAAATCAACTCAACATGGATTAAGAATTTAATCTAAGACCTGAAACTATAAAATTATAGAAGATAACATTGGACAAACCCTTCTAGACATTGGCTTAGGCAAGGATTTCATGACAAAGAACAGTAAAGCAAATACAAGAAAAACAAAGATAATTACCTGAGACTTAATTAAACTGAAGAGCTTTTGCACAGCAAAAGGAACATTCAGCAGAGTAAACAGCAACCCACAGAGTGGGAGAAAATATTCACAATCTATACATCTGACAAAGGACTAATATCCAGAATCTACAATGAACTCAAACAAATCACTAAGAAAAAAACAATCTTATCAAAAAGTGGGCTAAGGACATGAATAGACAATTCTCAGAAGAAGATATACAAATGGCCAACAAACATATGAAAAAATGCTCAACATCACTAATGATCAGGGAAATGCAAATCAAAACCACAATGTGATACCACCTTACTCCTGCATGAATGGCCATAATCAAAAAATTAAAAAACAGTAGATGTTGGCATGGATGCAGTGATCAGGGAACACTTCTACACTGCTTGATGGGAACGTAAACTAGTACAGCCACTATGGAAAACAGTGTGGAGATTCCTTAAAGAACTAAAAGTAGAACTACCCCTTGATCCAGCAATCCCACTATTGGGTATCTACTCAGAGGAAAATAAGTCATTGTATGAAAAAGATACTTGCACACACATGTTTATAACAGCACAATTTGCAAATGCAAAATCGTAGAACCAACCCAAATGCCCATCAATCAATGAGTGGATAAAGAAACTGTGATATATATATATTTCTCAACATATATAAATATATATATATTTCTCAATAATATATATATGAGGGAATACTACTCAGCCATAAAAAGGAGTGAACCAATGGCATTTGCATCCACCTGGATGAGATTGGAGACCATTATTCTAAGTGAGGGTAACTCAGGAATGGAAAACCAAACATTGTATCTTCTCACCGATATGTGGGAGCTAAGCTGTGAGGATGCAAAGCCATAAGAATGATACAATAGATTTTGGGGACTTGGGGATGAGGGTGGGAGGGGGGCGAGGGATAAAAGACTACAAATAGGGTGCAGTGTATATTGCATGGGTGATGGGTGCACCAAAATCTCACAGATCACCACAAAAGAACATATGTAACCAAATACCACCTGTACCCCAATAACCTATGGAAAATTTTTTAAAAAATAAAATAAATCCCATTTTCTCAATTTCAAGGAATGCCCAATTTTAAACTCAACCTAAAAAAAAATTCCCTGGAGAGGACCAAGCTTGATCCACTAGGTAATAACTCTTACTCAACCTCATTGCTTCATGAAATCTCATTGACTCCCTGCCCCCCCATCCCCCTACTCCGCCCCAGGCTACCTTCTTGGCACTGATCTTATTCCAAGGACTGGGCCAGCACCATGGGTACACACACACACACACACACACACACACACACACACAGCCTAGGCATTTACATCAACTGCATCAAAAGAGATAATCCCATATTTTAGGAAATGGAAAGTTATTCTCATAGCGACAAAGTTAAATCACTTATCCTTTGGATTTAATTCACTTACTTCATGACTTACTTATCAGGCTTCAGTTATGTGTGTACCCAGCAGTATGTTAAGGGACTGAGAAGGATAAGGAGGGGCAAAGAGTACAAAAAAAGAAAAAAACAAAAAAGCTAGGAAGCTATAGTCCTGCTTTTCAAGAAACTTGAAATCTCTGGTGAAAAAAGACATGCATGTGTTATACAACAATGGTAACTGACAGCCAGCATTTATGAGCGGCTCACTATGTGCCAGCCAATGTAGACATTATTATTTTCTAATCCTATATTGTTTTATATTAGTTATCCATCACCGCATAACAAATTACCACAAAACTTAGTAGCTTAAAACAATAAATATTAATTATAAGTTTCCTTGGATGTGGCATTTGATATAATTGGCTAAGGCTACAGATACCTGAAAGATTGACTGGGGATAGAGAATGCACTTCCACAGTGGCTCACTCACACAGCTGGCAAGTTGATTATGGCTATTGGCAGGAGGCCTCAGTTTCTCCCCATGTGGGCATCTCCAGAGAGATGCTTAAGTGTCTTCATGACATGGTAGCACATGGTACCACATTCTAAGCAAATTATTGTACGTCTTTTGATTATATCCATTCTAGAGGATATGTACTATCTCATTGTGGTTTTATTTTTTACTCTTAAAATTTTGTTTTAATGTTTATATATTTACGGGATACAAGTGCAGATTTCTTCTTTTTTTTATTATACTTTAAGTTCTAGGGTACATGTGCACAACGTGTAGGTTTGTTACATATGTATACATGTGCCATGTTGGTGTGCTGCACCCATTAACTTGTCATTTACATTAGGTATATCTCTTAATGCTATCCCTCCCCGCTCCCGCCACCTCATGACAGGCCCCGGTGTGTGATGTTCCCCATCCTGTGTCCAAGTGTTCTCATTGTTCAAGTCCCACCTATGAGTGAGAACATGTGGTGTTTGGTTTTCTGTCCTTGTGATAGTTTGCTCAGAATGATAGTTTCCAGCTTCATCCATGTCCCTACAAAGGACATGAATTCATCATTTTTTATGGCTGCATAGTATTCCATGGTGTATATGAGCCACATTTTCTTAATCCAGTCTATCATTGGTGGACATTTGGGTTGGTTCCAAATCTTTGCTATTGTGAGTAGTGCTGCAATAAACATATGTGTGCATGTGTCTTTATAGCAGCATGATTTATAATCCTTTGGGTATATACCCAGTAATGGGATGGCTGGGTCAGATGGTATTTCTAGTTCTAGATCCTTGAGGAATCGCCACACTATCTTCCACAATGGTTGAACTAGTTTACAGTCCCACCAACAGTGTAAAAGTGTTCCTATTTCTCCACATCCTCTCCAGCATCTATTGTTTCCTGACTTTTTAATGATCACCATTCTAACTGGTGTGAGATGATATCTCATTGTGGTTTTGATTTGCATTTCTCTGATGGCCAGTAGTGATGAGCATTTTTTCATGTGTCTGTTGGCTGCATAAATGTCTTCTTTTGAGAAGTGTCTGTTCATATCCTTCGCCCACTTTTTGATGGGGTTGTTTGATTTTTTTCTTGTAAATTTGTTTAAATTCTTTGTTGATTCTGGATATTAGCCCTTTGTCAGATGGGTAGATTGTAACAATTTTCTCCCATTCTGTAGGCTGCCTGTTCACTCTGATGGTAGTTTCTTTTGCTGTGCAGAAGCTCTTTAGTTTAATTAGATCCCATTTGTCTATTTTGGCTTTTGTTGCCATTACTTTTGGTGTTTTAGTCATGAAGTCCTTGCCCATGCCTATGTCCTGAATGGTATGCCTAGGTTTTCTTCTAGGGTTTTTATGGTTTTAGATCTAACATTTAAGTCTTTAATCCATATTGAATTAATTTTTGTATAAGTTGTAAGGAAGGGATCCAGTTTCAGCTTTCTCCATATGGCTAGCCAGTTTTCCCAGCACCATTTATTAAATAGGGAATCCTTTCCCCATTTCTTGTTTTTGTCAGGTTTGTCAAAGATCAGATGGTTGTAGATGTGTGGTATTATTTCTGAGGGCTCTGTTCTGTTCCATTAGTCTATATCTCTGTTTTGGTACCAGTACCATGCTGTTTTGGTTACTGTAGCCTTGTAGTATAGTTTGAAGTCAGGTAGCATGATGCCTCCAGCTTTGTTCTTTTGGCTTAGGATTGACTTGGCAATGTGGGCTCTTTTTTGGTTCCATATGAACTTTAAAGTAGTTTTTTCCAATTCTGTGAAGAAAGTCGTTGGTAGCTTGATGGGGATGGCATTGAATCTATAAATTACCTTGGGCAGTATGGCCATTTTAGCAATATTGATTCTTCCTATCCATGAGCATGGAATGTTCTTCCATTTGTTTGTGTCCTCTTTTATTTCATTGAGCAGTGGTTTGTAGTTCTCCTTGAAGAGGTCCTTCACATCCCTTGTAAGTTGGATTCCTAGGTATTTTATTCTCTTTGAAGCAATTGTGTATGGTAGTTCACTCATGATTTGGCTCTCTGCTTGTCTGTTATTGGTGTATAAGAATGCTTGTGATTTTTGCACATTGATTTTGTATCCTGACACTTTGCTGAAGTTGCTTATCAGCTTAAGGAGGTTTTGGGATGAGACGATGGGGTTTTCTAAATATACAATCATGTCATCCGCAAACAGGGACAATTTGACTTCCTCTTTTCCTAATTGAATACCCTTTATTTTTCTCCTGCCTGATTGCCCTGGCCAGAACTTCCAACACTGTGTTGAATAGGAGTGGTGAGAGAGGGCATCCCTGTCTCGTGCCAGTTTTCAAAGGGCATGCTTCCAGTTTTTGCCCATTCAGTATGATATTGGCTGTGGGTCTGTCAAAAATAGCTCTTATTATTTTGAGACATGTCCCATCAATACCTAGTTTATTGAGAGTTTTTAGCATGAAGGGCTGTTGAATTTTGTCAAAGGCCTTTGCTGCATCTATTGAGATAATCATGTGGTTTTTGTCTTTGGTTCTGTTTATATGCTGGATTATGTTTATTAATTTGCATATGTCCAACCAGCCTTGCATCCTAGGGATGAAGCCAACTTGATCATGGTGGATAAGCTTTTTGATGTGTTGCTGGATTCGGTTTGCCAGTATTTTATTGAGGATTTTTGCATCGATGTTCACCAGGGATATTAGTCTAAAATTCTCTTTTTTTGTTGTGTCTCTGCCAGGCTTTGGTATCAGGATGATGCTGGCCTCATAAAATGAGTCAGGGAGGATTCCCTCTTTTTCTATTGATTGGAATAGTTTCAGAAGGAATGGTACCAGCTCCTCTTTGTACCTCTGCTAGAATTCAGCTGTGAATCCGTCTGGTCCTGGACTTTTTTTGGTTGGTAGGCTATTAATTATTGCCTCAATTTCAGAGCCTGTTACCAATCTATTCAGGGATTCAACTTCTTGCTGGTTTAGTCTTGGGAGGCTATATGTGTCCAGGAATTTATCCATTTCTTCTAGATTTTCTAGTTTATTTCCTTAGAGGTGTTTATAGTATTCTCTGATGGTAGTTTGTATTTCTGTGGGATCGGTGGTGATATCCCCTTTATCATTTTTCATCGCGTCTATTTGATTCTTCTCTCTTTTCTTCTTTATTAGTCTTGCTAGCGGTCTATCAATTTTGTTGATCTTTTCAAAAAACCAGCTCCTGGATTCATTAATTTTTGAAGGGTTTTTTGTGTCTCTATCTCCTTCAGTTCTGCTCTGATCTTAGTTATTTCTTGCCTTCTGCTAGCTTTTGAATGTGTTTGCTCTTGCTTCTCTAGTTCTTTTAATTGTGATGTTAGGGTATGAATTTTAGATCTTTCCTGCTTTCTCTTGTGGGCATTTAATGCTATAAATTTCCCTCTACACACTGCTTTAAATGTGTCCCAGAGATTCTGGTATGTTGTGTCTTTGTTCTCATTGGTTTCAAAGAACATCTTTATTTCTGCCTTCATTTCATTATGTACCCAGTAGTCATTCAGGAGCAGGTTGTTCAGTTTCCATGTAGTTGAGTGGTTTTGAGTGAGTTTCTAAATCCTGAGTTCTAGTTTGATTGCACTGTGGTCTGAGAGACAGTTTGTTATAATTTCTGTTCTTTTACATTTGCCAAGGAGTGCTTTACTTCCAACTATATGGTCAATTTTGGAATAAGTGCGATGTGGTGCTGAGAAGAATGTATATTCTGTTGATTTGGAGTGGAGAGCTCTGTAGATGTCTATTAGGTCTGCTTGGTGCAGAGCTGAGTTCAATTCCTGGATATCCTTGTTAACTTTCTGTCTCGTTGATCTGTCTAATGTTGACAGTGAGGTGTTAAAGTCTCCCATTATTATTGTGTGGGAGTCTAAGTCTCTTTGTAGGTCTCTAAGGACTTGCTTTATGACTCTGGGTGCTCCCGTATTGGGTGCATATATATTTAGGATAGTTAGCTCTTCTTGTTGAATTGATCCCTTTACCATTATGTAATGGCCTTCTTTGTCTCTTTTGATCTTTGTTGGTTTGAAGTCTGTTTTATCAGAGACTAGGATTGCAACCCCTGCTTTTTTTCGTTTTCCATTTGCTTGATAGATCTTCCTCCATCCCTTTATTTTGAGCCTGTGTGTCTCTGCCCGTGAGATGGGTTTCTTGAATACAGCACACTGACTCCTTATGCAATTTGCCAGCCTGTGTCTTTTAATTGGAGCGTTTAGCCCATTTACATTTAAGGTTAATATTGTTATGTGTGAATTTGATCCTGTCATTATGATGTTAGCTGGTTATTTTGCTCGTTAGTTGATGCAGTTTCTTCCTAGCATCAATGGTCTTTACAATTTGGCATGTTTTTGCAGTGGCTGGTACCAGTTGTTCCTTTCCATGTTTAGTGCTGCCTTCAGGAGCTCTTGTAAGGCAGGCCTGGTGGTGACAAAATCTCTCAGCATTTCCTTGTCTGTAAAGGATTTTATTTCTCCTTCATGTATGTAGCTTA
Organism: Homo sapiens; assembly: GCF_000001405.40. Lineage (NCBI taxonomy): Eukaryota > Metazoa > Chordata > Mammalia > Primates > Hominidae > Homo > Homo sapiens. Next base: position 99,644,820 of record NC_000010.11, read on the forward strand.
GTTTGGCTGGATATGAAATTCTGGGTTGAAAATTCTTTTCTTTAAGAATGTTGAATATTGGCCCCCACTCTCTTCTGGCTTGTAGAGTTTCTGTGAGAGATCCGCTGTTAGTTTGATGGGCTTGCCTTTGTGGGTAACCCGACCTTTCTCTCTGGCTGCCCTTAACATTTTTTCCTTCATTTCTACTTTGGTGAATCTGACAATTATGTGTCTTGGAGTTGCTCTTCTTGAGGAGTATCTTTGCGGTGTTCTCTGTATTTCCTGAATTTGAATGTTGGCCTGCCTTGCTAGGTTGGGGAAGTTCTCCTGGATAATATCCTGAAGAGTGTTTTCCAACTTGGTTCCATTCTCCCCATCACTTTCAGGTACACCAATCAGATGTAGATTTGGTCTTTTCACATAGTCCCATATTTCTTGGAGGCTTTGTTAGTGGCTTTTTACTCTTTTTTCTCTAAACTTATCTTCTTGCTTCATTTCATTCATTGGATCTTCAATCACTGATACCCTTTCTTCCACTTGATCGAATCAGCTACTGAAGATTGTGCATTTGTCACAGTTTTCATGCCGTGGTTTTCAGCTCCATCAGGTCATTTAAGGTCTTCTCTATGCTGTTTATTCTAGTTAGCCATTCATCTAATCTTTTTTCAAGGTTTTTGGCTACTTTGCGGTGGGTTCGAACATTCTCCTTTAGCTTAGAGAAGTTTGTTATTACCGATCGTCCAAAGCCTTCTTCTCTCAACTCGTCAAAGTCATTCTCCGTCCAGCTTTGTTCCATTGCTGGCGAGGAGCTGCTTTCCTTTGGAGGAGAAGAGGTGCTCTGATTTTTAGAGTTTTCAGCTTTTCTGCTCTGGTTTCTCTCCATCTTTGTGGTTTTATCGACCTTTGGTTTTTGATGATGGTGACGTACAGATGGGGTTTTGGTGTGGATGTCCTTTCTGTTTGTTAGTTTTCCTTCTAACAGTCAGGACCTTCAGCTGTGGGTTTGTTAAAAGTTTGCTGGAGGTCCACTCCAGACTCTGTTTGCCTGGGTATCACCAGCAGAGGCTGCAGAACAGCAAATATTGCAGAATGGCAAATGTTGCTGCCTGATCCTTCCTCTGGAAGCTTCATCTCAGAGGGGCACCCAGCCATATGAGGTGTCAGTCGGCCCCTACTGGGAGGTGCCTCCCAGTTAGGCTACTTGGAGGTCAGGGACCCACTTGAGGAGGCAGTCTGTCCATTCTCAGATCTCAAACTCCATGCTGGGAGAACCACTACTCTCTTCAAATCTGTCAGACAGGGACGTTTAAGTCTGTAGAAGTTTCTGCAGCTATGTTCAGCTATGGCCTGCCCCCAGAGGTGGAGTCTACAGAGGCAGGAAGGCCTCCTTGAGATGTGGTTGGCTCCAGCCCATTCGAGCTTCCCAGCCACTTTGTTTACCTACTCAAGCCTCAGCAATGGCGGACGCCCCTCCCCCAGCCTCACTGCCACCTTGCAGTTCGATCTCAGACTGCTGTGCTAGCAGTGAGCAAGGCTCTGTGGGCGTGGGACCCTCTAAGCCATGTGTGGGATATAATCTCCTGGTGTGCCCTTTGCTAAGACCATTGGAAAAGCGCAGTATTAGGGTGGGAGTGTCCCAATTTTCCAGGTACCATCTGTCACGGCTTCCCTTGGCTAGGAAAGGGAATTCCCCAACCCCTTGTGCTTCCCAGGTGAGGTGATGCTCCACCCTTCTTTGGCTCACGCTCCATGGGCTGCACCCACTGTCTGACAGGCTCCAGTGAGATGAACCCAGTACCTCAGTTGGAAATGCAGAAATCACCAGTCTTCTGCGTCACTCACGCTGGGAGCTGTAGACTAGAGCTGTTCCTATTCGACCATCTTGGAACCTCCCCAGAAGAGACAAGTGCAGATTTCTTACATGCATATATTGCATAGTGGTAAAGTCTGCACTTTTAGTGTACCCATCACCCAAATAGTGAATATTGTACCCAACAGGTAATTTTCTAACCCTAACCCTCCTCCTACCCTCCCACCTTCTGTAGTCTCCAGTGTCTAATAGTCCACACTGTATATCCATAGGTACCCTTTGTTTAGCTCCCACTTATAAGTGAGAACATGCTGTATTTGACTTTCTGAGTTATTTCACTTAGGATAGTGGCTTCAAGTTCCACCAGTGTTGCTGGGAAAGATATGATTTTATTCTTTCTTATGGCTGAGTAGTATTCCATGCTATATATAAAATACATTTTCTTAATCCAACCTTCTGCTGATGGACACAGTTTGATTTCATCTTTGTTATTGTGAATAGTCTGCAATAAAGACATTAATGCAGATATCTTTTTGATATAATCATTTTTTTCCATTTGGATATATACGCATTGGTGGGATTGTTGGATCGAATGGTACTTCTATCTTTAGTTCTTTAAGAAATCTCCATACTGTTTTCCATAAAGGTTGTACTAATTTACATGCCTACCAACAAAGTATAATTGTTCCCCTTTTTCCACATCCTTGCCAACATTTGTTGTTTTGACTTTTTAGTAATAGCCATTCTGACTGGTGTAAGATGGTATCTCATTGTGGTTTTCAGTTGCATTTCTCTGATGATTAGTGATGTTGAACACTTTTTCTTATATTCTTTGGCCACTTGTATGTTTTCTTTTGAAAAATGTCTGTTCATGTCCTTTGCCCAATTTTTAATGGGATTATTTGCTTTTTTCTTGTTGAGTTCTTTGAGTTCCTTGCAGATTCTGGATATTAGTCCTCTGTTGTATGCATAATTTGCAAATATTTTCTCCCATTCTGTAAATTGTCTGTTTACTCTGTTCTTTTGCTTTGCAGAAGGTTTTTTGTTTAATCAAGTCCCATTTGTCTATTTTTGTTCTTGCTATGTTTGCTTTTGAGGACTTGGTCATAAATTCTTTGCCTAGGTCAATGTCCAGAAGAGTTTTTCCCAGATTTTCTTTGAAGATGTTTATAGTTCAGGCATTACATTTAGGTCTTTAATCCATCTTGATTTAATTTTTGTTTATGGCGAGAGGTATGGGTCTAGTTTCATTCTTTTGCATATGGCCATCCAATTTTCCTAGCACCATTTGTTGAATAGGGTGTCCTTTCCCCAGTGTTTATTTTTGTTGAGCTTGTCAAAGGTCAGTTTGTTATAGGTATGTGGCTTTATTTCTGGGTTCTTTATTCTATTCCATTGATTTTTTTTTTTTCAGAAAGTCTCACTTTGTCACCAGGCTGGAGTGCAGTGGAGTGACATCGGCTCACTGTAGCCCCAGCCTCCCAGCCTCAAGCAATTCTCATGCCTCAGCCTTGCAAATAGCTGGGATTACAGGTGTGCACCACCATGCCCAGCTGATTTTTTTTTTTTGTAGTAGAGATGAGGTTTCACCATGTTGACCAGGCTGGTCTCCAACTTCTGGCCTCAAGTAATCCACCCTCTGTCTTCCAAAGTGCTGGAATTACAGGCATGCACCACCATGCCCAGCCTATTCCATTGATGTATGTGTATATACTTATACCAGTACTACACTACTTTGGTGACTATAGCCTTGTAGTATAATTCAAAGTGAGTAATGGATGCCTCGAGCTTTGTTCTTTTTGCTTAGGATTGCTCTGGCTATTCAGGCCCTTTTTTGGTTACATATGAATTTTAGGATTTTTTTATAATTCTGGGAAAAATGACATTGGTAATTCGATAGGGATTGCATTGAATCTGTAGATTACTTTGGGGACTATGGTCATTTTAACAATATTGATTCTTCCAATCCATAAGCATGGGATGTTTTTCCATTTGCATAATCTACTATTTCTTTCATCAATGTTTTGTAGTTCTCCTTATAAAGATCTTTCACTTCCTTGGTTAAATATATTCCTAGGTTTTTTTTTTTTTTTTTTGTAGCTATTGTAAATAGGATTGCCTTTTTGATTTGGTCATCAGCTAGATTGTTATTGTTGTATAGAAACACTACTGATTTCTGTACATTAATTTTGTATCCTGAAACTACTGCATTCATTTATCAAATCTAAAAGCTTTTTTGGAGGAGCCAAAAAACCCCAAAGGGTTTTCTAGATAGAAGATCATATCATCAGCAAACAGGAATAATTTGACTTCCTCTTTTCCAATTTGGATGCCTTTTATTTTTTTCTCTTGTCTGATTGGCCTGGTGAAGACTTCCAGTACTAAGTTGAATAAGAGTACTGAAAGTGGGCATCCTTGTATCGTTCCAGTTAGAGGAAATGCTTTTAATTTTTCTCCACTAAGTGTGATGTTGGCTGTGGGTTTGTCATATATGACCTTATTATGTTAAGGTATGTTTCTTCTATGCCTAGTTTATTGAGGATTTTTATCATGAAGGGATGCTGAATTTTATTGAATGCTTTGTCTGTATTGAAATGATCATATAGGTTTTTGTCCTTAATTCTGTTTATGTGATGTATCACATTTATTGATTTGCATACATTGAAACATCCTTGCATTCCTGGGATAAATCCTACCTGATCATGGTGTATTATCTTTTTGATATGCTGTTGAATTTGATTTGCTAATATTTTGTTAAGGATTTTTGCATCAATGTTCATCAGGGATACTGGTCTATAGTTTTCACTTTTTGTCATGTCCTTGTCTTGCTTTGGTATCAGGATGATACTGGCCTTGTAGAATGAGTTAAGGAGACTTCCCTCTTCCTCTATTTTCTGAAATAGCTTCAGAAGAATTAGCAATAGTTCTTCTTTGTATATTTGGTAGAATTTGGCTGTGAATCCATATGGTTCTGGGCTTTTTTTGTTGTTGTTGAGAGATTTTTTATTACTGATTCAATCTCGCTACTCATTATTGTTCTGTCTGTTCAGGAGTTCTGTTTCTTCCTAGTTGGATCTCAGAAGATTGTATGTTTCCAGAAATTTACCCACTTCTTCTAGGTATTCTAGTTTCTGGGCATACAGTTGTTCATAATAGTCTCTGATGATCTTTTGTATTTCTGTGGTATCATTTTAATGTCTCATTTTTCATATCCACTTGTTTATTGGGATCCCTTCTTTCTTGATCTAGCTAGTGGCTTATCAATTTTGCTTACATTTTCAAAGAAGCAACTTTTCATTCATTGATTTTTTTTGGTCCCTATTTCATTTAGTTATGATCTAATCGTCATTATATCTTTTCTTCTGCTAACTTTGGGTTTGGTTTGTTCTTGTTCTAGTTCCTTGAGATGTGACATTAAGTCATTATTTTGTAATCTTTCTACTTTTTGGATATATATATTTAATGCTATAAACTTCCCTCTTAGGATTGCTTTTGCTGTATCCCACAGGTTTTGATATGTTGTGCTTTCATTTTCATTCATTTTAAAATTTTTTAAAATTTCCATCTTAATTTCTTTCTCTCTTTTTCAGACAGGGTTTCATTCTGTCACCCAGGCTGGAGTGCAGTGGTGCGATCACAGCTCACCACAGCCTCAACCTCCTGGGCTCAAGCAATCCTTCTGCTTCAGCCTCCTGGGTAACTGGGACTATAGGTGCACATCACGATGCCCAGCAAATTTTTAAAAATTTTCTGTAGAAATTGGGTCTTACTATGTTGTCCAGGCTGGTTTTGAACTCTCACAGGGCAGTGGCAATTGTTCTATGTATGTGTAGGAGAGCCTGGTTTCCCTGTCTGTTCTTGGATGGGCAGCAGGTGCAGCTGCATCAGTCTGAACTCAGCCTAAGGGCAGGATGTAGCCCAACATTAAACTCTCAAAATGGTGCCTTGGGCCTGGGACCAGAGAGGGTAGGGCACGTTCCAGGCAAGCAGTGTGAGCAAGAAGCTGTGGGGAAATGCAATCCGCTCACATCTCAGTCACACAGCAGCCCACTGCAGGGCAGTGGTATTGTCTTAGATACGTATAGGAAAGCCTGGTTTCCCTGATCCTCCTTGGCTGGGTTCATGTCTCAGTCTCAACGGCAGCCCACAGAAGGGTGGTAGGGACTCTCCCAGGGGTGTGTGAGAGCACTTGGTCTCCCCTCTCCCTTTTTGGAGCAGGGCAACAGCTGCAGCCATGTCTGTAGATCCCCGGTATCTAGACTATCAAAATAATGCCTGGCTGAGGCTGCTGTAGTCTCAGATGCCTGTAGGATTCCATGTGGATTTCTTTTCTGGAGCAATATATCTGTGCAATTTTAGGCAGCTCCATATATCAGGCCTGAGGTCCTAAGCTAGTTGGGGTTTTCTTGCACAGCCAAGATCATAAAAGCTCTTTTTGGAGTGTGGAGCCCTAGGGATTTCTCTCTTATTGTTTCCCAGCATCCAGGAGCCTCTTGGGGCTCTCAGTCAGTCCCCAAACCCTCTCCTTATTTACTTCTGGTGCTTCCCATCACTTCTCTGGTGAGTCCTAGCATTCTCTACTAGACAATCTCTTTAAAATATATCTACTTACTCTTCTGGTTCCTCTCCATGAAGGAGGCACATACTACCTGTGTCTAGTCAGCCATCTTCTCATTGTAGTTTTAATTTGCATTGCTCTAATGACTAATGATTTTGAACATCTTTTGAACAGATTGCTTATTTGCCATCTGTATATCTTATTTGGTGAAGTGCACAAATCTTTCGTCTATTTACACCTGGGTTGTTTGCTTTCTCATTATTTAATTTTGAGAATTCTTTTCATATTCTAGATACAAGCCCTTTATCAGATATGTGATTTGCAAATATTTTCTCCCACAGAAGGATAACCCACTGTGTGGCTTATCTTTTCATTCTCTTAGTAGTGTGTTTTGAAGAGGAGTAGATCTTAGTTGCCTTTTTCTTTTCTTTTTTTTTTTTTTGAGGTAGGGTCTCACTCTGTCACCCAGGCTGGAGTGCAGTGGCACATTCATAGCTCACTGCAGCCTTGAACTCCCGGGCTCACATGATCCTCTCACCTCAGCCTCCTGAGTAACTCGGATGAGAGGTCCATGCCACCATGCCTGGCATATATTTTTATTTTTAAACTTTTTTTAAAGATAGAGTCTGACTGTGTTGCTCAGGCTGGCCGTGAACTCCTCCCACCTCAGCCTCCCAAAGAGCTGAGATTACAGGCATGAGCCATCATGCCTGGCCTAGTTCTTAGTTTCAATGGAGACCAATTTATTAAGGTTTTCTTTTGGTGTGTGAGTGTGTATCTTGCTTTTGCTGTTGAATCTAAGAAATTTCAAGGCTACCAAGATTTTCTTCTCTATTTTCTTTTATAAGTTTTATCGTTTTAGCTCTTACATCCAGGACTATGATCTATTTCAAGTTAGTTTTTATAAGTGATGTTAGATTTTTTTTGTCACTGTCAGTTTTTACTCATTAATATTTCTCTGCGTTCTTATCATGTGTGTACATAAAGAGCTTCCTTTTGTTTTTCCAGGTACAACAGCAGGTTCTTTTCTGATTCCGCAAAGTCCTGCATGGGGTGGAGGCAGAGACAGAAGAGAATGTAAACACTGGGTTCCACCCCCTGGAAATTAAGGGAAGACCCCTTACCCAGATAGGGACTGATTGGAGAGGTGGAAGGGAACAAGGTGAAAGGTAGGGGTCCTGGTAAGAGAAAGCAGGGGGGCCTGAGAACACAGAGGAAAGTGGTTGAGAAATGTTCTCTCATATGCTCTTTAAGAAAAGCAAATGCCCCTTTTTTTTTGTCCCAGAAAGCATGTCTCTTTATCTAGAATTAGGCCATGTGCCCACTCCTGAAACAGTAGCTATGACCAAGGGATGAGATTTTGCCCAATACCTCAGGCCTGGCTTGCATGTGCCATTCCTAGGGCCAGGAGTGGAGTCAGAATCCTCAAATGACATGCTACACATGAGGAGGGTGTCCACACTCAAGTAAAATTGGGATGGATACCAAGAGAAGGGGTTACGTTCCCTTCTCACAATGCCTCTGTTCAAGTACTACGGGCTTTTAGAATTTGCCATACTGTACCCCCACCCCAGCCTACCTCACCCTGGTCTCTCTGAGGAGGGGCCTTTTACTTCTCTGAATGACCTGTGGTACTGATTTTCTGCATTTTTCAAATTTTCAATCATCCTACTTGTTAATTTACTTTCTGCAGATGCTGTCATCTCCCTGCTCTGCTATGTCTTCATTCCTCACAGTACCTGAACACAAAGCTGTGGTGTTATCAGACTTTAACTGAAGGTTTGGGGTCCCGAAGAGGATTATAACATAGCACAAAACTCAAAATTGAACATTGATGATGTCATTATGAATATCCAAAAGTTCCCTGACCAAACTCATTTTAAGGACTGCGGTAATTTAAAAGTATGTCTACAAATTAGTTGATACTTCTTTATTCAAAAGGTGGAGCCGAATTCCCCTCCCCTTGAATGTGGACTAGGAGTTAGTGACTCACTTTCAACAAATAATGTGTGGCAGAAGTGAAGATATTTGACTTCTGAGGCTAGGTCATACAAAGGATAAAGTTTCTACCTGGCTCGTTCTCTTTAGGATCACCCTGGGGGAAGCCAGCTACCATGTAATGAAGGTACTCAAGCAGCCCTGGGAAAGAACCATGTGAAAAGAAACTGGGGCCTCCCACCAATAGCCAGCATCAACTTGCCAGCCATGCATGCCATCTTGGAAAGATATCTCCTAGTTCCAGCTAAGACTTTAGCCGCCTATAACCCCAGCTGACATCTTGTTTGCAACCTCATGAGAAGATCCTTAGTTGAGGGGCAACCAAACTCCTGACCCACAGAAATTGTGAGAGATAATAATGCTTATTGCTATTTTAAGCTGCAAAGTTTTGGAGTAATTTGCTATGTAGCAACAGATAAGTAATACAGAGAGTCTCTCATGGGCCGTTTTCTTCCGTCTTATCTGCCATCTTGCCTTGATCCTTCCGCTTTTTTCATCTCTTTTTCTTTTTTCCTTGCCAGAGCTCCCCAAACCCAGTCTCTAGAGGGAATGCTCAAAATTACTGTATTTCACTTTGCAGAGTAATTTAAGTCTTCTTGGTCTAAACATCTCCCATCTAGATTAAGCCCAAGGGATTCCATCTTTTTGGACCAAACATACCTGTTAAGGTCCAAAACAGATATTCTGTCTTCCTACCAGGCCCAGTGGCATCAGGTCCAGTCAGACAGCTGCCAGCTTGCCCTAATAGAAGTAGATATAGGCAAAGTACTATAAGAGCAAAAAATAAGAAGCATGTAAGCTGACTTGGGGGCTTATGGAGGAGGTAACATTTGAGCTGAGTTTTTAAGGATATGTAGGAGTTCATTTGGTAGAGAAGTGAATGAAAGTTAGTTATGCAGAGTAAAAGCAAGTAAAAAAGCTCAGAGGTGAGAAAAGTTATAATCAATTCTGAGAACTTTAAATATGTAAGGGTTCTGGGTGACAACATCTATTAGTGAGCTTGGAAGCTGTTGGGGGCTAGATAATATCAGACATTGAAAGCCACACATATCAGGAGACTACAGACAACATAAATCTCTGATTCACTGACTTAAAAATAAGAACAATAAGGAATTTAGTATTTCAAATAATAAGCCCAAGGTAAGACTGCTCCAATATCTTAATTTAGCAGCTTGATGATGTTATCAAGAACCCAGTTTGCTTCTGTATTTCTATTCTGTTATCCCCAGTCTTGTACCCCCATGATTATAAGATGGTTACAGCAGCTCCAAGCATCATGTCCTTAAGATTACACCTGGACAGCCTGGGCAACATGGTAAAACCCCGTCTCTACCAAAAATACAAAAAACTAGCCAGGTGTGGTGACGTGTGCCTGTAGTCCCAGTTACTCAGGAGGCAGGAGGATTGCTTGAGCCTGGGAGGCAGAGGTTGCAGTCAGCCGAGATTGCACCACCACACTCCAGCCTGAGTAACAGAGTGAGACCCATCTCAATAACAACAACAACAACAACAACAAAAAGATCACACCTGGAAGTAGAAAGGGGGCCTTCTCTTCTTTTTCGGTCATTATATAAATTTTTTTAAAAAAGAAATGGGCTCTTGCTATATTGCCCAGGCTGGAGTGCGGTGGCTACTGATAGGCACAATCATAACATGCATCCAGAGGAAACTGCAAATATAATTGTAAGGCAAGCCTTTAAAGAGCAGTTAAAAACTTGTTTTGAAATACGGGTTTCTAGAATTTGTTTCAACATGTTGAGTTACAGCAAATGAAATGGAGAAATAGTCTCAATGCTTTTTAACTCGCCCTGCTGACTGGAAACCTTAGAACTCAGCCTTATGAGCTGTTAATCAGATAAGCACTGCAGGTTTTTGCAAAGAATCATGCTTGACAAATGCTTGAGGGCATACGGATTTATTGAAGGAAGTATTGTCCAAACAAGACTGACAAAATTTTACAAAGAAAATAGAATTTTAAAATGTTGGGATTAAAATGTAGATCTTATCGGAGTATGGCGGTGTGCGCCTGTAATCCCAGCTACTCAGGAGGCTGAGGCAGGAGAATCACTTGAACCCAGGAGGCAGAGGTGGCAGTGAGCCAAGATAACACCACTGCATTCCAGCCTGGGGGACAAAGCAAGACCCCTTCTCAAAAAAAAAGGTAGTTTCTTTTCTGTTTTGAGATGTAGTTATGAAATGTAAATTAGAGGATGTTTCAATGAACTTTTGAATTATAAGTTAATATAGTTTAAAAACCATATGAATTAAGTACTATTTAAAAAATAGGTAGGAATTATACTTCCACTCAAAAACACCTTGAACTCCTGGCCTCAAGGGATCCTCCTACCTCAGCTTTCTAAGTAACTGGGATTACAGCTGCATGCCACCACGCCCAGCCCCATTATGAAAAGTTTTCATTGACTTATACCTGTATCGTTTTTTTCTTTCAATAATTTTGGTATGAATGTATCTCTTTTTAAGATGAAGAAAACTTTCCCTAGAAATGTCTTCCCTCCTCCCTGGGCATTCTTCTCAACAGCTGACTTCCCTTTCATATTATTAGCTAAAATTGTACCATATGCCCATTTAAACCAATATTTTGTGAGGGTATGGGCCCACCATGATTGACTTAGACAATCACAATTTATCTCCTGGGACTGAGGTTGGAGCCTAGCACCCTTCAAGCACATGGCCAAGCATATTCAGTGTGGTTACTTGTCAAGCTAACAAGGTAGAAGAGAGAGCCTACTTCTAGAATAGGCTATCAGCGGGATCTCCCACGCCATGCTAAGGAATTTGGACCATATCTCATTGGAATAAGAAACTACTATGGGATCACAGGATGGGCTAAAAAAATAATAAGGAACTTCTGGAAGAAGGTACTTCTGGAATAGGCTGTCAGTGGGATCTGCCACACCATGCTTAGGAATTTGGACTATATCTCGTCAGAATAAGAAACTACTATGGGACCACAAGATGGGCTAAAAAAAAATAAGGAACTAGTGAAGGATTTTAGATCAGGAAGTAGCATGATGAGGTTTCCCAATGGTAACAGAATCAAGGGGCACTCAGGAGGGGCATGGGTCTGGGGGCAGGGCCACCAGTTGGAAGGCTTCATTAGAAGATCTTGGAGAGGATTTTAGGCAGTTGAATTAAGCACCCCTAGTGACTCATTGGATGGAAAGGGAGAAAGAAAGTTAGAAGGAAGATATTCTAGGATGACTCCCATACAGGTTCCTGCTCTGGTGAATCACAGGGTATTTTGTCAAGATGGAGAATATGGATGGAGGAGGTTTGGGTGGATATGATGAGAGTGGAGAGATAATGAGTTTATTTGGGACAATGGGGTGCCTGAAAGACAGGTGAAGAGAGATGGGTAAACTTGGAAGGGAGAGTGTAGACCACATGACACTCCTCCAAATTCCTTTAGAGGGTAGGGTGGGATGGAGTGTGGAGGGAAGGAGAATCCACAAGGGGAAATGAAGCAAAGCAAACAACTAGCACCTAATATGGGACCTGTTGGGCTGATTTTGCTCAGGGCTGGGCATCAAGCACATCTGGAGAAAAATTGCAAATGTAATTGTAAGGCAAGCCTTTAAAGAGCAGTTAAAAACCTGTTTTGAAACATAGGTTTCTATAACTTGTTGCAACATGTTGAGTTACAGCAAATGAAATAGAGAAATACTCTCAGTGCTTTTTAATTTGCCCTGCTGACTGGAAACCTCGGAACTCAGCCCTATGAGCTGTTAACCAGATAAGCATTGCTGGTTTTTGTAAAGAATTATGCTTGACAAATGCTTGAGGGCATATGGATTTATTGAAGGAAGTATTGTCCAAACCAGACTGACAAAGAAAGTTTTACAAAGAAAATATAATGAAAAAATGTTGGGATTAAAATGTAGGTCTTTTCTGTTTTATGATGTAGTTATGAAATGTAAATTAGAGGATGTTTCAATGAACTTTTGAATTATAAGTTAATATAGTTCATAAACCATAGGAATTAAGTACTATTTTAAAAATAGGAATTATACTTCCACTCAAAAACACCTATTTTGTGGAACACTAAAGTTTGAAATATATATGTATAGAGATTAGACTTAGAACTCACAGAAGGTAAATTCAAGAAATTTTTAAAAATTACTCCAAAACATTATTTTAGTTCTTTCCATATCTATTTTGTTCTAGGAACTGAACTGGGTTCTGAAATAATAAAAATAACTGGTATCTGTATAATGTTGTGGTTAATCCCAACTTTATGCAACTATTCTATTCAATGTGGTTTCTGGGGGTCCAGATAAAATATAACACTTGAAGCAGAGTGGGGATTGAGGGACAGAGAAAAAAAAACTGAGAACTGAGAATTGAAGAAGAAAGGCAAATTAGGAAGTTCAACAAGGTTAGGAGAGTAGTGGAGCCAAAAAAACAATAGTCATGAGAACTGAATATAGAAACTGGACAATGGCTAGATCTTATATGACAATTAGAACTCTGACCCACAACCTCTACAGCAACCAGCCGAGAATAATCAGGACTTGGTCAATGACTCAGTTTCCCTGTTTTTTGCCGCCTCCTTTCTTCAACTCAGAACCCACTAAAGACAGCCAAATATGCTACCTACCCCAAACCAATCACCTAAGAGACACTACTTTTGTTAGCCCACCTCCAGCTTTCCCATGCTAATACCCTCAAGTCAGAGTATACATGAAACCTTCCCTTTTTGTTCACTACTAAGCTTTCCTGGCCAGGTGCAGCTGCTCATCCCTGTAATCCCAGCACTTTGGGAGGCTGAGACAGGAAGACTGCTTGAGCCCAGGAGTTCAAGACCAGCCTGGACAACATAGTGAGACTCCATCTCTACAAAGAATTAAAAAAAAATAAGCTGGGCATGGTGGCACGTGCCTGTAGAGCCAGCTACTCAGGAGGTTGAGGTGGGAGGATCGCTTGCTCAGGAGGTCGAGGCTGCAGTGAACCACGATCGCACCACTGCACTCCAGCCTGGATGACAACAGAGTGAGACCCTGTAGGTAATTAAGTAAGTAAGTAGTTTTCCTAATGTCCTGACAGGCTTTGAGTCGGCCAAATGCAAGTGATGGTGACTGACTCCCTTGTCATAGTAAGCTTTGAATAAATAAAGCATTTGGGTGGTCTTCCTCCCCGATCCCCCCCATTCATTCATTTGCTTATTAATTATACATTAGTTGTGTTTTATCTGCCAGGCAGTGGCCAGTATTGGGAATATGTGGAAGCAAATAGTCCCTGCCTTCAAGGATATTCTGTCTAGTGGGACAGACAGACAGACATATACGTATAATAGTAATTCAACGTGCTAAGTGAAACAATAGGCATGTATAAAAAAGGTGTAGTAGGTCAAGTAGGGCTTTTAGGGGAAGGCGACCCTTAAGATGGGTGGTAAGGGATGAGTAGGAGGTGATTTGGCTAAGAGGCTGGGACGGTTATTCAAGGCAGGTGGAGGGGCAGAATGAGCAAAACAGGACGCGTTGCTGGAGCGTGGTAAGGAAGGCAAGTAGCGGCAGAGGACGGCGGTAGGGCGGATCGTGGGGCGCAATGGATGTGCCACGTTGGAAAGAGCTTGGACTTTATGCCGTCCTCCTGGAAATGAGATAACGGCTGGTGTAAGCAAGAAAGAAACACACACACACCCACGCGCGCGCGTCGTTTCCTTTGTGTTACTGTAAGGTCAAGGAGGGCGGCGACACAGAAATTCATGATGACTGGCATAAGCAGACATTCAATGAATGAATGAATGGACATAAGCACTTTGGTGTAAACGTCATTGTCTTCGATTTCTGTTTTCTCACGGGGCAAGACAGTGAGGTCGGGGCATCAGTTTGGGAGGTGATAGGGAAGGTTTAAGGTGAGAGAACTGCCATTCTGGTAGGGAGGGTCAGTGGGCACAAAACCAACAATAGGTTATGGGCAAGGGATGCGCTTCGGTCGCGAACACCCTGAACCCACCTACCGGAGCTACTCTGTCCCAGGAGCGGCCGTGGAGAAAGCAACCAGCCGAGAGTTCGCGCCCCAGGGAGGGAAGCGGGCACAGGGCCGCCCAGCGCCACTCACCTGTGAGCTCTCCGCGGGCCCTGCAGGCGGAGCCTCGGTACGACGCCTTTCCGATTGGGCGCGGCTCAAAGTCCCGGGGCGGGCATCAGAGGCCGAGCGCTCTAGGGGATTGGCCACCCTGGCGGACGGACGTGCTGCTGACCGAGCTGGTTCGCCCCCGGTTCGGCTCGTGGAGAGCCGGCCCCTCCGTGAGTCTTCTGTCAGTCATTGGCTCCCTGCGGTTTCCTTGGGGACGTGGCGCCGCCGCCGGCCGGGCCCTCCTTCCGGCTGGGCAAGGGGCCGCGGGGAGCAGCTCGGGACTGAACCGAGAGGTGCCGAAGGAACCGGCGGGCCGCTTGATCCCGTGAGTGTGGGCGCGAGAGGGCTGTGGGACCCGGAGGGACGGGGAGAGGAAGCGGGACCCACACCCCGCCACCTGGGGACGACCGGTTCCTAGAGGACAGAGCTGGCCCACGAGAACGCCCCGCTCCCAGGATGCCCGGGTAGGGTCCCCTGGGCCTGAGGAACCAGAGCAGACGGAGCGGGAGCCTGGGGAGGAGGTGGGAGCCGTGGAATTCCCGTGCAGGTTTGTCTCGTGGGCTCAGTCGGACAGAAGCCTGAAATCAAATCTTTCTAGGCTGCAGACGTAGGAGATGCCTGGGACAAGGAGGCCACCTTCTCAGGGCAAAAGAAAAAGAAGGTGACAGGCGTTGAGACCACCGAAGGGAACCCATGGCTAGGTAAGGCTGCACACTTTCCCTCCGGCTGGGAGCACGGCAGAGGATGGCAGGCAGGTTGGGGGGCCCTGGGAGGCTGTCCCAAGTGAGGTTTGCCCTGGAGCTGCACTTGGACTTTGTATTCTGGTTAGTTGGATGCAGAGACGATCAAAGTTGTATTATTTCGAGGGCTGATAAATAATAGTTTCTAGCCCATAGACCAGGAGTGGTAGAGTGAGTCGGCTTGCTCAGCTCTGTAAAGTGCAAGGTTGTAACATTGATTCAGATTCGCATCTGAGCAAGGCTAGGTGCCACTTGAGGAGGTTAAACAAAGAAGTTTTTTTGTTTTTTGTTTGCAGTGAACTTTAAAAGCAGACAGACCGAGGTCCTTTTGAATCAATATACAAAGTGAACTTCACAGATGAATACACTTATCCATACATTATAATAACCTGAAGCTTTTAAAAAATATTAATGTGGATCTACATGCACCAATAAGGGAAAGTTATAAAATAAAGTGGGGGAAAGATGCAGAACAGCAGGTATGGTGGACTACCATTTGTGTAAAACCGAGGGAATGGATACGCACACACACACACACACACACACACACACACACACAGAGATATATTACTGTAAATATATTGGTGTATATTTATGCTTGTGTATCCGTAGAATATCCCTGGAAAGATACACAGCAACGGCCAGGTGCAGTAGCTCACGCCTGTAATCCCAGCACTTTGGGAGGCCAAGGCAGGCAGATCACCTGAGGTCAGGAGTTCAGGACCAGCCTGGCCAAGTAGAAACCCGGTCTCTACTAAAAATACGAAAATTAGCCGGGTGTGGTGGCAGTCACCTGTAATCCCAGCTACTGGGGAGGCTGAGGGAGAAGAATCGCTTGAACCCAGGAGGTGGAGGTTGCAGTGAGCTGAGATTGCGCTACTACACTCCAGCCTGGGCAACAGAGCAAGACTCCATCTCAAAAAAAAAAAAAATTACACAGCAACTGGGTAGTAATGTTTGCCTCTGAGAGATTGTGGGGTCAGGGCAAGAATCACTTTTCACTATACAATATATCCTTTTAAACTGATTTGTCTTTTACTATGTGCTTGTATAATCTGGTAAAACATTTTTAAAATCAGTTAAATAAATTTTCTGACCATCCTGTTTCTTGACAGAATTCTTGGTTGGGAATACTGTAGTTGCTCTGATTCTCCAATGTTATGAGGTTGCCCAGGGAGACTGGTGATCTTTTCACTAACATGAGATTAAGTCTTTGAATTGCACTCAAAGTGCAGTTTGGAAAAAGGGCAGATAAGGCTTTTCTGATATATATAGTAGAAGCACCATGAGCTTCTTCTAAAATTAGAGATGACAAGAACATTTAGACTTCTGTTGGCATGGATTTTTGCCTTTATTAGGAGGGTTTTATCCAATTTTAAAACGATATTTAAGCACTCAGTTGTAGAAATGTTTCAGACTTACTAATGTTTGTCTAATTTCAGGATCAGTTTTTCCTACCTCTGCCCAGCCTCCTGGTACTTCACTGTGCCCACAGTGAGTCCATTTCTCCGTCAGCGGGTGGCATTCCTGGGACTCTTCTTCATATCCTGTCTCCTTTTACTTATGTTAATCATAGACTTTCGACATTGGAGTGCTTCATTACCACGAGATAGGCAATACGAAAGGTGAGTCAGCTTTAGATTTTGGCACTCAAGTCATAAATATTTTCATAAGCTGTTTAACACACTACTGACTTTGACCCTTTTGGGTGATACTGTACTTTTATTAGTAAAATTGCATGCCATTTATTACATAAAGAAGATTTTAAGCCCTATTTTGGCAATATGCAGTTTGGTACAGGAATACTGATACTGCATGAAAGGCATCTTTGTGTTTTCTTGTTTTGGTGGGCTGAAACTTATTGTGTGTATAAATGTTTAGGACTGTATTATACCTTTATGAATGGACCCCTTTATCATTATTAAATGATTTTCTTTATCCTTGATTATATACTTTGCTCTGAAATCTACTAGTCTGGTATTAATATAGCTACTCCAACTTTCTTTTGATTAACATTAGCATGACAGATATTTCTTCTATAGTTTTAGTTTTAGCCTATTGGTGTCTTTATATAAGTGGGCTTCTTGTAGTCAGTGTTTGGTTGGGTCTTGTTTTTTTATCCAATCTGACTATCTCTGCAGTTAATTGGGGTGTTCGGGCCATTTATATTTAATCTGATTATTTAGTATGTTTAGTTTTAATCTTGCTATGTGTTTTTCATTTGTCACATTTGTTCTTGTTCTTTTTCCTCTTTTTCCCTCTTCTTTTCAGTTGAGCACAGTTTTTATGTTTCCATTTTATCTCTCATGTTGGCTTATTAGATATAACTTCTTCTTTTTTTAGTGGTTACTTTAAAGTTTATAGTGTCATCTTTAATTATCACAATCTTCCTTCAAGTAATATTACTCCTCTTCACATCTAGAACAAGAACCTAACAACAGTATACTTTCATTCCTCCCTTCCCCTTGGTCTTTCTGCTACTGTCATGTATTTTATTTCTACATGTTATAAGCTCCACAATATATTGTTATTATTTTTGTGTTAGTCAATTGTCTTTTGAAGAGATTTTCAATATAAGAAAAAAAGGCTTATGTATTTAACCATATTGTTGCCTGAAAGGGTCATATAAGCAAAGTGACCCTTGAATGCTGAAGGGACGGAGAAACCAAAGGAGGAGGCAGGCAAATTGTTCGTTGGTATTCATTGATTTATTGAGGGAATTTGCAGACAGAAGCGTGGCCCTGGGTAGCTGCAAGACAGATAGATCTCCATACTGTTACTCCCCAGACCCAGGGCTTATATAGTACAGGGAGATGGTATATGCACCCTGTGCAAGACAATTAAAGACAGCCCTCCAGAACAGGTAAGAATGCTGCATGTGCCATATCCTGTCATTTGTGTGCCAACACCAAGGTTGACATGTTCTTACAGTAGTAAATAAAGCAGGAATCAAGAGGCATTTACGGGACTGAGGCTAGTCAGAAGTCAATGTGGCAGATTAACATCCAAGATGGAGTCACTTTTGTCTATATTTACCATTTCTGGTCTGCTTCATTCCTTTGTGTAGATCCATATTTCCATCTGGATCCATATTTCCATATTTGCTTTTACCTCAAGAACATTCTCTAGCATTTCTAGTAGAGCAAGTATGCGGTGATAAATTCTTTCAACTTTTATATGACTGAAAAAGTCCCTATTTTGCTTTCCTTTTGAAAGAAATGTTCATTGGGTATAGAACTCTAGGTTGATCATTTTTTTTCCTTTCATTACTTTAAAGATGATGCTTCACTGTCTTTTGGCTTGCATTCTTTCTGAGATGTCTGCTGTCCTTTTAATCTTTGTTCTCTCTGTATAGAATGTATCTTTTTCCTCTGAATACTTTTAGAATTTTCTGTTTATCACTGGTTTTAAGCAATTTGATTGTGATGTGCTTTGATGTTGTTTTCTACATGATTTTATTTGTTTTTTTTTTTTTTTGAGACTATCTCGCGCATCTCCCAGGTTGGAGTGCAATGGTGCAATCATAGCCCGCTGCAGCCTCAATCTCCTGGGCTCAAGCTATCTTCCTGCCTCAGCCTCCCGAGTAACTGGGACTACAGGCATATGCCATCATACCTGGCTAATTTTTTTGATTTTTAGTAGAAGTGAGGTCTCGCAGTGTTGCTCAAGCTGGTCTCAAACTGCTGAGCTCAACCTATCCTCCTGCCTCGGCCTCCCAAAGTGCTGGGATTACTGGCATGGGTCACCGTGCCCTGCTTACCTGATTCTTGTGCTTGTGATTTGTTGATTCTTGGATCTATGGATTTGTAGTTTTAATCAAATTTGGAAACATTTTGTCCATTACTTCTTCAGATTTTTGTTGTTGTTGTTCTCCCCTGCTTTTCCTCTGGGGACTCCAGTAACATGTATATTGAACTATGTGATGTTTTCCCACAGCTCACTGATGTTCATTTTTTTTCCAGTCTTTTTTCTCTCTGTGTTTCATTCGTATATTTTTTTGCTGCTTTCAAATTTGTTAGTATTTTTTTCTGTAGTGTTTAATCTACTGTTCTATCCAGTGAAAGTTTGACATCTTTTTTCACAGATAGTACATCTGAATTATTTTATATACTTTTAGCTATACCAGTTGCACAGAAGGTCTATATTTCTTTATAGCAGTGATTCATTTTGCTATTTTTTTGAGATTAGTTTTTGATGAAGCTACAAAATTAAATAATGGCATGTTATGTTCATTATCTTCAACATGATTTTCTTATTAAAAAATTTTTTTCTTTAGAGACAGAGTCTCACTCTGTCACCCAGGCTGGAGTACAGTGGTGCGATCATAGCTCACTATAACCTTCAATTCCTGGGTTCAAGCAATCCTCCTGCCTTGGCATCTCAAAATGCTGGGATTACAGATGTGAGCCACTGTGCCTGGCCTCATTTTTAAAATATTTACATTTTCTTTTTTTTTTTTTTTTTGAGACAGAGTCTTGCTCTGTTGCCCAGGCTGGAGTGCAGTGGCGCTGTCTCAGCTCACTGCATCCTCTGCCTCCCGGGTTCAAGTGATTCTCCTGCCTCAGCCTCCTGAGTAGCTGGGACTGCAGGCACATGCCACCATGCCTGGCTAATTTTTTGTATTTTTAATAGAGATGGGGTTTCACTGTGTTAGCCAGGATGGTCTCGATCTCCTGACCTTGTGGTCTACCCACGTTGGCCTCCCAAAGTGCTGGAATTACAGGCGTGAGCCACCATGCCTGGCCTAAATTTTCTTTTTATTGCTTCTCAGATATGTATTAGTTAAGAGGCTTTGGGCTGCAAATAACAGCCCACATTGACTTAAACAATAAGAATGCTCACATACCTGGAAGTCCAGGGGTAGAAGGACTACAAGTTCAACACTGGCTGACAGGATGAGAGGCTCTGTCTCTCCTGTCTGTTGTCCACAGTGTCAGTTTACTTAATGGTTGAAAAACAGCAGACTGCCGGGCATGGTGGCTCACGCCTGTAATCTCAGCACTTTGGGAGGCGGAGGCAGGTGGATTGCACGAGCTCAAGAGTTCGAGACCAACCTGTGCAACATGGTGAAACTCTGTCTCTACAAAAAAATATAAAAATTAGCCAGGCATGGTAGCATGCACCTGTAGTCCTTGCTTCCCAGGAGGCTGAAGTGGGAGGATCACTGGAGCCTGGGGAGGTAGAGAATGCAGTGAGCTGGGATCACGCCATTGTACTCCAGCCTGGGGGACAGAGTGAGACCCTGTCTCAAAGAAAAAAAAAAAAAGAGAAGAAAAACAGCAGACAGTAGCAACCAGGGCAGCATATATATTCACTTATGTCCCGTAGGAGACAGAAAGGCTTTCCATGACTCTCTTCTAAGAATGGAGAAGAGCCTTGCCAGAAACCTCTAACAACCATTTCCTGGAATCTTTTTTGGTCAGAATTGGGACACATGCCTACCCTCCTTTTTATTTCTGGATTCTGTCCCCAGATTTTCTCATTTCCCATTCACTTTGGTCATTCATTCATTCATTCATCATTCATTCATTCATTCAACAAAAATTTGAGCAGCCACTATGTGCAGACGATAATAGGCATCAGACACCAGATACAGAGACTTTGGTACATTTTCTCAAGAAGCTTATGTTTTCAGCCTTGCCTTCTTCTAGCAGCCCAATTCATTTGTATTTTTGGCTTGCTTTTCTTTTTTTTTTTTCTTTTTAAACGTTACTGAAATAGAGATGGAGGTCTCACTATGTTGCCCAGGCTGGTCTTGAACACCTGGGCTCAAGCGATCCTCCTGCTTTGGCCTCCCAGAGTGTTGGGATTGCAGGCATGAGTACCATGCCAGCCTCGACTTTCTTTTCCTTTCCAGAAGAGGAAACACTGTTTGGATGATTATAGTAATCAACAACTGCCCTTAAGAAATGTACTAAATTTGGAGACCTAAATCCATAATTTGAGTTTGTTTAATGCTTATGGAATTTTCTTGACAGACCTGCGCATAGTTTCTCACTTGAAGACGACATGGTCTAATTATGGACTTCCATGTAGGTTAGTTAATATGGCTAAAGACAATTAGGGAGTGAATGGTGAGCTGTATGGCTGGAGAGCTAGATCAAGCTGAGTCTGTTAAGCTATTTTAGAGGGTTTAGGCATTACCCTCAGGGCAGAAGGAAGGCTTTGAAAGGTTTTGAAGAGTGAAAAGGTTGGAACTGCTTTTTAATTTTTTTTTTTTTTGAAACAGAGTCTCACTCTGTCACCCAGGCCGGAGTGCAGTGGCGCTATCTCGGCTCACTACAACCTCCGCCTCCCAGGTTCAAGCAATTCTCCTGCCTCAGCCTCCCAAGTAGCTGGGATTACAGGCATGTGGCACCATGCCCAGCTAGTTTTTGTATTTTTTAGTAGAGACGGGGTTTCACCATGTTGGCCAGGCTGGTCTCGAATCCCTGGCCTCAAGTAGTCCACCTGCCTCGGCCTCTCAAAGTGCTGGGGTTACAGGCATGAGCCATCGTGCCCAGCCAGAACTGCTTCTTAAAGAAAGCTCACTTTGGTGGGATTGTGGAAAAAGAATTGGAGAGGAATGAAAAAGAAAGCAGGAAGAGTAATTGAACTAGAGATGCTCCTTGACTTATGATGGGTTATGTAAATTGAAATATCATAAGTTGAAAATGCATTTAATACACCTAACCTAACAAATGTCATAGCTTAGCCTAGCCTACTTTAAAGGTGCTCAGAACATTTACATTAGCCTACTGTTGTGCAAAACCACCTAACAGAAGGCATATTTTATAATAAAGTATTGAATATCTCATGTAATTTATTGAATACTGTACTGAAAGTGAAAAACAGAATGGTTGTGTGGATACTCACGGTATACTTTCTACTGAATGTGCATCACTTTTGCACCATCATAAAGCTGAAAAATCATAAGTTGTACCATTGTAAGTCAATGACTGTACCTCAATAGAGAGATGGTTGTGGTTGCAAGAGGATGGAGAGAGGTAAAAGCATTTAAATGTATGTGGGTGGCAGAGTGATCTGATAATTCTTGTCTATCACTGTATCCCAAGTGGTCAGAGCCAATAAATACTTGGTAGGTTGAATTAATTGAAACAAGTTAGCAATAGAGCTGAGGAACACATAGACTGTGCCACTGTGGCGACCTCACCAAAGTCCTAACACCCTGGAATGCTGTGGCTCAGAGCTCATTGTTACTTAATGAAAGGTTCTGTATATATTGCCACAAATGACCATTTATCATTAAACTTCACTCAGGGCAGCCTCCATGAGTCATTTAAGAGGCAAACATTTATTGAGGGTTTGCTGTGTCGATGACTCTATGATAGCACTGGAGTACAAAGATGACTAAACATAGCCCCTGAACTCAAGGAGTTCGTAATCTAGTTAGAGAGGCAGGCATAAAGGAAAAATTATTTCCCAGTGAGATAATAGTTTAGGTACGGTTGTATAGAATCAGGAGTGAAGAATCAGGAACTATGTACAAGGTTAAGAATTAGGAACAAAGCTAAGAATCAGAAATTAAACAGAAGAAGTTCTTGAGCAACCAAATTTGATATCACTAAGTTCATGTGCTAAAAGCACCTGTACTTTACTGATAAGATAGGCTCTCACATAAAGCCTGTTAGCTTTTATTTTACACACTGTTCTCATTTGCATGGTTCTCACTTGTCTCAGAACACAGTAGATAACAGCAAATTGGAATGGTGGGTGGGGTGTGTTGTTAGATGTGGGCACATTATGACAATAATCAGTTATATCTGGCATCTTGACAGTGAAGCAGGAGAGAGGAAATTTAATAAAGATAGACTCAATAACTCAAAATTTCTACAGACAGTTTCTATAGTGGTAAACAGTTCTACATATGTTGTTAAAACTGTTTTATTACATAGTCTAAAAATTTATGTTAATGAAATGATAATCTTTTTTTTTTTTTTTTTTTTTTTGAGACAGAGTCTCACTCTGTTGCCCAGGCTGGAGTGCAGTGGCATGATCTCAGCTCACTTCAACCTCCACCTCCCAGGTTCAAGCGATTCTCATGCCTTAGCCTCCCGAGTAGCTGGGATTACAGGTGCGCACCACCATGCCCGGCTAATTTTTGTATTTTTAGTAGAGACAGGGTTTCACCATGTTTGCCAAGCTGGTCTCAAACTCCTGGCCTCATGTGATCCACCCACCTCAGCCTCTCAAAGTGCTGGGATTACAGGCGTGAGCCACCATGCCTGGCCATTAATGATAATTTTAAATCAGAGGTTTTCAACCTTTGTGTATCTAAATCACTTGGGGACCTTTAGAAAAATGCAAATAATTGGGACTCTTCTCAAGGTGAATCTAATATACCACCTGGGTTGAGAAAAACTGCTTTAAGATTTGGTTACATTTACTTAAGGAGGTATTGTGAGGTAAGGGAAAGAATGTTAATATTAGAGTTAATCAGCCCATCATTTGCTAGTTGGGTAATCTTGGGCAGGTTTCTTAATATCCTGGAATTTCATATTCTTTATATATAAAGTGAGAATAAAAATAGCTGTCTTTTAGTCTTGTCATTTGCATAAGAAGAGTAGAGCATCTAGGAATGTCAGGTGCATTGATTGACTAATCAAATGTCAATCTATTATTTGAAATAATCTTGATTTTTCTGTTTTCCAATTCTCTTCTCTGCCTGAAAATATACACTGAAGATAATGGGCGTTATAATCTCTATTTAAAATTTTGATGAAATGATTAAGCAAGTAACTAGGAATTGGTAGAAACACTTGCTACCTTAATTTAACAGCTTAAAAAAGTTTTAACACAAGCGCCTGTAGTTGTGATTTTTTTATATTATATTCATATATAGACATATTTTTTCTACTTAAATTGTTCCTAATTCACACAGTGAAATTATATCCGTACTTTGTGGTGTCCCTCAGAAAGTGTGCTGTCTTCCAGGAACCCACTTACACGTGTCTTCATGGGAGCAAGTTTGCAAACCTTTGATCAGGAAAATGTGCCTAGAGGAACACTACATGCATTCTTTATTTTATTTTATATATCTTTTTTTTTTTTTTTTGTAGAGACAGTGTCTCCCTATGTTGCCAAGCGTAGTCATGAACTCCTAGGCTCAAGCAATCCACCTGCCTTGGCCTCGCAAAGTGCTGGGATTACAGATGTGAGCCACTGTCCTAGGCCCATTCATTGTTTTATGGTCTTGACAAATAAGGCATTGCTTTAATTAGAAATGATAGTCTCTCTTGCACATTGCATCTTTGTATTTTAATATATATGAAAGCAGTTAATGTTTAAAATATTTTAATTACTTTTGCATTGAAAACAGATATTTCAATGTGAACTTTTTATAGGCATTGGTGGAATTTAACATATCACTTTTCAGGGGATATTAACCAGGACTTTAGAAGCCTGTCAGGGGGTTTTCTCTCAGTAGTTCCAGAACTAAAGACTTACATTTTTTTTCTTTATTGTGAACATGTATCCATATTGCTTCTGGAAAGAGAGAGTAGGAAGTTTGCATCAAAACTAGAATTTATTTGATACAAAAAAAGTAAATTTAGAGAGATGGGGTGTCAGTAAGGATAGAATCCAAAACTGTGTTTTTTTTAATACACTTTTTTTAGAGCCATTTTAGTTTTACAGCTCATTTGAGCTGAAGGTGCAGAGATTTACCACATATCCCCTGACCCTACACATGCACAGCAGAGCTGTTTTTGAGAATAATACTTGTGTTAGATGTGTGGTTTTTTTTTTTTTTTTTTTTTTTTTTTGAGACAGAGTCTTGCTCTGTCGTCCAGGCTGGAGTGCAGTGGTGCGATCTCGGCTCACTGCAAGCTCCGCCTCCCGGGTTCACGCCATTCTCCTGCCTCAGCCTCCCAAGTAGCTGGGACTACAGGCACCCGCCACCAGGCCCAGCTAATTTTTTGTATTTTTAGTAGAGACGGGGTTTCACCGTGTTAGCCAGGATGGTCTTGATCTCCTGACCTCATGATCCACCCGCCTCGGCCTCCCAAAGTGCTGGGATTACAGGCGTGAGTCACTGCGCCCGGCCGAGATGTGTGTTTTAATCAACTATTTTTCTGGCATGTGCCACATAAGACATGCTCCAATATTTTCTTCAGACTCAATACATATCTTATATCCATTTATTCATTTATCTGTTTACTTATTCAACAATTATCGAGTGTCTACACTGTGGTATCAAATAGGGTAGTCACTACCCACAAGTGGCTAATTAAATTTAAATTAATTAAGATTAAATGAAACAAAATTCAGTTCCTCACTTGGACTGGGCACATTTCAAATGCTCAGTGGCCACATGTGGATATATGGGACAGTGCAGATAGAGAACATTTTCATCATTTCACAGAGTTCTGTTGACAGTGCTAAGTGTACCATGTTTTAATTTCTGCTGTGGATGCTGGGTAATTGTTAAAATTTATTAATTTTTCATACAGTCGTGTGTTATATAATGATTGGGATATGTTCTAATAAATGCATCATTAAGTGATTTCATCATTGTGTAAACATCATAGAATACTTACACAAACCTAGATGGTACAGCCTACTACACACTGAGGCTGTGTGGTGTATACGCTCCTAGCCTACAAGCCTGTACACATGTTGCTGCACTGAATACTATAGGCAACTGCAACACAATGGTAAGTATTTGTGTATCTAAACATATATAAAAATAGAAAAGGTCCAGTGAAAATATGGTATCAAAGATAAATTGGGTCTGGTATGGTGGCTCATGCCTGCAGTCCCAGTACTTTGGGAGGCTGAAGTGGGCAGATCTCTTGAGCCCAGGAGTTCCAGACCAGCCTAGGTAATAACATGGTGAAACCTCATCTCTACAGAAAATTTAGAAATTAGCTGGGTGTGGTGGTCCATGCCTGTAGCCCCAGCTACTTGGGTGGCGGAGGCGGGAGGATCACTTGAGCCCAGGAGGCCAAGGCTTCAGTGAGTCGTAATTGCTCCGCTGCACTCCATCCTGGGCAACAGAGCAAGACCCTGTCTCAAAAATAATAATAATAATAATAATAAAATAAATTGTACACCTGTATAGGGCACTTACCATCAATGGAGCTCACAGAACTGGAAGTTTCTCAGAGTGAGTGAGTGGTGAGTGTGAAGGCCTCGGACATTACTGTAGAATTTATAAACACTGTACATTTAGGCTACACTAAATTTATTTAAAAATTATTTAAAAATTTTTTTCTTTCTTCAATAATAAATTAACCTTAACTTACTGTAACTTTTCCACTTTCTAAGCTTTGAAATTTTTAAAAACTTTTTGACTGTTTTGGACTAACACAACTTAAAACACAAACATATTGTAAAGCTATAGGGAAATATTTTCCTTATAGTATTCTTATTCTATAAGTTTTCTTCTATTTTTAAAAACTTAAAGTTTTTTTTCCTTTTAAAACTTATTTGTTAGAAATGAAAACAGAAACACACACATTAGCCTAAGCCTGCACAGGATCAGGATCATCAAGACATCATTAAGTAATAGGAATTTTTTCAGTTCCATTATAATCTTATGGGACCACTGTTGTACATGTGGTTTGCTGTTGACTGAAACGTCATTATGCAGTGCGTGACTGTGTAAGAGGAACTTCTAGCATGTATACATAGTGTACAAGACACTGTGGTAAACTGTTCTTAAATGTTCTGTTTAATACCTTTCCTTTTTCACATTCATGTTTAATATTGTTCACTTTTTGGTAGCCTCACTGTTATCTTCATTAGTGGGTAAAATTTTGTCTGGTTGAACTATTGTCTGAAGAATGTCTTTTGTAGCTATTGAAAGGTGGTGCCTTCATGTTCCTTTACCATCTGGAAATAACTGAATGAGAGGTTCTGTGTCAGCAATTGGCTTGGTACTGGCCTTCCATAGGTGTTTCAATTCTGTTTAATTAAAGCAAGTCAAAGAGAAGCATTGCTTTTGGTTAGAATGCTCTTTAGCATATACAGATGAAATGATTAGGTTCTTATGTGCAATAGAACAGTTCAGAGATTTTTGATGGTGAAATTGAAAGCATTTATTCACGTTTATTTTATTATTTATAGAGTGACTCAAGCCATCCTCCTGCCTCAGCCTTCCTAATAGCTGAGATTATAGGTGCATGCCACCGTGCCTGGCTAAATTTCTTTTTTTATTTTTAGAGACAGGGGTCTCACTATGTTGCCCAGGTTGGCCTTGAACACCTGACCTCAAGCAGTCCTTCCACCTTGGCCTCCCAAAGTGCTGGGATTACAGGCATGAGCCACTGTGTCTGTCCCACATTTATTCAGTTACTTGATCTTTTTTTTTTTTTTTGGAAACAGGGTCTCACTTTGTCACTCAAGCTGGAGTGCAGTGGCGTGATCATAGCTCACTGCAGCCTCAACCTCCCAGGCTTAAGCAATCCTCTCACCTCAGTCCCCCAAGCAGCTGAGACCAAAGGCAAGCACCACCACACCCGACTAATTTTTATATTCTTTGTAGAGATGGGGTTTCGCCATGTTGCTCAGGCTGGTCTTGAACTCCTGAGCTCAAGCAAGCCACCTACCTTGGCCTCCCAAAGTGCTGGCTTATAGCCATGAGCCACCACACCCAGCCCATTTATTTGATCTTAATGGTGTTTTGAGCAGGACTTTAAATTATAGATGTTCCTGACTGCTCTGATTAATCTTGTTAGGAGGCAAGCAGTAATCTTACAATATACTTTTCTGGGTATGTATTACTATCATCAGTCATGCACAGCTACTTTAACTGTAATATCATTATATTTGGTTCTGAGCTTTGAAGAGAGTTGAAGAGTATGATGACATTCAGCAAAGAATTAGTAGCCCCATACTCATGGGGGCTACTTCAATTGACTTTTGGCCCATCACTGAGCTCTGTTTGAACTCTAAAGTGGTATAATTAGTTTTGATTTTGTAAGCTAGGTAATGGTTTGCTTAGTTACAGCTCTAACGCTGTTAATGCTTTCAGGATAATGGCAGTGAAAAGCCATTGTCTTCCAATTCCACCCTGGGTGATATATTTGTGGGTAACTTTCTTTTCATTGACTCAGCAGTGACTAGAAGGAAATCATGTTTCTTAAACAGAGGAGGTGTGTGTGTGGGTATGGTATTGGGGTGAGTATGTGTGACAGTGAATCAGACCTCTTTAGGGAAGGTGGATGTGAGGGATGCCAAGGCTTTTGAGACTTTTCTCTTGGGCTTTTGGTCCTCTTTAGAGATTGGCTAGTGTGGCATCGGCAAAACAGGAGGGTCCAGCAATGCAAATAATTGGCCATGATGGCTAAGGCCATGGCTACAAATTATATATGACAAAAAAAAAAGAAACTATATATGAAAAAATGCATGAAAGGTCTGGTGATCCATTCATTTTAGGAGCCTAAATAGAGGAAGGCTTCTAGTTGGTTGAAAGTGTAAGAAACCTGATTAGGTCATAAGAGGTCAGAGTTCCAGGAAAAGGTAATATGGCTACTGCCCAGAGGGGAAAACTGTTCTTTAGTTACTAGTTTGTATGCACAATGAGAAAAATGGAGACTTTCCACTGCATAAATGCCATTTAGGCCTATCTTCCTCTTTAGTGATCAAAGGTCAGCTGACATTTTAGCCAAAGCACACATGGAGACTTCGAAAGGAAGAGAAAGAAAAGTTGAGTTGCACCAAAACTGGAGCTGTAAAGTTCCTTATTTTGGCAGGAATCAGAGAGGATAACAAGATACTTTATTTGGAAAGCAATTAAAACTTTCTAAGAAAGAGACCAGTTGATTTTGAATAGAGCTGTACAAAGACACGGAGGAGTTAACAGACCAACAGCTCCATTTTGTGAGCTCTAGGACCAAACCAATCAATACTATTTGATACATCTTTTGGGCAGAGAAACATGAGAAACTCTGTGACAATATCAAGGTAGTATAGATAAGGTACATGTTCTTGAGAAACTTATGGTCTAAACAGGTAGAGCAAGCAAATATGAAAGAAATCTTAGGGGCTCATACTGAAATATAAACAGGGAATATTGACGTCCACATTTTAGAACAGAAGGAAGAGGCCTTTTCAAATCATTCTGGGTACTACCAGTCAGCATTGTTGGGTAGAGGCTTTTTAAGAACTGAGAAGCCATGTCCAAGGAGACAGGAGAGGGGAAGGAGTAGGTAGAGAAGCAGATGGATGTTAAAGAGAAAAGGAAGGCTGTATTAGAACAGTGGTTCTCAAGAGTGTTTAGTGGCCTTTGGAGGGTCTCTGAGACACTTTTGGGAGTCTGTGAGGGTGAAACTATTTTTTATAATAGTACTAAAATGTTATTTTGCCTTTTAAAACTATGGTTCAAACATATACAATTTACCATTTTTAAGTGTACAGTCAGTAGTATTAAGTATATTTACATTGTTGTGACACAGATCTCCAGAATTTTTTCATCTTGCAGATCATAACTCTGTATCCATTAATGAACTCTCCTTTTCTCTCTCTTTCCAGCGAGCTGCTGGTAACTACCATTAAATTTTCTGTTTCTACTTTAGATACCTCATATAGGTGGAATCATACAGTATTTGTCTTTTTGTGCCTGGCTTACTTACTTAGCGTAATATCCTGAAGATTCATCTGTGTTGTAACATGTGACAGGATTTCCTCCTTTTTAAGGCGGAATAATATATCATTGTATGTATATACAACATTTTGTAGATCCATTTATCTGTTGATGGACATTTGGGTCGCTTCCATCTCTTGACTGTTGTCATGTTTTTTACCTTTTTCACTGAGTTGATTGATACTTGCTTTGATGGTGCAAAAGCAATGGCAGGTAAAACCGCTAATAATGCCTTAGTGCAAATCAAGATAGAGGCACCACATTGTACTAGTAGTTACTATATTCTTCATTGCCACACAATTGCATTGGAAGAAAAGATTCAGTTCCACTTATGAATATCTTTTCAATATTCTATGTGATGAAAGGGGAAATAGGTATTAAGCACTTCTGCTATATGCTGAAGTTGTCTAGAGTAAAAGCACTTGGGCAGTTTTTTGAATTATGAGGTAAACCCAGCTGCTTTTATCATGGAACACTATTTTTAGTTAAAAGAATGACTGCCAGAAAAACTAAGGTTTCAGACTTGTGTATTTTATAGACATTTCCTTGAAAATGAGTGAAATAAACCTGTCACTTCATGAAAAACAGTTTTCAGTATTTATTGCCAATGTTAAAATTTGAACTTCCAAGTGAAAATTAGTATTTTGGAAAACTGTATCTGCCACTGTGAAATTGGATAGCTTCCCAATACTTAAAAGACTTTTTGAGTAAGATTGGTAGTGATATTAATGAATGTGTGTTTTTTTTTTTAAGGATTGTAGAATGAAATGTATCAGTGTTAGGAAGATTTGCATAACTCAGTGAACCAATTATTTTCCAATAGATGATGTTATGAAATCATGCTTGGATAACAGCCATTCAAAGTGCATGTTAAACCCATGTTTTTTAATGGATTTTAATGTAACAGAGTATGAAAAGTTTTTAGATAGGGTTTTAGATTCCAATTGCAACTCATCTTTTTTTAGGGGGGTGGGGTGGGGTGGGGTTTAGATTCCAATTGCAACTAATTTTTTTTTTTTTTTTTGAGATGGAGTCTCGCTCTGTTAACCAGGCTGGAGTGCAGTGGTGCGATCTCGGCTCACTGCAACCTCTGCCTCCCAGGTTCAAGTGATTCTCCTGCCTCAGCCTCCCGAGTAGCTGGGACTACAGGCGCCCGCCACCACGCCTGGCTCATTTTTTGTATTTTTAGTAGAGACGGGGTTTCACCATGTTAGCCAGGATGGTCTTTACCTCCTGACCTCATGATCCACCCACCTCGGCCTCCCAAAGTGCTGCGATTACAGGCATGAGCCACTGCGCCCAATCGTGACTAATCTTTAAGAAACGCTACTTGTTGAGTTTTAGTATAGTATCAAAGAAGAGTATTCAGAATGATCTGAAAGGGCTGTTTAATACTCCTCCTGTTTCCAACAGTGTGTCTGTGTGAGGCTAGATTTTCACACAAATGCTTCAATTTGTGTGAAAATTGAAAATTGAAATTTTTCAGTATTGTTTTGATATATTGTAACAGATTGAATACGGAAGTAAATGCGAGAATCTAGGGTCTTCTGTTAGTTTGGCTACTAAAGATATTTGCAAAATTATAAAACAATGCCACTCTTCTATTTTTTTGTTTTAGGAGATATGCTTATTTTTATAAAAATATATTTATATGTAATGAGTTTATTTTATTTAAATGAAATACTTAACATTTTTATGTTTTATTTTCTAATATAGTAAATATAGATAGATACAACCTATGTCTATGAAAGCTCTTTGGGGTTCAATAAGTTTTAAGATTATAAAGGAGTCCTAAGGCC
This sequence comes from Homo sapiens, assembly GCF_000001405.40. Classification (NCBI taxonomy): domain Eukaryota; kingdom Metazoa; phylum Chordata; class Mammalia; order Primates; family Hominidae; genus Homo; species Homo sapiens. Next base: position 99,676,390 of record NC_000010.11, read on the forward strand.
CCCAAATTTGAGAACCAGCGCACTAGAGAAAAGTTATTCATTATGCAGAAGGGGATGGGATCCAGAATCTTGCAAGAGACAAGCAGAGTGGGTGGTTTTCAGAGAAGGGAAGCAGGAAGATTCTGTGAAGCATGTGAAATAGAAAGATTGCTATGATTGGAAATGAAAAGTCACTTTGGAATGGGGGTGGATTATCTTGCCTATTTCTTTTTTATCTTTGGCCTTTTGTGAGGTCAGTATTTGCAAGAGTTCTGTGACTTGAACCCAGACTTTTGCCCAGCTCTCATATGATAGAAGTGAGCTGTTGCTAGTTGATTGGTGGATTCTAGCCCAGTTCAGCCCAGTGATTTGATTTATGGGAAGATATGTGGTGAAATGGAATCTTTAGCATTAGAAACTTTCTGTTATGTAACAGATTTTTACCATCTGCTTCATTTCCCTCAACTCACTACCATTTCAGATCCAGAAAAAAAGTTCTACCTACCCCTACTCTCAGTAATAATTTACATTATATTGAAGCTCAGTTCCCTGTTCTCTTTTTTAAAAAAATGCATTTTGCATTGTAATATAGGAAAGGTACTCTACTTTTTTATTTCAGAATTATTTCTACATGCACTTCTTTTTATCAAGTTTGCTTTTCTGCCCAAATAAGGAATAGTGTGGTTTTGTCTAACGATGTGAAATCACCAATAAACACTGGCTAGATTGGTTTCAGGAGCGTGATGCGTGGTTTGTTGTTCTGATTGGGGGTGGTTTTATTGTGAAGCTAATGATCCCTATACCTTAAAGCCCCTCACTTACATGGGCTTTTTTTCTATTTGTAATGCTGAATCTTGTTTTTAAAAGAAGGCTTTCCAAATTCTGTTAGCTTCAGACATCACAAAAGCTGGTTCTGAGGGGTTCTGTGTAAGAGCCTTGGAGATCTAGGAGTTGGCTTTAAAGACAATGTTGGATGAGCAGGGCAGATAGCTTTTTTTTTTTTTTTTTTTTTTTGAGATGGAGTCTCGCTCTGTCACCCAGGCTAGAGTGCAGTGGCACGATCTCAGCTCACCGAAACCTCCGCCTCCCAGGTTCAAGCGATTCTCCTGCCTCAGCCTCCTGAGTAGCTGGGATTACAGGCTCCCACCACCATGCCTGGCTAATTTTTGTATTTTTAGTAGAAATGGGGTTTCACCATGTTGGCCAGGCTGGTCTCGAATTCCTGATCTCAGGTGATCTGCCCACCTCAGCCTCCCAAAGTGCTGGCATAACAGGCGTGAGCCACTGCGCCCAGCCAAGTGCTCAGAAGTATTTTAATCAACTCTTAGTCTTCTTTATTTTCTGAACTTTTAAGCCTTTTTCCTCAGAGTCTTCTACTATTTACTTTCCCAATGATTATTCTGTTAACAGCGGCAGCACAGTTCTGCTATGTGTATGATCTCTGTGAGTGTAGATACCCTTCACTCTCCTTGTTTTACAGATGAGGAAACAGTCTGAGAGAAGTTTATTAACTTGCCTAAGGTCACACAGCATAGAAAGCAATAGAGCTGAGATTCAAACCTTGCTATGTTTCATGGAACACCTTTACTTGTTTCATCTTCCTGATGTCAGCCAGCCAGATATCTTGGAATGAGAATCTGAAAAAATTCCAACACAAAATACTAATGTCCTAGGGGCCAAGAATTATTATTATTATTTTTTAAAAATATAATTTATTTTTTAAACTTGGTGGTAGGTACACAGGCATTTGTTTTATTGTTATTCTTTATACCCTATACATATTTTATTATCATTCTTTTTATGTTTATAAAATATTTAGGCCAGGCGCGGTGGCTCACGTCTGTAATCCCAGCACTTTGGGAGGCTGAGGCAGGCGGATCACGAGGTCAGGAGATCGAGACCATCCTGGCTAACACGGTGAAACCCCGTCTCTACTAAAAATACAAAAAATTAGCCAGGCGTGGTGGCGGGTGCCTGTAGTCCCAGCTACTTGGGAGGCTGAGGCAGGAGAATGGCATGAACCTGGGAGGCGAAGCGTGCAGTGAGCTGAGATCATGCCACTGCACTCTAGCCTAGGAGACAGAGCGAGACTCCATCTCAAAAAAAGAAAAAAGAAAAAAAAAGATATATGTATATATATAAAATATTGTAGAAAAGAATAATTATTGTTTTTATGAATTACATTTTTAATGCAATTCTAGCAATATAAATACAAAACAAAAAGCAAAACCAAAAAGCCCAATCAAAAATATCACCACCCAGGCGAGGTGCAGTGGCTCATGCCTGTAATCCCAGCACTTTGGGAGGCTGAGGCAGGAGAATTGGTTGAATTTGGGAGGCAGAGGTTGCAGTGAGCTGAGATCGTGCCACTGCGCTCCAGTCTGGGTGACAGAATAAGACTCCGTCTCAAAAAAAAAAAAAAATCACCTCCCAGAAACTCATTAAATGAGAAATCATTCCACAATATTCTGGATGCATCTATACAGAAAGATAGAAAAGAAGTGATTAAGATTGTCTCAGTTATCTAGTGTGCGTTAACAAGCTACCCCAAAACTTAATAGCATATAACAAAAAACCAATTATTTATTCAGGGCTACAAGCTCTAATGCTTGAAAAAAGATTGCTACCTTAGCCAGTTTCAGAGCTGCCCCCACACGTGGGGACATCTTTTAGTCATCTAATTTCAGTGGCTTCTAGGCAAGTGAACCAGCTATTGTCTCAAGCACATCAGTAAATCTGTCAATATTGCTTCACTCATTGGTTAGGACTGGTAGTCCCATGTGCTTAGCACATGTAGGCACTTAATGAAGATTCATGAACAAATGAAGTAAGTGAGGGCGCCTTTCATGGACCTGACTGCTTAGCACTGATTTCTCTTTTTGCCTGACTTAGGTATTTGGCTCGAGTAGGGGAGCTTGAAGCTACTGACACTGAAGACCCAAATCTGAATTATGGACTTGTTGTTGACTGTGGCAGCAGTGGTTCCCGGATTTTTGTTTATTTCTGGCCAAGACATAATGGGAACCCCCATGACTTGCTGGACATCAAACAGATGAGAGACCGCAACAGCCAACCAGTGGTTAAAAAAATCAAGCCAGGTACTAATCAGAATATATTTTGTTGTCAGTCTCTTTTAAGGCATGAAAGAGGAGACAAAAGAAGCAGAAAGCAAGCTACCCCTTTCTTCTTGAGAGTCTGGGTAATGGGAGGGATATCTCTTTCATTGTCACCCCCTACCTCTCAAATAAATAAATGTTTAGGACCTTGAGGAGAACTTTATAGGGTATCAGTTTCCTGAGTCTTATGTGAGCCGCTTTTTAAAGAAAGTTTTGTCTGTTTGTTTGTTTTAACTTAAGGAATCTCTGCAATGGCAGACACTCCAGAACATGCCAGTGATTACCTTCGTCCTCTGCTGAGCTTTGCTGCTGCTCATGTGCCTGTGAAGAAGCACAAGGAGACCCCTCTTTACATCCTCTGCACAGCAGGCATGAGGCTTCTCCCTGAGAGGTGAGATGCAGGGTACAGGAAACACAGGAAAACGGTGGCACAAGAGATGAAAGGCCAGTTTCATGCACTGTCCTCTGTGGTTCCCTGGTCTATACCCCTAAACCCAATTATGACACAATCATTCATTCCCAACTTCTTGTCATTTGCTGCTTTGGGATCAGTATCTATCTGGGATGACTATAGTGATTCTTAGTTTGGATTGAGGGTTGGGAGTAGTGGTGATGGTAATAGATTTGGATCATCGGGCACATAGAGAACATAATTACAGAATAAATTAGGAAGAGGGTCACCTGATGACCTGGATACTTAGGGACTAGTCAGAGAGCTCTGGTAGGAACACTACCTTTTCTGTAACTCTGCCTAGAACCCTGGCAATAACTGGGGGAGTCCCTCTTCTTGCTGCTACTGCAAAGCTCAGTCTCCATTGCCTTAGGCCTGTTTTCTCAGCCCCAGCCAGTCACATCATTTCCACTTGACCTTTGCAATTCAGCCTGACACCTTGCCACCTGATCCCTCTTCCTGCATTAGAGGAAGAGGAAGAGAAGGCTGTATTTAGGCCAGACTCCTTGTTTGTGATTTCTCTCCTTTGGTACCACCTTGATCCGTCCATACTTACGTAGGCCGGGGGAAGAATGAGCTCCCTGACTTTTTTTTTAATGATTTTTATTTTATTGTGGTAAGCATACAACATGAGAGCTACCCTCTAACCAGATTTTTTTCTTTTTTTTTAGAGACAGGGTCTGCTCTGTTGCCCAGGCTGGAGGGCAGTGGTGTGATCACAGCTCACTTCAACCTCTGCCCCCCAGGCCCAAGTGATCCTCCCACCTCAGCCTCCTAAGTAGCTGGGACTACAGGTGGGCACCATCACACCCAGCTAATTTTTGTGGAGCCAGGTTTCACCATGTTGCCCAGGCTGGTTTAGAACTCCTGGGCTCAAGTGATCCGCTTGCCTCAGCCTCCCAGAGCGCTGGGATTTCAAGCGTCAGCTACCATGTCTGGCCCAACAAATTTTTAAGTATACAATACGTTATTGTTGACTGTGTGTACAGTGTTGTACAGTGGATCTTCAGTGCTTATTCATCTTGCTTAACTGAAATTTTGTGCCTATTTATTTCCCTTAGCATATTGTCGTTAGTGTTCATCCACCTTGTCACATATTGCAGAATGCCCTTTTTTATTTAAAAAAGTCTAAATAGTATTCCACTGTGTGTATGTACCATGTTTTCTTTACATATTCATCTGTCAGTGAACATTTAGGTTGTTTCCACATCTTGGTTATTGTAAATAATGCTTCAGTGAACATGGGAGGGCTCATATCTCTTTGAGATCCTGATTTTAAATCTTTGGAATAATTAGCCAGAAGTAGGATTGCTGGATCATATGACAGTTTGATTATTTATTTATTTATTTATTTATTTACTGAGACAGGGTCTCGCTCTGTTGCCCAAGCTGGAGTGCAATGGCATGATCTCGGCTCACTGCAACTTCCACCTCACAGGCTCAGGTGATTCTCCCACCTCAGCCTCCCAAGTATCTGGGACCACAGGCATGTGCCACCATGCCTGGCTAATTTTTTGTATTTTTTTTTGTAGAGATGGGGTCTTGCCATGTTGCTCAGGCTGTTCTTGAAGTCCTGGGCTCAAGCAGTCTGCACGTCTTGGCCTCCCAAAGTGCTGAATTACAGGCGTGAGCCACCGTACCCGGCCTATATTTTTAATTTTTTGAGGAACCTCCATACTGTTTTGCAGAGCTGCTGCACCATTTTATATTCCCACCAGCAGTATGCAGAGTTTCCAATTTCTCCACAGCCCTGCCAACACTTGTTGTCTTTTGTTTTTTGGATAACAGCCATCCTGACAAGTGTGAGGTGATATGTCATCGGGGTTTTGATTTGCATTTCCCTGATGACTAGGGATGTTGAGCAACTTTTCATATGCCTGTTGGCCATTTCTGTGAATGGAGAAATGTCTATTCAAGTCTTTAGCCCATTTTTACATTGGGTTAATAGGATTTTTGCTGTTGAGTTGTAGGAGTTTCTAAAATATTTTAAAGATAAACCCCTTACCAAGGTATAGTTCGCAAATATTTTTTCCCATTCTGTAGCTTGCCTTTTTACTCTGTTAATTTTTTCCTTTACTGTACAGAAATTTTTAGTTTGATATAGTCTTACTTGTTTATTTTTGGTTGCCTGTGCCTTTTGGTGTCATATCAATGAGACCATTGCCAACCTTAACTTTAGAATTCATCCTCCTGGAATGTTCATGGTCTCATAGGCATCAGGTATTTCCTTATTAGCTTAAATATTTTCCTTTGGTCAACAGCAGTTTTTTTTTTTTTTTACAACGTTTAAATTTTATAGTTGGCTTTCTTTCCTTAAATCAACAGCAAACAACAAAAACCTCAGCCATACATGTAGGGCTCCAAGGCTTATGTCAGACATGTAGACAACATAACATATAGCAGCAATGCTTCTTTCAGTGGACTTTTTTTCACAGTTACTGGTTTACTGACTGGTTTACTGTTGAGAAGCAGATTATTTATATAGCCATTTGTCAACATGAGAGGTTTTTTAGTTCCTTATTGCCCCATACATTTCAGTCTTTAAAAAATTTTTTGTTTTGTTTTTACTTATCTTTAAAACCAAACTTTAAATATTGTAACTGCAGCCTTAACTCCTTAAGGGAAATCTTAAAAATGAACAAAACAATACAATACAACTTACAACCCTGCTACCCTATCAAAACTGTTTCGTTTTGTTGTATTCCCTCCTTTCTGTTCACATATATGTAATTTCCACAAAGTTGCAATCATACTGTGCATGCAATTAAGAATTTTTATTTGACATAGGTGATATTCATATTGTTCAAAAATTTTAGAAACCCTGGGAAGAATATAGATGACACAAGAGCAGGTGCCACATCACAAAGTCTATAAAAGGCCAAGGAAAGGGGAGGGAGGCCAGAGAAAAAGCTGACCTGGAGGTTAAAAAGGCAGAATTGACCAGCTGAGCTGGGCAGAGGAACCCACTTGGTAGTTTGGCTACCTTTAGTGTGTTTGGAGGAAAGGAGATTGTTGCCTCACCTCCTGGCACTGTTCGGTATTACCTCTGTCAAAGAAGTTTCCATCCAAACAAAACCCACTGTGTAGCTCCACCCTTTTTGTCTAAGATGTTAGTTGTCAATGTGGAAACTCTGAATATTAATATTTATTGTATCTAAAGAATTTTTAAAGAAATTTGCCTTTTTTTTTTCTCTTTCAACTTGTTTTCTGGTCACCTCTCTAAATAATGCATACATCTGTTCTAGGCTTATAAAATCATTGCTGCCTCTAAGTCCAAGCGAGTTGTTGGCATAAATGTGACTATCAGTATAAGAACCTGTTTTGTATGATTAAAGGTTTGCTAATTTATTAGCATTTGTAAGCAGATTCAAAATAGGGTTGAACCATTTAGACTATATTTTGAATTTATTAGCATTTGGTTTTATTTCTTTGCCAAAGGCCTGGACTAACAGAATTTTTTCTACCTCCCTTTTATTTTGCAGTTAAAAAAAATCCCTTAAAAATTACACCATAATACAAGGTGGTGTTTAATAAAATAATAATTTTTATTTTAGGAAATTTCACTTGTGTATAAAAGTAAAGAGAACAGTGCAGTAAATCCCCATTTACCCACTACCCAGCTTTAACAATTATCAACATTTCGCCATTTTAAAAGCATTTTAAATAAATAAACAATATTGAATTTTAGAAGATGAAAGCTTTATCCTGTCACTATGTATACATGAAGAATGATTTGGGTTTTTGTTTTTTTAGCATAAATGGAATCACATTATACATACTGTTTTGTAAAATGTATTGGACATCTCTTATCTTTTCATGTCTATACATGTAGATATAAGTAGACTTCATTTCTTTTAACATCTGTATAGTATTACATTGCATGGCTGTGCCATAAGTTATTTAACCAATCCCTATGGTATGGTATTTCCAGTTTTTCATTGTTATAAATAATTTTCATTGTTATAAATAATGCTGCAGTATTTCTCTTCTTTATTTTATTGTTTGATGATTTCCTTGGAATTAATTTCTAAAAGTATAACAGCTGGATCAAAGGTTAAACACATTGAAACATTTTGAAGCATGGTCCTGGATTGCCCTTTAGAAAGGTTGTACTAGTAATTTATTTATTTATTTATTGGAGATGGAGTCTCCCTCTATCGCCCAGGCTGGAGTGCAGTGGCATGATCTCGGCTCACTGCAACCTCCACCTCCCGGGTTCAAGCGATTCTCCTGCCTCAGCCTCCCGAGTGGGATTACAGGTGTCTGTCACCATGCCTGGCTAATTTTTGTATTTTTGGTAGAGATGGGGTTTCACCATATTGGCCAGACTGGTCTCAAACTCCTGACCTCAGGTTATCCATGTGCCTCACCCTCCCAAAGTGCTGGGATTATAGGCATGAGCCACTGCACCCAGCCTGTACTAGTAATTTGCATAACTAACAGCAACATATGTTGTTGCCCATTCTTCCATATCATTGCCAAAACCAACGAACCCTCTCTTTGAGGAGTTTAGAAGCATATCCAATAGGGACAGAAGAATACCCCTTCTTGGTCCCCATTTGAAATTCTTATTGCAAGAATTTAATATGTATAACAATGAACTTTTTTTAAGAAACTATACTTGACATTATACTGGAAGATTATTACTTCAAATATAGATCTTCACTTTGAAGTGCTAACAACATTCTTCATCAAGTAGTACTGACAACTGTCTGAGCCAGCAGAATATTTTTGTATTGAATATTTTTTAATCCAAGATAACTTGTCTTATTTTAACTAACATTTTCTCTAGATGCATATTATTACTTCTAGCTTTGTTTCTTTGCTTTCCTTTGCTTGATAATATTGATTACATGCTTAAAATGTTAGAGGAAAGACAACCCTATAGATACAAAGTTTCAAGTGTTTTCCCCAAATTGGAAATGTTGTTATGTCCTCTGGATTTTGATCCTGATCTAGGGTTTTCAAATGGTAAGATTTTCACAATGAAAAAAAAATCAACCCTTGAAATATGGAAAAGGAGATTAAAAAGTTAATTGTGGCTGGGCAAGGTGACTCACACCTGTAATCCCAGCACTTTGGGAGGCCGAGGCAGGTGAATCACCTGAGGTCAGGAGTTCGAGACCAGCCTGACTAACATGGTGCAACCCCGTCTCTACTAAAAATACAAAATTAGCCGGGTGTGGTGATCCATGCCTGTAATCCCAGCTACTTGGGAGGCTGAGGCAGGAGAATCACTTGAACCTGGGAGGCAGAGGTTGCAGTGAGCCGAGATCATGCCATTGCACTCCAGCCTGGGCAACAAGAGTGAAACTCCGTCTCAAAAAAAAGTTAATTGTTAGCTTATGTAAAGGATTACATTAAAACTTGTGGAACCAACAGTACATCTTGTGTGGTAATGTGAAGCATTGTTTCTATGTTGTGTAAGATTTGAGGATGAGATTGTGTTCCTTAATTTAACATCTTTGTTTTACAGTAGTGAGGAATAATGTAATTACATCAATTTTATAGTTTATGCAACTTGGCTGCAGTTTCCTGTGGCTTGTTTGTACTCAGCCTGTGAGAGTCATAGAACCGTAGTCTCATAGCCTCATCTTTTAACACTCTTTGAATAATAACATCATATAAGGGGAAAGTATTACTATTACCATGTTGCCTTTTAGGTAGGAGGCTATACCTGGAGGCAGTTTAAACTTTTAAAATCAAAGGCGGTACCAAAAAGAAGCAGGGCTGGACAAGTAGATGAGGTAGGTGAACAGTGAGGTCATGACAAGGCTAAGTAGAAGGACAAGTTGAGGCAGTTTATGAGAAGAGAGTTTAGTGACTAACTTTGGGATTTTTTGTTCTTTCTTGCAGGAAGCAGTTGGCTATCTTGGCTGACCTAGTGAAAGATTTACCACTGGAGTTTGACTTCCTCTTTTCACAGTCTCAAGCAGAAGTGATCTCTGGGAAGCAGGAAGGTACTGGGCCTTAAGGGGTGCAGCTGGTTAACCTCTAAGCCAACCATGGCACAGCCTCTCTAACGGGTGTTTAGAATTATTCTATATATCGGATTTTAATTTTTCTGCCAATAATTTTCTTGATTCTGCTACATAGTTGATTTGATTATTTGCATATTTTGCATTGGCATCTGTTTAGAATGCTGGTTCTGGAAGTCAAAAATGTATATCTCTTTTTAACTTAGTACTAAGCAATATGTTTATAAGAATGTATTAGTATTTAATGATTTCAGTTGGATATTTGGTTAGCTAACTGTACTTTTGAAAACATATATAGTTCTAGGAGTTGTATTGAGTTTGTCAAAGTCAAATGTAAGGTAAATTATTAAAGTAAGGAGAAACTTTAATTCCAAGGGATGATCAGAATGAGTTACTTTTGTTTTGTTATGCCTTCATTGCAATTACTATGCAGTATTGATAATTCCCTGGAATCTCACACTATTGGGTTTGTACTTTTAGAGTGAATATGTGTTCTCATGCAGCCAAATTGGCCAGTTTGATGAATTATATTTCCATTTCTTATAAACGAGAAGGAGATTTATATGTCTTCTAATTGCAGACATATACATGGGAAAAGATTTACCTTTTAAAATTTCAGTATTGCATTTTTCAGTTGTAAAATTTCTATTTTGATCTTCTTAATATTCTATTTCTTTTCTTTTCTGTTTCTTTGCTGAGACCTTCTATCTTTCCATTCATTGTAGGACTGCCCATATTTCTTGGTTATATGGTTGCTCTAATATCTTTGATAATTCCAATATATGTGTCATCTCAGAGTTGGCATCTTTTGATTGTCTTTTCTCTTGTGAGTTGAGATTTTCCTGGTTCTTTGTATGCCAAGTATTTTTATATTCCATCCTGGACATTTTGAATATTACATTATGAGACTCTGGGTCCTGTTTAAATCAAAGAGAACTTTTTTTTTTTGTTTTAGGAGGCAGTTGATCTCAAGTTCTGAGCTGCTTTCTGTAGGCTGTGAATCTTTTTTTTTTTTTTTTTTTGAGACAGAGTTGCACTCTTGTTACCAACACTGAGTGCAATGGTGTGATCTCTGCTTACTGCAATCTCCACCTCCTGGGTTCAAGCGATTCTCCTGCCTCAGCCTCCCAAGTAGCTTGGATTACAGGCATGCACTACCATGCCTGGCTAATTTTGTATTTTTAGTAGAGACAGGGTTTCACCATGTTGGTCAGGCTGGTCTCAAACTCCTGACCTCGTGATCCGCCTGCCTCAGCCTCCCAAAGTGCTAGGATAACAGGCGCAAGCCACTGCGGCCGGCCCGTGATTCTATTAGTTCATTTTTCTTTTCTTTCTTTCTTTCTTTCTTTTTTTTTTTTTTTTTTTTTTTTTGAGACAGAGTCTCGCTCTGTCATCCAGACTGGAGTGCAGTGTCGTGGTCTCGGCCCACTGCAACCTCCGCTCCCTGGTTCAAGCGACTCTCCTGCCTCAGCCTCCCGAGTAGCTGGGACTATAGGCGTGTGCCACCACGCCTGGCTAATTTTTTGTATTTTTAGTAGAGACGGAGTTTCACTGTGTTAACCAGGATGGTCTTGATCTCCTGACCTCGTGATCCACCCACCTCAGCCTCCCAAAGTGCTGGAATTACAGGTGTGAGCCACCGTGCCCAGCCTATTCATTCATTTTTCAAAGCCTTGGCCACTGCTATTTGGATTTGTCCTGTGTATCAGCCAGTGGCTAATCTGGAACCTGGGCAGTGGCCTAGCCTGTAGTTCAGCTCTCAGAGCTGTTTGGATATTGTTTAGGGTCAGATCCATGTATTTGTAGCTTGGAGGTGAGCCCAGGGGTTCATACACAACTTTGCTCCCTACTGTCTGTGATCCCTCTGCCACTTTCTGGTTCCTTGGAGCTCCCTTTCATGATCCTCCTGTCAGAATACCAGGGCTTTAATTTGCCCACTCTCTGCCATGCACTTCTCATGACTGCATCTGCATCCAGGGCCAAGCGGTAGGAGGACAGAGGGAGCCTAAATAAACAATAGGATTTGTTTCACAGTCTTGAAGCTACAGCTTCTCTGGTCAGAGAAAAGAATTCAAAGCCCTCAGAGTTTTAGGTACCTGCTCAAATTCTACCTCTGTTGCCTAAGGTTAGAGAGAACAAAATAAGAAAGAAAAAAAAAGCAGGAGATTTCCCTTATTTTCTCTGAACTTTTGGCATTCCTTTTTCTGTTCTTTGGACCAGAAAATGAGTTGAAGTTCCTCTGTTCACACCTGGTGTTTACTTTCATGTTTCAAGCTGCTCTTAAGTCTAGACCAGGTAATATCTGAGGGGGAAAAAATGGGACACTCACTACTGGCTTGGTGGTAGTTTAAACCCTGGTCTCTTTCCCGGTGTGCTCATTATCATTTACTTTCAGAGTTTCCAGAAAGCTGCTCCATGCATTCTATCTAGAGTTTATATTTGTATTCAGTGGGGAGACAAGATTGCCCAGAACTAGAACTCCAAAATTTACATTTTTTCTTTTTTTTCGATATCTTCGTGACATTCAGATGATTTATACTTCTTAGACATTTGTTATACAATTAATTTCTATTCATTGAGGAAATTTAGAAGATGCAAATAATTTTAAAAGGGAAAAAAATCACAAGATGAAAGAT